>NC_000001.11:181063374-181366405 GCF_000001405.40 Homo sapiens
AAATTCTTATGGCCTTCATTAGTTAATCAACCATTCATGAAATATATGCGCCATAAGGCCTGACACTTCAGTGCCTGGCACATAGTAGGCACTCAGTACATATGCATATTGACAAAATGAACTGCTGCTCCTACAAGCCAGACTCTGTAGGCAACACAGCACAATGATGTTCTGAAAATTAGCAAGTACAAAAATGGCCCAGACATATGCTTATAGAAAAATCAAGCTCACATCACAGAAAATAATTTTAGAGATTGTAATCTAGAATGCATTTCTATAAAACAGTCCCTGGGTTTTCTGCTAACAGAAGAAATACAACTCTGGCTGGGGGCACGGTAGCTTACACCTGTAATCCCAGCACTTTGGGAGGCCAAGGCGGGCAGATCACTTGAGGTCAGGAGTTCGAGACCAGCCTGGGCAACATGGTGAAACCCCGTCTCTACTAAAAATACAAAAAAATTAGCTGGGTGTGGTTGCTGGTGCCTATAATCCCAGCTACTTGGGAGGGTGAGGCAGGAGAATCACTTGAACCTGGGAGGCAGAGGTTGCAGTGAGCCAAGATTGCACCATTGCACTCCAGCCTGGGCGACAAGAGCGAAACTCTGTCTCAAAAAAAAAAAAAAAAAAAAAAAAAAAAGAAAAGAAAGAAAGAAATACAACTCTGACAGTGAGCTTTCATAGTAATACTGAAGACACAGGTTGAATAAAACTTTCAAGTGAGATGGGAGGGCCTGCACATAAATATGCCATGAAACAAAGGACATGGGGAGGATGAAGGGCTCAGCACTGCCTCCTTCCCTGCAGCCGCTGGGCTGGGCTAAGAGGACCCATAGGCAGTGGCGATGGCGACAGCAAGGAACTCAGAGATGTTCAGTGAGACAGAGGAACTTCTAATCCTCTAGTTTCCTTTTGTCTTCCTGATAGCCTATCCTCAGAGAAATAATTCCCTTACTAAACGCCTAAGTGCTTTTCAGCTCTGCCACTCAACTGACACTTAGCTATTCTGTGTTGGTATTTATCTGTTTCTGCTCGGCTTATCTCCCTGGCTGGACTATAAACCCCTTAAGGGCACAATGTGAATTCTGTGTCCTTCACTTAGTATCAGGGTGATCTTAAGTTGTTTAACTTCTCTGAGCCTCATTTTTATAAAACCCGGGGCTAGTCAATACCTGTCTTCCAGTGTCAAAGTGGGGATTAAAGGAGATGTGTGTGTGCAAGCATATTGCAAAGAAATGGCATCTGGGATGTGTCTTCCTCTACGTGCTCTCCAGGGACTGCTCCCCATGTCCCATATAATCGCAGCCACCATTTATGGGTGCTTACTATGCACTGGGTACTTCACATATATTACTTCTATTCCTCATAACAACGTTGGCAGCAGGTATTATTATTATTATTTTGTTGAAGTTCAGATAAATTGTATTTCTTGACAAGGTTATATAGTTAATAAGTGGCAGAGGCATGATTCAGACTCAAGACACTGTCTTGAGTCTGGGCACTGTCCTATCTGCACACAGGGCACTGTCCTATCTGCACACAGTAGGCCCACTCCATCAATGCCTGACCAAAACTGTGAGGTGTCATCCACTTAAAACTATTGAGGACTAAACTCTGATTTTTTTATCTTGCCCAAATTCTTATCTAAGGGGACTGGGGAGTCATGCTCTATAAATCATAAATTCTCATCAGATGGGTTTTATTTAACCCTACATATCATGATTTATTTTCCAACTTGACTCTGACATAACATTACCAGACAAAGAAGAAAATCAAAATATTTTAACCTGGCCAGGCGTGGTGGCTCACGCCTGAATCCCAGCACTTTGGGAGGCCGAGGCAGGCGGATCACAAGGTCAGGAGTTCAAGACCACCCTGGCCAACATGGTGAAACCCTGTCTCTACTAAAAATACAAAAATTAGCTGAGCATAGTGGTGTGTGCCTATAATCCCAGCTACTTGGGAGGCTGAGGCAGGAGAATTGCTTGAACCGGGACCCAGGAGGCAGAGGTTGCAGTGAGCCGAGATCGCGTCACTGCACTCCAGCCTGGGCTACAGAGGAAGACTCCGTCTCAAAAAAAAAAAACCCACAAAAATTAGATGGGCGCAGTGGCAGTCACCTGTAATCCCAGCTACTCGGGAGGCTGAGGCAGGAGAATCACTTGAACCCAGCGGAGGCAGAGGTTGCAATGAGCCGAGATCACGCCACTGCACGCCACTGCACGCCAGCCTGGGTGACACAGTGAGACTCCATCTCAAAAAAACATATATATATATGATATGTAATATATTTAATATTAATTTAAATATATCAATTTTAATGTAATTTAAATATTAATATTAATTTAAATATATATATATTTTAAACCTCAAAACATGTTTCTTTGCCTTATTTTGAATTGGCCCTGCAAAGCTGTTCTTTGTCAGGGGAAATTTGCATCTGTAAAGAATCTCTATTAACATAGCTAGATCTTTTTCTTCCAGACCCTCCCAATCCTAAAAAGATTAACTAAGATCTGAATAGGAAACATTTGTCCCCTATTGTCTTTAAGCCACTGTAAGACTTAAAAAGAACTTTGGTCTCCACAATCTTTATCTTAACCTGAACATTCCCTTTCTATCTATCCCAGGTCTTTAGGCAAACTCAACCAATTGTCAACCAGAAAATGTTTAAATTCACCTATAGCCTGGAAGCCCCCACTTTGAGTTGTTCAGTCTTTCTGGACCAAACCAATGTATTTTTTAAATGCATTCGATTGATGTCTCATGCCCCCCTCAAATATATAAAACCAAGCTGCTCCCTGACCACCTTGGGCACATGTTCTCAGGACCTCCTGGGCCATGGTCACTCACTCACATTTGGCTCAGAATAAATCTCTTCAAATATTTTACAGAGTTCGATTCTTTTCGCCGACACTATGTTCTGTACTTAATCTTGGGAACAAAGGAGTTCAAACATCTGTGCAATGAATCAAAAATTAATAAAGGCCCTGATAAATTTAGGAAAGTTTGAATCTTTTTCCTCTGACTTTGATGATGTGACTTAAAGGCTGAACAAGGCCTAAAGGGCCAAATGAAGCAAGTTACCACACATTTCATGGACATGTCAGTGAAACCCGTGGATAACATTCGCTACTTGTTGATTCTTAGTATATGGAGATGCTGGTGCATAAAGGAAAAAGTATAAGCTCCCTCACCTTGCAAAAACAACTCACCCAGGGTAGATCTATGGGCACACAGAATTGCAGAGCTGGAGGGCCCATTGAGTGTCATATAGTTCAATTTTCTCATTTTTTTTTTTTTTTTTTGAGACAGAGTCTCTCTCTGTCGCCCAGGCTGGAGTGCAGTGGCGCAATCTCGGTTCACTGCAACCTCCGCCTCCCGGGTTCAAGCAATTCTCCCGCCTCAGCCTCCTGAGTAGCTGGGATTACAGGTGCCCACCACCACGCCCAGCTAATTTTTGTATTTTTAGTAGAGACGGGGTTTCGCCATGTTGGTCAGGCTGGTCTCAAACCCCTGACCTTGTGATCCACCCATCTCGGCCTCCCAAAGTGCTGGGATTACAGGCGTGAGCCACCGCGCCCGGCAATTTTCTCATTTAACATATGAGAAAATTGAGGCTAGAGTGAGTAAAGTGATTTGCCAAAAGAAACCCTGAAACCAATGATAAACCTCATGTCTTGACATAAATGTTCAACATCTCTAGTCATTAGGGAAATGCAAATTAAGAGCACAATGAGCTATCACTGCATATCTCTAAGAACAGCTAAAATAAAAGAAGGCTGGGTGCGGTGGCTCACACCTACAATCCCTGCACTTTGGTAGGCTCACTTGAGTATCACTTGAGTCCAAAAGTGATACTTTGGGAGTATCACTTGAGTCCAGGAGTTCAGAATCAGCCTAAGGAACATGGTGAGACTCTGATTCTATAAAAAATTAAAAAAAAAAATTAGCTAGGCATGGTGAAATCTGCCTGTAGTCCCAGCTGCTCAGGAGGCTGAGGCTGGAGGATCACTTGAGCCCAGGAAGTCAAGGATACAGTGAGCTGTGTTTGTGCCACAGCACTCTAGCCTGTGCTGTCGGGCGAGCGGCACTCTAGCTTGGGGTATGGAGGGTAGGGGAGCGAGAGGGAGAGAGAGACCTTTGTCTCTTAACAAAAAGAAGTGATAATACCAAATGCTGGTGAGGATGTGGAAAAACTCAAAACAGTTTGGTCATTTCTTTTTATAAAGTTTTTGTGTATATATTTATGGGGTACATGAGATGTTTTGATACAGGCATGAACTATGAAATAAGCACATCATGGAGAATGGGGTATTCATCTCCTCAAACATTCATCCTTTAAATTATAAACAATCTAATTACATTCTTTAGATAATTTAAAAATATGGCTGGGCGCGGTGGCTCATGCCTGTAATCCCAGCACTTTGGGAGGCTGAGGCGGGCAGATCACAAGAAGGTCAGGAGATCGAGACCATCCTGGCTAACACGGTGAAACCCCGTCTCTACTAAACGAAATACAAAAAATTAGCCGGGCGTGATGGTAGGCGCCTGTAGTCCCATCTACTCGGGAGGCTGAAGCAGGAGAATGGCGTGAACCTGGGAGGCGGAGCTTGCAGTGAGCCAGGATCACGCCACTGCACTCCAGCCTGGGTGACAGAATGAGACTCCGTCTCAAAAACAAAAAAGAAAGAAAGAAAGAAAGATTATTTAAAAATATACAATTACATTATTGTTGACATAGTCACCATATTGTGCTATCAAGTAGTAAGTCTTATTCATTCTTTGTTTTTTTGTACCCATTAGTTTGGCCATTTCTTTAAAAACTTGATATACACTTACCCAGCAATTTTATGCCTGGGCATTTACCCTAGAGAAATGAAAAATTATGTACTCATAAAAATCTGTATATGAATACTCATAGCAGCTTTATTTGTAATAGACTCAAACCAGAAACAATCAAAATGTCCCTTGATAAGTGAACTGTTAAATGATGGTACATCCATGCCATGGAATATTACTCAGCAATAGGAAGGAATGAACTACTGATGCATGCAACAATTTGGATGAATCTCAAGGGTATTGTGCAGAGTAAAAAATGCCAGTCTCAAAAGGGTCACCTACCATATAATTCCATTTATATAGCATTCTCAAAATGACAAAATTATAGAGATGAAAAACAGATTAGTGGTTGCCAGGGTTAGGAATGGCTCAGGGGAGGGCATGAGTAGACTGTGAAGGGGTAGCATGAGAAAGAGCTTTGTGGTGATGGGATGGTCCTGCATCCTGATTGCAGTGGTGGTCATACAGATCTACATGTGTGATAAAATGACACAGAACTATACACATATATTGAACCATATCAATTTCTTGGTTTTGATATTGTACCATAATTATGTAAGATATAACCTTGGAGGAAACTTGGTGAACAGTACATGGAACCTCTCTGTGTTGTCTTTGCACTTTCCTGCAAATCTATAATTATTTCAAAGTAAATTTATTTTATTTTATTATTATTTTTTTTTTTGAGATGGAGTTTTGCTGTTGTTGCCCAGGCTGGAGTGCAATGGTGCAATCTCGGCTCACCGCAACCTCTGCCTCCCGGGTTCAAGCGATTCTCCTGCCTCAGTCTCTGGGACTACTTGCATACACCACTACGCCCAGGTAATTTTGTATTTTTAGTTTAGACAGGGTTTCTCCATGCTGGTCAGGCTGCTCTCGAACTCCCGACCTCAGGTGATCTGCCTGCCTCGGCTTCCCACAGTGCTGGGATTTCAGGCATGAGCCACCGCACCTGGCTAGTAAATTTTTTTTAATTAAAGGACAATGCACCTCCTCATTTCTGTTAGGATATTTGTAATTATCTGGTTTAACTAAATACATTAAACTAATTGCTATAGAGTGTTCCGTAAAGACTAGCCAAATAATAAAATTGACCAGTTAAAGTGACCTGTGTCTTTTATAGCTACCTAAAACCTCTTTTTAAAAAATTGCACTTAGTTTGCAATCAGTAAGTTGTAAATTAAAAATACTTAAGTGGATCCATTAACAGTGGAATAATCTGAAAAGGTTGTCCTATTAAAATTTGGCACTATCATAATATTAAATATCATTTGTTTGGGGATTTTTGGGGATGTTTCCACTGGTTTAAGATTCTAGGCGGGGCATAGTGGCTCATGCCTGTAATTCCAGCACTTTGAGAGGTCGAGGTGGGCAGATCACTAGAGGTCAGGAGTTTGAGACCCGCCTGGCCAACATGGTGAAATCCTGTCTCTACTAAAAATACAAAAATTAGCCAGGGGTGGTTGTGGGTTCCTGTAATCCCAGCTACTTGGGAGGCTGAGGCAGGAGAATTGCTTGAACCCGGGAGGTGGAGGTTACAGTGAGCCCAGAGCAAAACTCTGTCTCAAAGAAAAAAAAAAAAAAAAGATTCTATAGAAGAAAAAGCCCAAGGTATTCGGTTCCTGGATCTTGCTACTATCTTCCATAATTTGAAGACGTCACCACCTAAGGTGACCATCATCTACTTACGTGACTGAAAATTCTCATCACTTGGTGGTGAGCAGCTCAATGAGATGATTTGAACTTTAAGCTCTTTTTGCACAGGCAGGAGGGCTACCACTTAAGACTGATTATACTTCAATTACTCTGATTGTTGGGTTTTAAGATGATTTCTTTGCAGCAGCTCTTGTCTAGCTTTTCATGGCTGCACCTTGAATCTACAGGTAAATCTCCCGTTTTTGGGGGCTTATGTTATCTAAGATGTGTAACTAACGTTTCTTTCCCATTGTGACTGTACCAGTCAATCTAATGAACAAACTTCAGTCACTGCATATTTCCTTAGGGGAAGTTCCCCATGGAATTTATTCATATATTGATTAGACATGATGGCCAGAATCTCAATTTTCTTGGCATGCATTTTAATAGGTCTAACCCTGGTCAGTTTTGTCCACAACAGCTATTCCAAAGTTTCTTCACTCCCTTCAAGCTCCCTGCTTACTTTACAAAGTACCCCACTTACCTCCAACTTTACAAAGATAATTGAGGCTCTCAGAAGTCCCTTAGCTCCTCCATCCACAAATGGACCTGTATCCCATTTCCCTTTATCTTCTTCCATTCAATCACAATCTCAGTAGAGGTGTTCTATTTTTGTCCTGGGCTGGGGCCTTAGCCTCCACCTAAAACTCTAGGTCCCATTTTTTACTGACCCTCCCAAGATCTTTCCCAATTATTCCTCTCTCTCTGCTGTAGTTCAGCCTCATAGACTACCATACGTATGAACAGAAAAAAGTAGAGATCACAGCCAGTTTGAATGACCCTAGTATCAGTGTCTTAGGGCTGCCATAGCAGATTACCTTTAACAACAGATATTTCCTTTGAGTGGCAAGGTGCCCAGCCACAGGAGATGGATCATCACTGGTCAAAGCCAAATGTTGGTATCTTCCCATTCCCCTTTGCCAGTGATTGGTCTAGGGATAGACATGTGACCAAATTCTAGCCAATGAGACATAAAGGAAAATCTTTTAGGGGTTTCTGGGAAACATTTTCTTCCATGATGAGGAAGAACTGTGTGAGGAGAGAATTCCTTGTACCTCCACCTTCCCTTCCTATGTTTTCACATTTTCATGTGAAGATGTGATGTTCAGAGTTGCAATAGCCATCTTGTAACCATTAGTGAAGATACTCTGAGGATGGCAGAGTTGAAAGATTACAGGATTTTTGTCTTTGATTACATCATTGTAGTTACCTTCAGACTCCTTATTATAAAAGATGAATAAATGTCTTTTTTTTTTTTTTTTTGGAGACAGAGTCTCACTCTGTCGCCCAGGCTGGAGTGCAGTGGCGTGATCTTGGCTCACTGCAACCTCCTCCTCCCAGGTTCAAGCAATTCTCCTGCCTCAGCCTCCCCAGTAGCTGGGATTACAGGCGCACAGCACCACGCCCGGCTAATTTTTGTGTTTTTAGTAGAGACAGGGTTTCACCACGTTGGCTGGACTGGTCTCAGACTCCTGACCTCAGGACCTCAGGTGATCTGCCCACTTTGGCCTCCCAAAGTGCTGGGACCACAGGCATGAGCCACGACGACCAGCCACATAAATGTCTTTGTTTTTTTGTTTTGTTTTGTTTTGTTTTGTTTTTTGAAACAGAGTCTTGCTCTGTTGCCAGGCTGGAGTGCAGTGGTGCGATCTCGGCTCACTGCAAGCTCCACTTCCCGGGTTCAAGCGATTCTCCTGCCTCAGCCTCCCAAGCAGCTGGGACTACAGGCACGAGCCACCACTCCCGGCTAATTTTTGTGTTTTTAGTAGAGACAGGGTTTCACCATGTTGGCCAGGATGGTCTCGATCTCTTGACCTCGTGATCTGCTCGCCTTGGCCTCCCAAAGTGCTGGGATTACAGGCATGAGCCACTGAGCCCAGCCTAATAAATGTCTTTGTTACTGCCCAAGTCACTATTATTTATTACTTGCAGCCAGGGATATCCTTTATAATACAATTGACACACTGTATCTCTTCACATTTCCATGTATCCTTGAAATAACATTTCATTATCTAAGGTCAAAAAACAAAACAAAACAAAATGAAAAACAATACCAAAAGAAAGGAGCAGAGATTTCACAGCCAGCCAGCCAAGGATTCCCCCTCTATTTACTAGCTGTGTGATTTTTTTTTTTTTTAGATGGAGTCTTGCTCTGTCATGCAGGCTGGAGTGCAATGCTGCAATCTCGGCTCACGGCAACCTCCACCTCCCGGGTTCGAGCAATTCTCCTGCCCCAGCCTCCCAAGTAGCTGGGACTACAGGCACGCACAACCACTCCTGGCTAATTTTTGTGTGTGTGTGTATTTTTAGTAGAGACAGGGTTTCACCACGTTGGCCAGGCTGGTCTCGAACTCCTGACCTCAGGTGATCTGCCCGCCTCAGCCTCCCAAAGTGCTGGGATTACAGGCGTGAGCCACCACACCCAGCCTACTTAGCTGTGTGATCTTAAGCAAGTTCTTTTACACTGTGGTAAAATACATATAATATAAAATTCACTGTTAAGGTCTTAACCATTTTTAAGTGTGCAGTTCAGTAAAGTACATTCACACTGTGGTGCAACCAATTTTTTTTTTTTTTTGAGATGTAGTCTCATTCTGTCACCCAAGCTGGAGTGCAGTGGCATGATCTCAGCTTACTGCAACCTCCACCTCAGTTTCAAGCGATTTTCCAGCCTCAGCCTCCCGAGTAGCTTGGATTAGAGACATGCACCACCATGCCTGGCTAATTTTTGTATTTTTAGTAGAGACGGGGTTTCACCATGTTGGCCAGGCTGGTCTTGAATGTCTGACCTCCAGTGATCCACTCACCTCACCCTCCCAAAGTGCTGGGATTACAGGCGTGAGCCACCATGCCATACCTTAATGTACTATTTTTATTCATACATTCAACAAATATTTTTTTACCCCTGCTATGTGCCAGCTACTGTCATAGGTGCCAGAGGTACCACAGTGAGCAACATAACAAATGTGGTGCCCTGAGCATGTTTTGGGGGCAGATGCTACTTCATTAAGGATTGAATGGTGACTGGCACTCTCTCTACCCACTCCCATCTTTCTATACATTATTCTCTTCTGCAACTAATAGAAGAAAAAACAGCTCAAGCTGCCTTCTCAGATACCATAAGCCTTGGCCCCCAGCTCTCCCCTTGTCCCCATGCCCTGCATCATAGAAGAGTTACCTTTGCCTTCTTTGATCTCACCCTTGTCCTTGTACATAGTCATATTGTAGGACTGATTAAAATGTATTTCTATTATAATCTCACCTGTCCATTTCCCCTACAAGGAGATGAGCTTCATGAAGGCACCAGTGGATGAGGGCTTACTTGTCTTAGTATTCCTAGGTCCTGGTATAGTGCTTGGCACATGGTAGACAATCAGTGAATCTTTATTGGGTGGTTGAAGTTGAGAATTAATTATTTTTTAAATTAACCATCTGGAATATTATGATGGTTCTTTCTGTTCTCTTATATTGTGTTGGTTTAGAACTTGAACTGCAGGGATTTTAATAGGCAATGGAAACATACAGGAAACATCTTAATTTCTTTTTCCTTTATTTTTTATTTTTATTTTTTTAGAGACAGGGTCTCACGCTGTTACCCTGGCTGGAGTGCAATGGCTCACTGTAACCTCAAACTCCTAGGCTCAAGCAATCCTCTCACCTTGGCCTCCGAAAGCACTGGGATTATAAGCATGAGCCGCTGTGCCTGATCTCCTATTTCCTTTAGATATTCTTCTACTGCCAGTAATTTGGCAAATAAAGTTGGGCTACTCAAAGTCTTTTTCATTCCCCTTTTTCTAGCGTGTTAGCAGTGGAAAGAACCTTAGATAACCCCTTTCTTTTATCAGATTAGGAAGCCGATGACTGTGTAGTGCTATGGTTTGCACAGGGTCACATGCCTAACGAGTGGTAGAATTCCATATGCGAATCTCATTGTTCATTCAATGCTTTTTCCACTATCCTCTGCCATCTGGCAAACATTCAAAGCCACAAATATTTATGGGGTGCCTATTAGATACAAGACAGTAGGCTGGATTCTACTGGAGAGATACAGGTTGAGAAAAAGATTCCCAGCCGGGCGCCACGGCTCACGCCTGTACTCCCAGCACTTTGGGAGGCCGAGGCAAGCGGATCACCTGAGGTCAGGAGTTCAAGACCAGCCTGACTAACATGGCGAAACCCCATCTCTACTGAAAACACAAAAATTAACCGAACGTAGTGGCGGGTGCCTGTAACCCCAGCTACTCGGGAGGCTGAGGCAGGAGAATCGCTTGAACCCGGGAGGCGGAAGTTGCAGTGAGCCGAGATCACACCACTGCATTCCAGCTTGGGCGACAGAGTGAGACTCCATCTCAAAAAAAAAAAAAAAGAGAGAAGATTCCTACCTTGAATCAGTTTTAATCTAATGATCAAGAAAGACATGCAGGCAGAAAATGGTAGAAAATATCGCATATGTAAAAAACAACTGATATGGCTTGGATTTGTATCCCCGCCCAAACCTTATGTCGAATTATAATCCCCAATGTTGGAGGAGGGGCCTGGTGGGAGGTGACTGGATCATGGCGGATGATTTCCCCCTTACTGTTCTCATGATAGTGAGTTCTCAACTCACAAGATCTGGTTGTTTAGGACAAGCGTGGTGGCTAATGCCTGTAATCCTAGCACTTTGGGAAGTTGAGGCAGGTGGATCGCTTAAGGCCAGGAGTTCAAGACCAGCCTGGCCAACATGGTGAAACCCCATCTCTACCAAAAATATAAAAATTAGCCGGCCATGGTGGCACATGCCTGTAGTCCCAGCTACTCAGGAGGCTGAGGCATGAGAATCACTTGAACCCAGGAGGCAGAGGTTGCAGTGAGCCAAAATGGCATCACTGCACTCCAGCCTGGGCGACAGAGCCAGACTCTGTCTCAAAAGAAAAAAAGATCTGGTTGTTTAAAAGTGTGTAGCTCCTCCCTCTGCTCTTTCTTCCTCCTTCTCTAGCCATGTAAGACATGCCTGCTTCCCCTTCACCTTCCGCCATGATTATAAGTTTCCTGAGGACTCCCCAGCCATGCTTCCTGTACAGCCTGTGGAAATGAGTCAATTAAACCTCTTTTCTTTATAAATTACCAAGTCTCAGGTAGTTCTTTATAGCAATGCGAGAATGGACTAATACAATAAGGTACATGGAAAAATCCATGGAGGTAATGAGCTCCAACTGAAGAACTGGCAGATCACTTTGGAGTAAAGACGGTATCTTAACAGTGAGCAGACCAGCCCAGTTGCTCACACCTGTAATCCCAGCACATTGGGAGGCTGAAGCAGGAGGATCCCTTGAGCCCAGGATTTCAAGACCAGCATAGGGAACACAGACTCCTGCCTCCAGAATTTTTTTTTTTAATTAGCCAGGCATGGTAGCACATGCCTGTGTCTCAGCTACCCAGGAGGCTGAGGCAGAGGATCATTTGAGCCAGAGAGGTCGAGGCTGCAGTGAGCTATGATCGTGCCACTGCACTCCAACTGGGCAACAGAGTAAGACACTGTCTCAAAAAAGAAAAGAAAAGAGAACTGTGAGCACCCCCTTCTCCTTTGAGAGAGAGGGTATGGGTGTGTGGAGATGAGGACACGGCATCCTTCAGCGTCCCTGGATGCCATTTCTGGCACAGCTGGCAGGGTTGGAATGCTGCTCACCTCTCATTGTGTGCTTCCAGAAGAGATGAGGAACCATGACAATACCCAGACCAGCCACAGGTTTTCTGAACAGAAAAGAAAGAACCAAGCTCAGTATTTCAGACATATATTTACAACCTTATCTTTTCTTAATCTAAAATGTTCCTGAAGAAGGACTTTTGAACCAAGACTCTCAGTTTGCAATACAACCTGATTTTGTAAACAAAAAACAAAAAACAAAAACCTCCAGAAATGCTCAGGATATTAAGTGACACAGAACTACAAAGAATAGTCTGTAGAATTAATGTGCTAATGAGGTACTGACACAGCTTTGCTCAGGATTAACACATTCAGGAGCCAACCAATTAACTGTCCTTTCTAATACCTCCCAGGCAAATTTCTGCGTTCAAAACTTGGTACGGCTCCTGGCCTATGTAAATCTCAGCTCCCATACACATTTTTTTTTTTTTTTTTCTGGGCTTGACTTGTGTAGGGGGCAGGTTGGGTAAATGAATAATCTTAAAGCTAGCTGAGTGGCACATCCCAGATTGAGTTCTTGTGTCATTACACTGAATGTTGGTTATATACCTGCACAATCATGCATTTCCTTAGCATCACCTCATTCCTTCGTGGATTCACACAGCCTTTCCCTGACCCTGCTCTGGGTCAGAGCAGAAGCCATGTTCGCTGGGCTTCTATTTTGCCAACTGTTCGTTGCTGACCTTCCTCCCTACTTAATATCCATGTATCATGCAGAGTCCTTGCCAAAGTAAAAAGAAGGTAAGCATCTCTGGATCCAAACGTCTAACAGTTGAGTCAGCCACAGACACTTTTAAAGGAGGATCTTTTGGAAATATCACACCACATATATATTTCTATTCCTCTCTCCTTATTTTAAGAGCCCTTCCAAGGTCTCCAAAAATATCTCTTCTCTTCATGAGGTTTTTTTCTTCTTTAAGATGTTTCAGAGTCAAGACTGGGAAAGACAATGTCGTAAAACGTTTTATATTTGCATCACTATACAGAGCTCCTCCATTCCCTTTTCTGGAAACCTCCTTCTGAAGGGACAATAGCTGGTTTTCTTCTCTAAATCATTAATTCAACAAATGTGCACTGAGAGTAACCCTGTGCATGCCATCTATTGCGCTAGGTGCTGAAGAGGAGATACGAGGAGCAAGTCCTGTTGGAACATCAAAGTTAACAGGATTTCTCCATTTTGCCTACCTGTCAGAAGAAAGCTTGCCAATTTTATACTTCCTTTTCTGGCTATTGGGTGAAAAGGAGATGATTTATGAGTATTCCAAATGTCTTCCTCCTCTATCTAATTTCTCCATCCGTTCATCCATCCACTCACCCCAACACTTTAAAGGGCCCTTCCAACTTCAGTGCTTCCTTTGGACCAAGTACTATGCTAGGCACTGAGGATACACACAGGGCAAGACCTGCCCTCTGCCCCCAGGGAAGTCCCAGTCCAGAGGGACACAGTTGTATGATCAAGACACAGTTGTATGATTCACGTAGGAACTAGAATGTCATTGCTAGAGTAGAGGTATGCACACAATGCTAAGGAATCAAGATCGTAGTTTTGAGCAGCTGAGGCTGATTGTGGATTCATTCATAAAACAGATTTCTTTTTGTTGTTGTTGTTGATGGCTGCTTTAATTCCCTTTAGGTATATTGCAAGGAAATTTAGAAACAGCAAAATCCAGATTCCAATTTGATATGTATAATCTGTTGATACTTTGGGGGCACGGTTTGGTCCTTCCATTTCTCCATGGTCCTTCTTCACCTGCGGCTCTGGACCTTCTCAAAGGCGTGCTGTGGGTCTGTTCCCCTCGTTCAGCTCATTGTGTGCTTTCCCTTCCCATCCACATCCCCAGTCATGATAGGAGACATTTCAGGACCCACAGAGCCTGGGCTGGCAGTACCAGTTGACAAGGAGGAGTGTGAGAGGGAGTCTTTCATAGACAATGAAGAGGAAGAAGTAAAAGTGGCAGGCGAGGAGAGCAGAAAAAGGAGAGAAGGAAACAGGGAGGAAGGACAAAGCCGACAATGAAGGAGAGGCGGCTGCAGCAGCAGTCTTGGTTCTAACCAGATCTCTTCAAGACCTGATGCTGAGCAATTTCTGTAACTGAGAATCAGGCTTATAGAAGGGCTGGCTGCAACAGTCCTTCCAAATATGGGGGCAAGGTGAAGCAGAATTGCAGGAATACCGAAGATCTGACTCACTTGCTGAGCGACATCTTAAAGGACGATTTCGCTTCAAAATTATGAAGTCAGGGGAAAGAAAACTCTCTCAGGATCCATCATGTGTTGCTTTTGGAAATTATTATTTTGGAGCACAAGCTGTTTCCTGTCTTTAAAGCCTATTATCTATTTCCCTTCCAGGTGGAGGTTGGGCTGCCTGCTAATTTAATCCCCTGGGCTTCCCCCTCTGCCTTCAAGATCTCACAGACGTTCAGGCTTCATAAAGAGGGCACTTTTGTGTCTTCCTCCCCTGAAGGCCTCCATCTACCATGGCAGCAAAGGAGCTGCTATTTTGGGAAACAGCAGCAGAGTTGGGAGGGTTGTTAATTGTTTGTCAAACCCTTCCATGGGGGGGCAAGAAAAAGAGCAGAGCAGTGCCCTTGCCTTCACTCTATTTCACTCTTGCATCTGTGAGAAGGGAGGGGAAAAGAGGACTCCTTGTCCTTTTCAGGCACAGGCACCCAAACTAATTAAAAAAAAAACAAAATTCATTCTTCTATCCAATGGAAAGACATAAACAAACATAATATTGTCCAAGAAGCCAATCAAAATAGTTTAAAAATCATTTATAACCTCAAAAACAAAACAAAAACAGCCAAGCAAAAACCCTTCATAACAGAAATGAAACACCAGGGGTTTTGCCGTCCATTCTGATCAAACCACCGCAGCCAAACTGACTAAGCAGATCCCCAAGCCCCGCCAACACCCCACTGACACACATGAAAACAATTCTAGCCAGGCACACTAACGGGATAATTCACCATGACACACACTCACCCCATCACAGCACAGACAAGTTCAAAATCAAACAGAAAAAGTCCCAGACTAAGAAAAAGCTACTCGGGACTGTGACCTCAGAGGCCCCCATGTGATTCTAAGACTTTCCAAGAGTTAGGTGAGCCCCTGAAGGAAATGGGTGGGAAGGGGCAAAGACCGGGAACCCAAATCTTATGCTTCTTTTTTTTTGAGACAGGGTCTCGCTCTGTTGCCCAGGCTGGAGTGTAGTGATGTGATCTGGGCTCACTGAAACCTCTGCCTCCCAGGTTCAAGCAATTCTTGTGACTCAGCCTCCAGAGTAACTGGGATTACAGGCATGCGCCACCACACCCGGCTAAGTTTTGTATTTTTAGTAGAGACGGGGTTTCACCATGTTGGCCAGGCTGATCTCAAACTCCTGGGCTCAAGTGATGTGCCTGCCTTGGCCTCCCAAAGTGCTGGGATTATAGGTGTAAGCCACCGCACAGGCCAAAATCTTATGCTTCTTAATAGGGCAACACCACCAATCACTTTATAACTACTTGGTTTTCTTCCTAGACCAATGCTCATGTGGAAGCATGGCTAATCCTACTTGACATTTTTTTTTTTTGAGACGGAATTTCACCCTTGTTGCCCAGGCTGGAGTACAGTGGTGCGATCTCCGCTCACTGCAACCTCTGCCTTCCAGGTTCAAGCAATTCTCCTGCCTCAGCCTCCCAAATAGCTGGGAATACAGGTATGAGCCACTGTGCCCAGCTACATTTTTTTTTAATACAATGATCTTTCAGCATTTTCAGGAAACTCCAAATGGAATGATCTCTTATTAATAGAGGAGTTGGGCTCAGAGAACTATGTAAGTGATAATGATAAAGGGAAGGATATGAGAGAATGCCTATTTTACATTTTTCCTCAAAAGAGCTCAGACTGCCTTATAAACACAAATCTACTAATCCGCCACACACTAGCTCCTGGTTAGCCAGCAGATCTGAAACTTCCTTTTGCACTGGAGGATGTGTTTGTATAAATACTTACTCAGAATTTGCTTAGTCAAAATGAGCATACGATGGGTTAGTGATTTAGGGTTTTTGAATTGAATGAACATTCATGTTAGAATTTAGATCAGCTGTGTTGATCTAAAGTGAACTTGACTAATGAATTAGAATATGTTCTATTAGCCACTACAGTTAGAATAGGAGGAGGGGGAAGGGGGCAAGATTTTCTTATTGGCTGAAAGAAATATATAGGTGGTCCCTAAATGAGCTGCTGATACCCTGCAAGGTTTTCAGTGCATCAGTAATCCACAATAAACGTTTAATCAGAACAGAGTGGGCAAGCAATTAGCTCAGTGATAAAAATCACACATTTGTAAACACCATGGCAGGAAAAGGAAACTGTTTAAAATCAACTTATTTTTTGTGAAAAATAGCTTTTATAGGGAAATGGTATAATGTAGAATCATGAAAAATTACGAGCTAGGCTAAGATAAAATGTATTTGCAGTAATATTTGGTTAATCTACCACTAGAATAATTTATGTCAAGTACCTTTTTTATCCTCTAGTTGGCTGCGTTTAAATATTCTGGCCTCAAATTTTAGGAACCCATTAATTAATCCATTTATTCAATAGTCATTCATCCCCTGATACAAACATAGCAATATTCAGGGTGCTGGTTACAGGGAGCGCAGGATGCAAAAAAGTGTAATGGAGCATCTCCCAGCACTTTTTTTATTTATTTTTCGAGACAGAGTCTTGCTCTGTAGCCCAGGCTGGAGTGCAGTGGTGTGATCTTGACCCCACCTCTCCAGTTCAAACGATTCTTGTGCCTCAGCCTCCCGAGTGAGTAGCTGGGATTACCAGCATGTGTCACCACACCCGGCTAATTTTTGTAATTTTAGTAGAGACGGGGTTTCACCACGTTGGCCAGGCTGGCCTTGAACTCCTGACCTCAGGTGATCTGCCCGCCTTGGCCTCCCAAAGTGCTGTCTCCGAGCACTTAATGCTATTTGGAAATGAGAACTATATCCACATAAAAGTTAAGTAATATGAGTAAACAAAATATAATACAAAACAGAAATATAAGGGATACCACAAGATAGTGAGTGCTACTGTGGTTTTAAGTAACAAACAACTGTTGGATTATGAGAGAGAGAGTGTGTGTGTGAGCACACAATAAGCATCAATGGGCACAGAAGACTTCCTGGAGGAAGTGATGTGCAGAATTTGGGCGGGAGGGAAGATGATTTCTTCTTTAAGAAACTAGATGAGATATATACTTTTTTTTTTCTTTTTTTGAGACAGAGTGTCGCTCTTGTTGCCCAAGCTGGAGTGCAATGGCGTGATCTGGGCTTACTGCAACCTCTGCCTCCTGGGTTCAAGCGATTTGCTTCTGGAGCAGCTGGGATTACAGGCACGCACCACCACGCCTAGCTAATTTTTGTATTTTTAGTAGAGACAGGGTTTCACCATGTTGGTCAGGCTGGTCTCGAACTCCTGAGCTCAGGTGATCCACCCGCCTCAGCCTCCCAAAGTGCTGGGATTACAGGTCTGAGCCACCGCACTCGGCCAAGATATATACTTTTGATTAGATCTGTCTAGCTGAGAAAGAGGGCATTTATGTTGTTCAGGATAGTAGAAAGGTTGGAAAGATTAGCCTAGGTTCATAGAATCATAGAATTTTGGACCTAAAATGATTCTAAAACAATCAGCTAGGACACCAGTTCTCAAATGTGGATGCACGTTGTAATTACTCACGGAGCTTTTAAAAATTTCAGTGCTGGGTTTCACCCCAGAGACTGATTTAACTGATCTGGGTGAGGCCTGGGTGTCTGGAAGTTTAAAAGTTCCCCAGGTGATTCTAACGTACAGCCTTAGTTTGAGGTCTACTGATTTAGTCCAACTCCCCAGTTTTATGAGAAAAGGACCACCTTCAAATTTGCTGACACACAGCTGGTAAGAGCTGCCAGGACACCCAATGAGCCCCAGCTCTATGCACCACTCTCGGTTGTTTGTCTTTGACAATGTATTGTGTAGTACTCTGGAGACCACGCCAGAGAATTGGATTTTTGCCATAAAAGGTCATGGGAAGCCACTGAGGGTTTTTGTGCAGGAAAATGGCACATTAAAAACAAATGGTCCTGCAACTTCTAGAAAGACATCAGAATTGAAAGGAATAAATGCACCCTAACAACCCAGGGGATTGATGTTATCCATGTAAATACTCCTCTGAAATTTAAGTTTTCATGTTTATATTTTGAATTAAAAACTAATATTGTGATAATTTCTATGTCATGGCATTCAAATAAGGAGAACTGTGCTCCTCGAACTTGTGGTTGTCTGTTTAGAAAGAACTTTCTTCTGGCCAATTAGTTCTGTTGTTTACATTTTTCTTTGATTTTCTCCTTAACTCTACAACTATCTAAGTGTTTTATGTTTCATTTCTTTTAAAATTTATCTTTTCTGTCCTTTCCCTCTTCCCCAATCAAGGACATTTGTTAATTGCCCACAATATGCTCATGCATATTTATATGTCTACACCTCCCTCTCCCCTTATTGTCCCCAGGGCAGTATTGTCCAATAGAAATATAATTTGAGCCACATATGTAAAATTTTATAAACAGATTAAATTAATATTAATAATCTATTTTATTTAACCCAATATATCTAAATTATATAATTTCAACATATAGCCATTATAAAAATACAAATGAGATATTTTACATTCTCTTTTTCATCCTATGTCTTTGAAACCTGCTGTGTATTTTACGGTTACAGCACATATCAACTGAGATGCTAGATTTTCAAAATTCAAAAACATGACACAATAAGATTGGGTTTCAGGGAACACGTATTCTGCTTCAATTTTTAAATTTAAATGGATTAAAATTACATAAAACGTAAAATGCAGTTCCTCAGTTGTACTTAACACATTTCATGTGCTCACTAGCCACATGTGGCTAGTAGCCAATGTAGTGAACAGCACAGGTCTAGGGTTTTATATGGTGGTGTTTTCTCATTCTGCAGCTTGATAGGATCCTAGGCTCATTTTAATGAGTTTGATTGCTCTACCCTTATTGAAGAATCTGTTTTCCTTAGGAGTCTTAAAGGAGACAGAATCTGAAAAAGTTGATCATAAAAACAATTTAAGGTTCTCTAGTGGCCGGTGCAGTGGCTCACGCCTGTAATCCTAGCATTTTGGGAGGCTAAGGCAGGCAGATCACTTGAGGTCGGGAATTCAAGACCAGCTTGGCCAACATGGTGAAACCCTATCTCTACTAAAAATACAAAAAAATTAACCAGGTGTGGTGGCGCACGCCTGTAATCCCAGGGAGGCTAAGACACAAGAATCTCTTGAACCCAGGACGCAGAGGTTGCAGTAAGCTGAGATCCCACCACTGTACTCCAGCCTGGGTGACAGAGCAAGACTCTGTCTAAAAAACAAAAACAAAAACAAAACAAAAACCAAAAAACAGAAAAAACAAAAAACAATTTAAGGTTATCTGAACAAAGATTCAAAATTTAGTACAAGAAGGTGGGCAGGGTTGTAAGCAGTTTAGGAATGAAAATGGAGAGAAGGGAAAAAGACAGGTTTTGATGTGCATTCCTAGTCAAACACCATTTGAAAATTTAAAAATTATATAGAAAATCAAGCAGCCAGGGCCAGGCAAGGTGGCTCACGCCTGTAATCCCAGCACTTTGGGAGGCTGAGGCGGGCGGATCACAAGGTCAAGAGATCAAGACCATCCTGGCCAACATGGTGAAACCCTGTCTCTACTAAAAATACAAAAATTAGCCAGGCATGGTGGCGCACGCCTGTAGTCCCAGCTACTCGGGAGGCTGAGGCAGGAGAATTGCTTGAACCCGGGAGGTGGAGGCTGCAGTGAGCCGAGATTGTGCCACTGCACTCCAGCCTGGGCGATGGAGCAGGGCTCTGTCTCAAAAAAAAAAAATTAAAATTAAAATTAAAAAAAAGAAAAATGAAAAAGAAAATCAAGCAGCCAAGAGAAAAAAAAAAAAAGATGTACAATATCCAGAATAGTGAGAGAAAAAAGGAACAAATTAAAAAGTGGATTTGGGCCAGGTGCAGTGGCTCATACCTGTAATCCCAGCACTTTGGAAGGCCGAGGCAGGTGGATCAATTGAGGTCAGGAGTTTGAGACCAGCGTAGCAAACATGGTGAAACCCCATCTCTACTAAAAATACAAAAATTAGCCATTGTGGTGGCATGCGCCTGTTGTCCCAGCTACTTGGAAGACTGAGAGGCGGAAGTTTCAGTGAGCCATGATCACACCACTGCACTCCAGCCTGGGCAACAGAGTGAGATTCTGTCTCAAAAAAAAAAAAAAAAAAAAAAAAAGTGGATTTGTCTGTTCTCAGAAGAAAAAAAGGAGTATCACTTACATAAAGTGCTAATAATGTATTTTTATAGATCTTTTCCCCCTAAATATTTAGTATGTCATACAAATGACTATTTGATTGCATAAGCAATTTTGACACTGCCCCTCACCCCCCACCAATTGAAAATGTCCTAATATTGAAAGGTAGGGACAGTGCAAATAACTTATTTTTCTTTCACCAACTCCCTTCTTACTAATTGTTACTTCTCACATAGCTACCGTGTGCATAATCTGTAGTGGGTTTGCACAGACTAGACGTAATTTAAGGCAAGTTAAGATCTTTAATCATCTGATAATAATACTTAGCCTTCAATTAGTTGTGTAAACAAGGGCGTAAATAGTGTCAACAGCAGTGGGCAGAGCAGCCTGTGCGACAGGAATCCACAGGCTTGAGCCCAGATAGCGCCTGAGTGACCTCAGACAGCTGTGGAAACAGCAGAGCCCAAAGCTCCTTGTACTAATCTGCCTGTGCCCAGCAGAGGGGTGAAAAGACAGAACAGACCTGTGGGAGGTGCTCTGGCCTTTTCTTCCAGAGCAGTTGGTTCCTCTGTTCTTCTGACAACCCTACTGTTTCTGATCATGCTGCGAACTTCTCTTTTCAACTGACAAAATCTCAGAGATGGATGATGGCAAATTCTAACTCAGTTCCTGCTTGCTAAATCTTAAAAGAATATGCTATCGTCCTGCTTTTTTTGGTAGGTGGAGGTGAAGTTTCCTGATCATACGAACTCGGGCCCTCCAGACATGAGTTCTAAAGGTTCCATTTCGTTGGCTCAGGATCAAAGAAAATCCTGATAATGACAGTGATAATGTGCAACTTGCAAGTCATCAGACATTTATTAAGCACCTATTATGTGGTACAGCAGAAAAAGCATTAAAAATTCAACAAGTACTAAGAGTGTACCTACTATGTGTTCAGAACTGTGCTAGGCACTGGTGTGATAACAATAACCATAATAACAACAATAACTAAGAATTATAAGTGTTTATATGGTGCTAGGAACTGTACTAAGCAATTTAGTTATTTTTATTATTCCCATTTTTCACAGGAGACTGAGGCACAAAGAGGTTAAATAACTTGCCTATATAAGCAAACTAAAATATGGATTTCCCATTTCACCTAGAGGTGAGATGACTTTCCAAAGGTCACACAGCAGTGAGAAGAGGAGCCAGGCAATCTAGCCCCATGACCCCACATTGGAGCTTTAAGTAGGTTAAATGTAAATGAAGATAATGATATCTACTTTCAGAACTTTATAAATGTGCTAAATAATGCATGTACTATGTCTAGCACAGTGCTTGGTAAACATTATTATTATTAGGAATTCATTAATCCAAGTGTATAATCACTCAGTATGCACTGGTACAGCCAACCCAGTTGTTAAAGTATTGAAATGTTTCCATGTCAGTTGATAGAACCTCTGCCCTAAGCCCGTGAGTAGCCCCCTTACTGGCCATGCAGCCCCTCTTGCAGGAGCCCTCCAAACCCCTAGCATTGTAAGGGCCTCCAGGACCCTGTTCTGATGGTTAGTGCCTGTACTGCACCAGCTGTTATGTATTTTCACCATATCCTGGCTACAAATATGAGCTGGGCTCCTGCCTTCAATGAGGGCATAGTCTGGGAGGGACACTGGGCATGACAGGAGAAAGTGATGAGGGCAATGATGAAGGAGTGTGCTGAGTACAGTGGTGGATGATGGAAAAGCTCAGCTCAGGCAGGTCAGAAAGCCTTCATGGAAGGCAAGAGGCTTGACACTAGCAATAACCTGCCTGGATGGGTGAGTGGGAGCATCCCAGATCATCACTAAAGTTCTTTTGTCTCTCAGTTTCCTCATTTTTTTTTTTTTTTTTTTTTTTTGAGATGGAGTCTTGCTCTGTCACCCAGGCTGGAGTGCAGTGGTGCGACCTCCGCTCATTGTAACCTCTGCCTGCTGAGTTTCAGCAATTCCCCTGCCTCAGCCTCCCAAGTAGCTGGGATTACAGGCACGTGCCACCATGCCCGGCTAATTTTTTGTATTTTTAGTAAAGACGGGGTTTCACCATGCTGGCCGGGCTGGTCTTGAACTCCTAACCTCGTGATCCGCCCACCTCGGCCTCCCAAAGTGCTGGGATTACAGGCATGAGCCACCATGCCCTGCCAGTTTCTTCATTCTTGTTGCCTCCACCTAGTTCAGGTCTTCACAACCCTTTGCCTAAATTTCCACAAGAGCTTTATGTGTGCTCTTCTATGCACCAACTGTTCTAGAATCTATTCTGTGCTTCCCTTACTGAACAACCTTTAGTAAGGTCCCTGTGGTCCTATCTCCTCATCAAGGCACCCACAACCCACTATCATGCAGCCTCGGCCTCTGTTTCTAGCCTTTCCCACTTGCTTTTGGGCATGTGCCCAGCACAACTGCAAAGTAAGATGTTCCCTACACTGGACTCTGTTGCTCCTGCTGCTTGGAACTTGTGGATCCTACCTCAGAGGTTTTCAGCACCCTCTTCAGATACAACTTCTTTGGTGAAACTTTCTCCCATCTATGTTCCTTTCTTCTCCCAGCCTCTTCTCCCACCCCAGGGTAGTATGTGGGGTAGTGTGTTCTGAGAACTAGCCTACATTGATAGCTTATTATATGCCAGGTGCTGTTCTATGAGCTTTGCATGTGCTACCTTGTTCTACCCTCACAAAAACTCTAAGAGGTAGGCATTATTATTATTATATTTATATTTATTTTATTGTATTTTTTGAGACAGAGTCTCACTCTGTTGCCCAGGCTGGAGTACAATGGTGTGATCTCGGCTCACTGCAACCTCTGCCTCCTGTGTTCAAGCAATTCTCCTGCCTCAGCCTTCCGAGTAGCTGGGATTACAGGCACCTGCCGCCATGCCAGGCTAATTACTGTATTTTTTTTTTTAGTAGAGACAGGGTTTCACCATATTAGCCAGGCTGGTCTTGAACTCCTGATCTCAAGTGATCCGCCCACCTTGTCCTTCCAAAGTGATAGGATTACAGGCGTGAGCCACCACACCCGGCTGATTATTTTGTAATAAAAAAGACGGCAGCACAGAGAAGTGAAGTAATTTTCCAGAGGCCATGCAGCAAGTGAAAGGTGAAGCTGGGATTCCAACCTAGGAAGCCAGCCTCCTCAGCCTGTGCTCTTAGCCATTGCTTTATAGTGACTAATAACTTGCAAAGAAAAAGAGAAGAGAAAAATTCTTGTGTCATTACTCAATATATGCTATTTGGTTTTGTAATTATTCGTGTCATTATTTTATATCTTCCTCTACGTGGGCTGAAAATTCCTAGAGGGGAGGAACTCTGGGTCTCAGAGCCTGCTGTCTCAGTTACCATCAGTTGTGGGCACAGGTAATGCTATTGAGCCATCACATCCTCTGGAGATTGTGAATTGGTCATGATCAAGCCCACTCTTCACTGGTATTTTTCCTAAATAAATTCATTGCTTGACCAACCCCGGGGCAGGATCAGGCCCAGGGTTCCACATGGACTCCAAGAAAGCAGTGCTTAGTTTTCTCATTCAGATTGTGGCTGAGAAGTTGTCATTTATCGTCTGTACAATAACGCAGATGTGTATGTGACTTCCCCCTTTTCAGCAGTGGAGACACTGAAGCGGCCTGAGGTTATTTACCCAGAGTCCTCAGGCAGGTCTGTGGTGGAGCTTCGGTGGAACTAACTGGAAGTGACTCCATGTTTCCAGTCCAGGACCCTGGGCAACCCCGTGGTAATTGTGTCCTGATATACTTATAAGGACCAGTAGATGGACTAAGTTGTTGACTGACCAGAAAATTCTGGAACTCCCTAGCACTATATTTTTACCTTGACACGAAATGAAATTATGACATCATCATGGGAACACAGGACTTCTTTCTTTTTATTTTCAGAACTTGCTCGATTTTTCCAAGGGTGGACTGGTCAGTCCTTGTAATGGAAAAATGGAAATGGAAAAAAAAAAGGAAAAAAAAATCATTGTGGAGAACCTGTAACATCTTCCATTTAACTTATTTGATAACTGGGTTTGTTCTAGAATCTAGAGAACAAAGTGAAAGATGCCAGCTTTAGAGGACAACCAATAACTTTGTATCTAGACACGATTCCTTGAAAAGAAGCCAAAAACCTAGGCAAAAACTTTTAGAATCCCCCTTTTCTTTGGGGTTAGAACTGACAGCTGCTAAGAGTGTATGTGACTCTAGCGGGGAAAGCGGCTCATCCAAAAATAATGATTGCCAAATACTTTGCAGTAATACTATTTGTTATCCAGGGGTGTCCTCCGCCGCGTATGGCCACCATCTCTATTTTTGCCAGGGTTGAGGGGGGTCGCTTACAGGTGTGGCCGGCCTGGAAACGGTGGTGTGGCTGGTGAGGGCGGAGTCGATCAGGGAAGGATCAGGACTTTATGGCAGAACAGAGTCCACCACCGTGTTCGGAAGAAAGTTCGAATATTTTGTTCGCTTTGGTTCCGGCAAGCCATCGCACAAGCCAGAATCTGTAACTCCAAACAGTAGCGCTCTCGAGCACCGTCCCGAACATTCACTCCCCACGGGCCTGGTCTGCGGCCGCAAGCCGTCGCCCCCTTTAAGAGCCTGCTCCGCGGGACTAACGTTCGAACGGGCCCTGGCGCCCCTCCTCGGGCTCCGATTGGCCGTGCGCGGCGCACGAGGGCGCGCCGGCCAGCCCCGGAACGGTTGGCGGCCCTTCGTGATTGGCGGTCGAGAAGCCTATATAAGGCGCGGGGCAGCCAGGCTGCCCTGTTTAGCGACCGGACCCGAAACGGGGAAGTTGTCTTGTTTGGAGAGGTTAGTAGAGCAGCGCGCGCGTCACCAGAGTCGTTTCTCTTCGGAGTCTTAGGTGATCGAGGGTGTGCCCAGGGGGCGGACTTGTTTGCGCCTCCCGTTCCCTCCCAATTTCCAAACGTGTCACCCCGGCGCCGACGGCCCTGTGCAGGGGAAGCAGATGGAGTTCAAGCTGGAGGCTCATCGCATCGTCAGCATCTCTCTGGGCAAGATCTACAACTCGCGGGTCCAGCGCGGCGGCATCAAGCTGCATAAGAACCTCCTGGTCTCGCTGGTGCTGCGCAGCGCCCGCCAAGTCTACCTGAGCGACCCGTGCCCCGGCCTCTACCTGGCCGGTCCCGCTGGGACCCCGGCGCCGCCACCGCAGCAGCAGCCCGGGGAGCCGGCGGCCGGGCCACCCGCCGGCTGGGGAGAGCCGCCCCCGCCCGCCGCTCGTGCCTCTTGGCCGGAGACCGAGCCGCAGCCGGAGCGCTCCTCCGTCTCAGACGCGCCGCGGGTAGGGGACGAGGTGCCGGTGGCCACGGTGACTGGAGTCGGGGACGTTTTTCAGGGCGGAGAGGCGGACGCGACGGAAGCTGCCTGGAGCCGCGTGGAGGGGCCGCGCCAGGCGGCGGCCAGAGAAGCCGAGGGTACCGCCGGAGGCTGGGGCGTCTTCCCCGAGGTATCTCGTGCCGCGCGCCGCCCCTGCGGCTGCCCCCTAGGCGGGGAGGACCCGCCGGGTACACCGGCCGCGACCCCCCGCGCTGCCTGCTGCTGCGCGCCGCAACCAGCGGAGGACGAGCCCCCCGCGCCGCCCGCGGTGTGCCCCAGGAAGCGCTGCGCGGCGGGGGTGGGCGGCGGCCCAGCGGGCTGCCCGGCGCCCGGCTCGACCCCGCTCAAGAAGCCCCGCCGGAACTTAGAGCAGCCGCCGAGTGGAGGAGAGGACGACGACGCGGAGGAGATGGAGACCGGGAACGTGGCTAACCTCATCAGCATCTTCGGTTCCAGTTTCTCGGGACTCCTACGGAAAAGCCCCGGGGGCGGCAGAGAGGAAGAGGAGGGAGAGGAGAGCGGTCCGGAAGCCGCCGAGCCCGGGCAGATCTGCTGCGATAAGCCGGTGCTGAGAGACATGAACCCCTGGAGCACAGCCATCGTGGCCTTCTGAGCCCTTGGCCCCCCTGCGGGGAGGAGGTGGAGCAGCGGGCGTCCCCGAAGTGAGGGCCAGGCCCTTCCCGGCTGCGAGGACGCCCAGAGACCGCGGGCGCTGAGCGCGTTGGGCAGACTGGTTGCCTCTGGGCATCGCAAACTGCCCCCGGGCGCATCTGGCTTATCTGGAGACCTGGGAGCTTGAGGCTCATTGGAAGAGGACGATCGTTAACTTTTGTGTTTGTGTATGTCTGTGTATGTAAGTTTGTCTTGTGGCATTAAGACTATTTTGCTCTTCTGGAATGCACCACTCCTTCCCCAGGGTTTAAGAGATTGGGGGCAGACAGGGACTTTCCTCTGCCGGCTGCGTGGAGAAGGAAGCGGCTAAAAGGTTTGGGCCGGGGAGTTCCCCATTCGTTCTCCGGGGAGGGAGGGACTTTACACCTACCCCTCACCGGAAAGCTAGACCCGCTTCAGGGCCAGGAGTGGCGTTTCCGCACAGGATTTCCTAAGACGAGAGGGATTTAGCCAAGAGCACAGACTTGGATTCCTTCTGTCCCTCCCCACCTTTCTCTCCCAATGAAGAAACGTTTATATCCTGTGATTACTCTAGGAAAGGGGCGTATTAACGGTCCTTTGCTTCCCCGCAGGGGAGAAAAAGCTTGACGAACTTCACAGAAGAGTTCAAGCTTGGAAATAATGGAGTTTATAGAGAAAAGATATATTTTTAAAAGCTCTAGGTCAGAAGTACTACACAGTGCTTTTAAAAAGTGTTTAATGAGAGTTTACAGACAGAAGCCCGAAGTGGAAAGACCTTATGGTTTTGTAGATATGGTGACTCCAGTCTTTGTTGTATAAAGGTTGGGGGAGCTGATAAGGTTTTTGTACAGTATTTTCTCCTTCGTTGTATTGATTTTTGTATAAAAATGTAACTTCTACGTGTCTAACACGTATTAAATATTTTGAAGCAACGTAACTGCCTGCTTGTCTGTAATAACCTGCCTGGGTTGGGAGGGAAGTGGGAGGAGGGAAACCAGGGCCTGAGCTAGAAAATTGAAGGTGTGGTTCTTAGTATCAGTCATTCGCAGACTGAGGACATTGTTTACTGACTCCACTAAGTATCAAGAGAGACACGTTTAATTTTTCCTCCTAGATCAGAGGACTGCTATTAGATACTAATATCGGCGACCTGTCAGGTTCTAGAAACCTGCCACTACAACTGCCTTTTCTAAGGTCAGTTTAGACCAATTTGTCACCCAATATGTGGGTGTCTAATACTAAGTAATTTAACCAACTTTTGAAGCCCCGCTTATCCACAAAAATGTTTTTCAGCAAAACTTTGTTTCCTGTTAAGCTATTAATACGGGTCATCTTTTAGCTTTGTAATTGAAAAAAAAAAAGTTTAGATAGTAGTTTACCTTAAAAGCCCATTCGAACTGACATAGGAAGATGAAAGAGACTGACTTGTCCAAATTGTCAGGTCCACCTCTGCATCACAGTGGATGTCAGGATGTAAATTTTCAGTTTTTCTCTTACATCTAGAAAGTAAATATATTGCTGAGAGGGAAATTGTTTGCATCAAACCAGATAAGGAAGGAGGGCTAGGCAAATTTAGTTCTCATTTAGCAAAACTTCCTGATTTGTTTTGTTACTTAAATGGTGACATCAGTGTTTGGTCATGGTAGACACTTAGGTGATGATAGCCAAAACATCCATCGATTTTACTAAAATCACTGCCATTAAGAGAGTTTTTTGTCTCTTCATGTTCAATGTTTGAAAGGTATTCAGTAATCTATTTCAGAAGCAAATCAATTAGGGAATGGTGTTTATTAAAATACGGTACAGTTGCCAGGACTTTAAAAGATGGTACTGGTTTCTAACAACTTACGAGTATATAGGGTATTTAAAAGATGGGAGAGATTGAAGAAAGACAAAGGTTTAAAGGTCATAGCCTTCGAGCATAAGAGGCATATGAATGGTGTCTTGGCCTTAACTCCCAATTATACGAACTTCTGTTTTAGCTGAATAGGCCAGTGCCTCGTGCCTTGATATTTCGGCAAATCTATTAGTGGTTCCTTAAGCATAGGGAACTTTGTACTTTATGCTCTGTCGCCATAATAATGTATTTATAGAATTAAACATTCTCAAATTAGGGTCTTGTTAAACTGACTTTTTCTTTCAGAAAGTAGCTACTTAAATTCTGTTACAGCTACAAAAGATCCATCAAGTGCTGACTGCTTAAACTGAAGAAGGTGTCCAGGGCCTTAATTCTGCAAACATTTCCTGTTGTTAGAAAGTATGATGCTTGAACAGCGATCTCAGTGTATTTTATGTTTTAAAGGGGGTAACGTTTGGTGTGTTTAAGAGAGCTGATGTGTTTTGGATGAGACTAAAGTTGATCCTTGGTTTTACATTAAGATGAACCTGGGTCCATGTGTCTGCTTAAAGAATGTAAATTGGCATACTTGATAGGAGGATAAAGCTTTGTAGGAATTAGAAAAGATCATTCTCTTTTTTGTTGCAGAAGCAGTATAGTATAGTAGTTAGAGCATGGGCCCTGGAGCCAGGCTGCTTGGTGTCTTCCTTTATTTATTTATTTATTTAATTATAAAAAGTAAATATAAAGTGAGCTATGTTGACCAGGTTCGTCTTGAACTCCTGGCCTCAAGCAATCCTCCTGCCTCAGCCTCCCAAAGTGCTGGGATTACAGGCATGAGCCACCACAACCTGGCCTGCTTGGGTTTTTCTATCTTGGCTCTGCCACCTAGCTGTGGGTCCTTGGACAAGTTACTTCATCTCTCTGTGCCTCAGGTTTTTCAAATGTAAAATTGGGATAATTGGATCTGTCTCATAGGGTTGTGAAAATTAATGAGTTAATGCTCTTAGAAGAGTACCTCATATGTAATAAGCACGCAACTGTTAATTATTGTTAATGTAGAAGTTAATTCTGTGTATAAATCAGATACACTGTGGTCAAAGATTTGTGTGTATTTGTAAGAAAAGAGGAGAATGGAGAATCTATTTTTAAGTGGTCCTATGTGTGAATGCTGGGTTCTTTTATTCCTCTTTTTCTCTGGACACTTGGCAGTCAGGAAGCTTTGTTCTACCAACATAGTTTTGTTGCTGTGAATGTCTCACACCAACCGGATGATTTTTCCAATTGTATCAAACAACTCTATTTTCAGGGAGGAGTAAGCTGAAGTGAAAACAGGCAAGGAGCAAAGTTCTTGTTGACATACAAATGCTTTCTGTGGATGAGTAAAGAAAAAAGTAGCCCATAAAGTTATTTTTGCTTGAATTATTGCGCATGGAATGTTTAAAACATGCTTATTGATAGGTTCTGGACAAGAGCCTTCCCAATGCCAACCTAGGGCTATCACACAACCAAATCAGATGCAGTGTGACTAGAAACGATGCCATGGTTTTAGTACCTAACCACTTCTTCACCACTCTGGGAGGGACCTAGTCTCTTGATCAAATTAACCTTAGCTCTGGGGTGTAAAAAAACCTTCTGACTGCTGCGTAAAAGCCAGATGTTTAAAGTGCTTTCCAACAAGTACTCCAAGAAGATCACATTAATAGGGAATAAAGTCTGGGCGCGGTGGCTCACACCTGTAATCCCAGCACTTTGGGAGGCCGAGGCAGGTGGATCACCTGAGGTCAGGAGTTCAAGACCAGCCTGGCCAACATGGTGAAACCCTGTCTCTACTAAAAATATAAAAATTAGCCAGGTGTGGTGGTGGGAAAAAAGAGAATAAAGGGATAAATGTTAGTAATGTATTTTTTTTTTTGAGACAGAGTCTTGCTCTGTCACCCAGGCTAGAGTGCAGTGGTGTGATCTCAGCTCACTGTAACCTCTGCCTCCCTAGTTCAAGCGATTGTCCTGCTTCAGCCTCCCAAAGTGCTGGGATTACAGGCATGCACCACCACGTCTGGCTAACTTTTGTATTTTTAGTAGAGACGGGGTTTCACCATGTTGACCAGGCTGGTCTCAAACTCCTGACCTCCGGTGATCCACCTGCCTTGGCCTCCCAAAGTGCTGGGATTACAGGCGTGAGCCACTGCCCCCGGCCTAGTATGTACTTCTCAACCATGTTGTTTTAACCCTGTCTTCCCTTTTAGAAACCATCATTTGTTCTTGGCGATGGGAACTAATGATGGAAAGCCTGAATTGCTCCTCCAAGGTGACTGGGTTTTCTTTATGGCACCAAATAACCTTTCCATTCCTTCTACTCATCACTGATTGGATTTGGGAGTGTGAAGTGAGAGGAAATGGGTCATTTGACAACTTTGGTGGAAAGCTTCTCAGAATAAAGATGTCAGAAATATTGGGAATGAAATTAATAATTATAAAACTGTTCCATCTTATCACTGGGTTAGTCTGAGTCTCTCTTACTGCAACTTACTAGGCATGATAACCTAGCCTCAGATCCTGTGTGATGGGGTCGACAGGCTAATCCCACTGTGATATGGCATTTGATGGACATTTATTTCCTTGTACTTTTTTAAAAAAAAGTAGAGTTAGTTCAGTTCACTGAATAACCAAAGGATTTCTGATCTCTTGCCCTAAATATTTTATTCTTCTCCTGTTTGTGAATTTTTTATTCTTCTAGACTTCCTTTTATCCCAGCAGTCCCTGAAAAAAGACAGGAATGAAAAGAAACGCTGATCCAACCTTTCCGTGACTATGAAAGAGGCCATTACTATGAGGTGCAGTGCTCCGGTGGGGAGGGAGGCCTGCTTCCCAGGATTCCTGGCACTCTTTCCAGTAATGAGCAGTTTGTCTCTCAGCCTTTGAACCATTGTTCAAATTTAAAATTCAACCCAGTGGAAAGCCTTGGGAGGAAAAAACATAGAAGGAGAGTTGATGTTAGGAATCACTGTGATCTTAACACATGCCCTTGGAGTTTTTCAGTAATAATTCTTAAGGGTACGATAGGGAACAAATGTGGAAGAGCAGAAAGTGTGAAAGGATACGCACATCTAGCTGAATGCCTCCTTCCTGATTCAAACACAGTTTTTCCCAATGCCTGCTACCACTGCTCCCTCCCGCAGTGGGAATGGGGGTTTTAAAATAAAATCTCTCTCTAGCAATTGCTGTCTCCCAGAGGAATACAGCCCAAAGCTCTTTGCTGGACTACAGCCTGGGGTTTATCTCAGACCTCTGGAATCCTTCAGGCAGGGAAGGAGAAACCTCCAGGGACTGCATTCCTGAAAGGGCCTCTCCTCTTTCCTCTCCAGACCAGCAGCAGCCTCTATCACCGGATGCTGCCCACTTATGGGCAGGTGAAATAGAGTATTGGCTATCAGCTTTTGGAAGCTGCAGGAAGAAGGGCTGGTACCCAGCACTGCTACTGAGCATCTCTAGCAGGTGATTCTTTTAGGGGACTGGCATAGAGCTGGCCTGGTGTATTATATTAGTCCGTTTTCACACCACTATAAAGAAATACCCAAGACTGGGTAACTGACAAAAGAGATTTAATTGGCTCACAGTTCGCATGTCTGGGGAAGCCTCAGGAAACTTACAATCATGGTGGAAGGGGAAGCGGGCACGTCTTACATGGCAGCAGGTGAGGGCACGTGTAAGCGCGGGAAAAACTACCATTTATAAAACTATCATGGGAACAGCATGGGGGAACCACCCCATAATCCAATTACTTCTCTCCCCTGACACTGGGGATTACAACTTGAGATTTGGGTGGGGACATAGAGGCAAACCGTTATCATCTGGGATATTTGCAGTAAATCTACTTTTTATGTAATAAAGTTTTCTGGGACCTGGTCACAAGAAGCCTCTAGGCCTGTGTGGTAAGCCATATCCCTAACTTACAGGATGGTGAGACAGCTGCCCCTTTTCCATCCATTTAGCACCAAGGCAGTCCTGGTCCCAGCCCTCTGCTTTTTCCCTATGAATGGGGCCTCTGCAAGGTTGCCCCAGCCCAATCGTTCTATCAGATGCCAAGACAAGGCTCCTTTCAGTTTTTCTAGAATTCAGGGATGTGCGGAAAGCCATGTGTTCCCACCTGCTTGTTCTTCAACCCATTCCACCTCTCAAGTCGGGGCAGAGCAGCTGTTGGAAACTTGCATGCTGTGAGGTAAAAGAAAAACCATTTTGTTCCCTCTGTGCAAACACTGATGTTGTCTCTGAAGTGTAGGATTTCCTTTGGTACTCTCTACACTTGATCCTCTTCCAGAATCCAAGATACCATCCATGAGTTTTTCTCTATGTTGATCCACATCTGGTTCGTTCTTTCTAGCCAGTCACAGGATCTGCCTGTCTTCTGTGGCACAGATACTTCCTTCAGCGCTGTAGCTGTTTTGTCTTTCCATTTCTGTCTGTCTGGGTCTTTCTCTGTCTCCCCTCCCTCCACCCTCTCTTGAGGACTCTCATGTTCATTATTTTCCTCGGGAAGAATCTGACTGCTAAGGAGAGAACTGTGAGTGGGAATGCTACAGCCTGCTAAGAAGGAGCAGAGATTTGGATTTCCTGACCACGAGACTTGCAAAGAATCTCCAGAGACTCTGGGCCCTGGAGATCAAGCCACAGCTGTGTTAGCTGGAAATCATCCTCTCACTGTGTCTCACCAGACCGCCAATTCCATCATAATAGCAGGGGGTGGGTAGGGGAGTATACATCCTAGAAACAGGAGCAGCAGCTGAAACCCAACTTGGCTTGTGGCCAGATGCAGGAAAGGAGAGGCAAAGCCAGGGGAGCCCGAACGTGGGCTACAAGGCATTTCCGCTCCCCACCCCAACTTTTTTTTTTTTTTTTTTTTTTTTTTTTTTTTTTTTGCTGGAACTGCGTGTGCTGCTTTCTAGAACAGATAATGAATCACAGAGCTGCTCAGATGGAGAAATCCAAAAGTGCCTCTTTGCCTTATCTCCCCCTTCTAGGCTTTGATTGATTAATAGAGACTTTTTACAGAGTCACTAAAGTGGGAGTGGGGAGTCCTCATAACCCCCTGGGGTCGTGCAGCAGAGGTGACCAGCGGGAAGTGAGCTACAGGATTGTGAAGTGATGTGGGGAGGTGGAGGAGGAACTGCCACTCAGTCAAGTTCTGCTCAAGAAGGTCTGCTATGGGCCGAGTGAATTTAGGGCAGGAGCACCCCACCCACTTTTTTCTCCTTGGCTTTTCTTAAACTGCATCACAACCTCCTGTTTTCTTCAGACAATTTCCAAGTTTTATTTTTGGTTTGGAAAAGGGTGAAAGTGCCTTGGCATCTGCATTTATCAGCTAGCACTCTGTGTGACCTACTTAAGAGACTGTGTAGTGACTTTTCTTTTTAGGGCCATGGGAGAAATCCCTAAAAGCAAAGATTCAGTGTCAGAAACTGAAGTTGAGGTATATGGGATGCTCTGCTTGGGTGATTATGTTCTACAGCTCCTGCCGGTTTCTCCCCGCACCCCCCTGCCTCTTCAGAATGCATTTTGAAAGGCGCTCCTAGCCTGCACTGCAGAGAGCAGCTGTAAAGATGCGGTGTGGGGGCGATTCTGGTGCGTGGGCTGGCCCAGCTGTCTGCTTCCCAACCTTTCAGTCACCTCAGCATCAGGCATCTGGCTGCCTAACATGGAGCTGGCAGCTTGCTAAGGCTCCTGAATGCCCTCAGGAGATGAAGCGGGGAGTCTCTTACTTTACCAGGCAGAAAAGACTAAATGAGGTCCAGAGAGTGAGCAGCAGGTCATCATGAATGGTCAAGTGAGGACCCAAGCAGAGGCAGTGTTAGAATCAGCCCTGGACTGATTCCTTGAGACCTCTCTGGGCAAAGGGCTGTGGTCTTGACTCTGAACATGTGACTCACGATTTGAAAAGTCATTCATCTTTGTTGGTTTCTATTTACAGTTTTAAAATAAAGTATCCACTTGCCTCACAATTGTGATTAGAAGATAAATTAGTGTTTGTAAAGCAAAGCTAAAAGATATAAACAACTCACTCCTGGATCCCATCAATTAAGCATTGACAGGAACACCCAGAAGAAACTCATGAATAGGGAATACAAAGATGCAGACAACAGGACCCTGGCCCTCACGACCATTACATTCCAGTTAAGACGCAAAACAACATAGAACCCCCCCAAAACTTGATAGTATGTTAAGTGTCGGCTAGTCGCTTGCTTCTTAAAGTATGGTCCAGGGACCATGGGTATCATCTGGGAGCTTATGAAAAATGGAGAGTATCTCAGGCCCCACTTCAGACCTACTGAATCTACAGTTTAACAAGATCCCCAGGTGATCAATATGCACATTAAAGTTTAAAGAGCAGATATTTCCACTGATCTCAGAATCAAGCATGAATTTCTCAGCTTTAGGTCACTCAAGGTCCAGCTGTGTCTTGTTATTTCTTCTCTCACATGCTGCCTCCAGCCATACGAACTATCTGCAGTTTAGGTAACTTATTTGCAGGCTTCTGGGCCTCTTCACGTGCTGCTTCCTAGAGAGGCATGGTCAAGTTTACAGCTTAACTGTGAGAATAAAGAAACTACAGGGAAGGAAAAAGAGCAGAAAGCTAAGACCTAGTGATGAGGAAGCCTAGAGGTAGGGGCTAGAATAGGAAGAGGGCTCTGTTAAAAGGAACAGTTTGCAGAGAGGTAGGAGTAGAGTCTGGCTGCTGTGAAGGGAGATGGGGCAAAGAAAATGTCCTTGAACTAAGACTGCCATTAGTGAATTATTATTATTATTTGAGACAGGGTCTTGCTGTGTCTCCCAGGCTACAGTGCAGTGGAACGATCACAGCTCACTGCAGCCTCAGCCTCCCAAAGTAGTTGGGACTACAGGAGCGCACCACCATGCCAACTAATGTTTATATTTTTTGTAGAGATGAAGTGTCGCCATGTTGCCCAGGTTGGTCTTGAACTCCTGACCTCAAAAGATCTTCCTGCCCTCAGACTTTCAAACTACTGGGATTACAGGTGTGAGCCACTGTGCCCAGCCACATTTTTTTTCTTTTAGAGACAGGGTCTTTGTTGCCCAGGCTGGAGTGCAGTGGTGCAATCATAGCTTACTGCAGCCTTGAACTCCTTGGACAAAGTGATCCTCCTGCCTCAGCCTCCCGAGTAGCTGGCACTACATGCACACGCCTCTATGCTCAGCTAAGTTTTAACTAGTGAATTTTGACAGAGGTTCTGTAGAAGATGGTAGAGAAAACTAGATTATAAGTGAGTGGAAAGATGTGGGGGCCCTGGCTGTAGCTCCTTCCCCAAGAAATTTGGCATAAAGGCAAAAAAGAACCAGGTGGCAGCTAGAAAGGATCTGGGGTCAATTGAAAGGGCCTGCACATGTCTTAAGGCAGAACCATTGGGTGCAGAAAACAGCTAGAGTGACGGTGAATGGGATTTGAATACATAAACTCCTAAATATGAGTCTCTTATCAGGAGGAATAAACCCTTTCTTTTTCTTCTCCGGTCAAATAAAAGGAGACAAGAGACACTAATAAATCACTCCAGGGACCTTGTTAGTATCAGCAGTCTGCATTCCCCTCCTCAATCCCAGCTCACGAAGAACCTTGCAGCTGAAACTCCAGCATACCAGTTGGCAAGGTAACAAACTGCTAAGGGATCCTGGAGAATAAAAGGATCACTCCTGAAACCCTAGTGCTGCCAGCTACTAATCTAAAGATAGAGATTTCTGATGCTTCATCCCCTTTATAGATTAGGAGTTTAAAACATATTGGAATGGAAACATGTGCTATGAGGAAAGCAGGATTTGTCATTCTTGCCAGCAGAAAACACACATGCACACACGTGCACACGCGCACTTGTAGTCTGTTCTCATTTGGAAAGCCAGTTATGAATGAGCATGGTTTCCTGGGTAAAAATTTTCTCTTCCTTCCCTCCCCACCAAGTCTGACCTCATCTGTCATTTTCAGTGTTATGGAGGATTAGTCTGAGACTGAAAACAGGTTGAGACATGTCCAAAAAAGAGGCTCCGGATACCGAGAGAGGAGGGAGAGAAGCCAAGCAGTTTGAGGTCTCTTAAGGCAACTGACAAGAAGATCAAGAGAAGAATGTTAAGAGTAAGAGAGGAGAGTGGAGTGGACGGATAGGGAAGGCAAGAGAGACAGATGTCTGTGATGATTTAACGAGAAACACGAGATTAAAATAAATTCAGAGTCAGAAAACAGGAAGAATGTGAGGAGAAAAAGGTAATGGACTGAGAACTGCAGTGTATTTGATAAAACATAGCCCCGTTCAGATGGAAAAACAGCATCATCCCCCAGCAAACTCCTCTGGAACGTGGGGGTGGGGGGAATGCAAAAGAATTAATAGCTCCACTTGGTAGTGGGATCCTTTCATGCTAAAGGTGTGAAAGTGATTTACAAACCGGCATCATTACTGGACCTTTGTCACAGTTTGCTGAAAAGATAAGGTGAGGCTCTAACTTGTTAGTCTTTGCATGCCTAGACCACCCAGAGACAAAACTCAACCCAGGGCTCAAAATTCCTCCAGTCTGTTTGCTCTCTGTCCTAATTAGTGAAGCTATTTCTAAAAACAAACAGATATCTCGTCTCACAGATTCCCTCGCCCCACTGCTATCTGCATTTAGTGCCTTCTCCTGACTTGTCTGATTCTTCCACTCGCATTTCTTCTCAGGTACCAGGGTTGCAAATCTTGGCCTTACCCCCTACCTCCACCCCCCATCCCCCATACCTCTTACCAACACATCTAAACACTCGTTAAGCTCACAGCATTATCTTCACAATGTAGTTCACTTCTATTCCTGCTTTCTAGTTCCCACTGATACCATCTTCGTTCTTCAAACACTTCTTAGTCTGTTCTCCATTTCGCGTCAAAGCCCCCCTCACCCCCACCCCAGCCCTACCTTATAACTAATGGATTACTCATCTGACAGTACAGTTTTGGTGATGTTATCAGTCTCTGACTCAAAAGCCTCTAATAACTTCCCATATTCTCTATGAACTCCTCTGCCTGCCAGTCAGCCTTTCATTTAGCCATCATTTATTGTCTACTTTGTGTCAGGCACTGGGTACAAAGATGAGTAAGGAAGTTGATATCTAGAGGGAAGAGGGATGAAAAATGGATCATTACAATCCAGGGTTAATACTACTGTGATATAGGAATACTGATGAGGAATACTTAACCCAGACAGAGTGTGAGGGAAGGGTTCCTGCGAAGAGGAGGTTATTTCTGCGCTGAGTCGCAAATGGCAAATTGGACTTAGCCAAGTAGGGAATAAGGGGGAAATCATTCCAGGCAGATAGAGCTGCATGTGCAAAGGCCCTGAGGCCTTGAGAGCTGGTAGGAGCTGAACATCACAAATGCTTCCTTCCTTCTGTTTGGAGCACGGGTGTGAAGAATGGCCCTGAGGATTAAGAGGGGTCAGATTGCAAAACACTGGGCATGCCATGGAAGGGGGTTTGGTTTCACCTTAAAAGATGTGAGGGAGCCAAGGAAGGCTTTTAAGTGGGGCAGGGGAGCATGGTCCAGTTAGAGGGCTGTTCAATAATGCAGGTGAGAAATGATTGGGGCCAATAGCAACAGTGGCACTTCTCCTGAGGCATCTATCGTACATTGCCTTGTTATTTGTGTACATATTTTAAAATTTCCTGAAATGTCTTACCTCTCTTATTCTCACCAAGTTGTAAACTCTTTGAAGATAAGTGCTAGACCTTAATCTTTTCTATGTCAAAACCTTTTCTGCCAGGATCTGCTCTGGTATCAGCAGAACCAGAGACAGTGAAAAAATGGGGACTAGCCTAGAAGCAGTAGGCAAGAGGGAGCTCCCCAGCCAAAAGAGAGAAAGGAATGTGAGGTTTCTTTTCACTCCGACCCCACACTTCCTGCAGCCCAGCTGGGTTCCCGCTCTAGTTTCTGAGAAGCAAGGTCTGAGTCACCTCTTTCTTCCTAAACTCCCCTCTTCCCCAAAGGGATTGGAAGGCTGGAGGGGTACTGAGTAGGAAGGATAGCAGGCAGCACCATCTGATTCTATCCCCTTCTTGCCATACAGACAAACGGCAGCGATACTGACAATGGCCAAGCCCTGAAGACCCTAGCCAGAATGTAACGTCCACCTCTCATCCCTGGGACCCGGCTTCCACTGGGGTGGAATTTCGCTTGGAGAGTAGGCAGAGGGGGGTGAAATTAGCCTTGAGAAGCTGGGTGGGAGGTGTGGGGAGGAGGGCTTGAGGGAAGGCAGGGAGTGGAATCAAATAATTTGAACCACTTCTCGGGTTACCGGGCTCTTCCCTGTCTTTCTGGTAATTGCTTGTTTACTCACTTCCTGGTTCTCAGAGGCTGTTGGACTCCTGCTGTTCTGGGAGTTGTGGGCTTACCTGACCCCCCTCCTCCCCACACCTTCTCCACTGTATAGAACCTACTGGGAAGGAACAAAGACCAGAGTTCAAGTCCTAATGAGGTCTCCAGTGAGGCAGAGATGATAGTCTTCATTTGGTACCAGGCAGAGAGATGCTGAAATCCCAGAACCAGCCCTTAAATTGGCTGTTGGCCTGGTACTCAGAATGAGTACCCCTGGGAGGTGGGCAAGCTTCTGGAACCTGGTTTCTGGGAGAGGGGCTCTAAGTGCAAGGGCCCTACTGGGCCTATTTTGTCCCTAACCTACAGTCCCTCCCCAAGAGAGCATCTGAGTGCTGTGATTTAATAAATAATAAAAGTCAGAGTAAGGATATATGATATACACAAATACGCATATTGTACCCATAAAGAAAACAGTAGACAAATAAATCCTCCTATCTGACTATAACTGGTAAGAGCTTGTACAAATGTTCCCAAAAGGAGACAGATATTAGCCCCTTCATTAGTTAAGGTCCTTATCTGCATTTCTATGGTGAGGGATGATCATGTATTCATTTAAGTATGACTCTGTGCCTCTGGAGACAGAGATTCTGCGAAAACATTGATTAGGGGTAGGACCTTGCTAGAAAAAGTCATAGGTGTGCAATTCATATCTTCTAATTAAAGCACATTATCACTTACTTACAAATGGTTAGGGCTTTAATAAACTAACCCCTTAGGAGACCCTAGCTAGGTCCAAAAACAAAGATAATTTTCTATAGAAGGGTCAACATAAAACTAATGGAAGAGTTTACTATTGCTTTTCCTTAGGCACATTAGGTCCTTAAGGACTCTTAGCCTTGATCTCTAAGTTCAGGTCTCCCCTTTGGCCAGGGCCCTAGGGAGGCCATGAGTCCTTGGGAAAGTGAAAGCAAAGCTGAATCTCCAATGGCATCTGGGACATCTCTGCCCCTTCCTTCTCTGTACTGTACCCTATCCTCAGCAGCACTTGTGGCTCCCCCAAAGCCATGTTTTCCCAGTCTTCCCCTGCCTGGGCCACCCTTCCCATTTACCTGCTGGGCCAATGAATCCTTGCAGACTTTTCTACTTGATGTAATGATTTGTTCACGTTTCTTTGCTTGACCAGACTGTACCCTCTCCACCTCTAAATCATATTCATCTCCTTATCCCTCGAATCTAGCCCAGAACCTGGCAGATGCTAGGGACTAGATGTTGTCTGGGGAGACTCTAGTTCTAGTTCAGTCATTCACAATCTGTGTGACTTTCAGCAGGCCTTTTAATCTTTTTGTTTCTTAGCTTCTTCATTTTAAAATAAATCTTGCCAATTCCAACTTACACGGTTACAAATTAAAAATGAGACAACTGTGGAAGTGCTGAACAAAACGCCAGGTGGTGGAGGTGGTAGGAGGGGCGCTTAGCTCCAAGCGAAGACATATTTGTCTTAGTCTGCTCTGGCTGCCATAACAAAATATCACAGAGTGGTTTAAGCAAAAAAATGTATTTCTCATAGTTCCGGAGCCTGGAAATCTGAGATCAGGGTGCCAGCATGGTCAGGTTCTGTTGAGGGCTTTGTTTCTGGCTTGCAGATGGCCGCCTTCTTGCTGTACCCTCACATGGCAGAGGAGAGAGCGAGCTCCTAAAGACCCTATTTCCAGATATAGTCACATTAGGGGTTAGAGCTTCAACACATATGAATTTTGGGGAAGCATATCCATTCCACAGCAATGCTGAAGGAGATTCATCAGCACATAGCCCTTCAGTCCTGTTCCCACCTCCTACAGCTTGCAAATCTGAAGCACCCCACCAACTCCGTATTGCAACTACAGTAATCATGACTTGTATACCAATTTATAGATGTTTCAATAACTAAAGCATTTGTATAACATATCCTATGGCTTACGAAGAATATTTCATACAGTCTAATCTCATTTTCACAACTATCATCTCACAGATGAGAAAAGCAAGGCCCCAATGGCCAGCCCAATCTTATTTCCAGGTCCTTTAACTGTATACCTTCAAACTCTTTAGGCCACACCAAAGTACTCGGTTGTAACCACTTCAAAGAAAACAGGGCTCTAAGAGCTGGTGAAGTCTAAACTCTTCAGTTCCTCCACTGTGACCACAGCTGACCGTCTTTACTTGTTCTATTCGCTCCCATATGAATCCTTTCTTTGTGCTCTAGAATTTTATGGAGTGGAAAATATATATGGAACGAGACAACATTCTTAGAGGAAAGGACTTTACAAATGCGAAGTATTAATATTTTGTTTGATATGGGCACTATTTTCAAAGGACCCTGCATACTTTCTGTGTTTCTTTGGGATGCCCTGCCCACCCAGGACAACTGAAGGAGCCGCTCTGGTTTTAATTGCAGCAATTCACCAGACAGTTTAGAACTTTCTACGTGCCAGGGCCTCTGTCCCCTGCAAAAGCTCACATTCCAAACAAGTCAGGTGTAGGCTCCGCTCCTAGAGAGGGACGGTGTGAACAGAGCTAACTGGGTCGGCCTCTCTCCTTCCGACCTCCTACTCCCCTCCCAACACCTCCTCGCCCAGAACGTCTCAATTCTGACCCAGACACCCTGGGAGGCCGAGAGGCTCCTTTTGGATCTGCAATACACCCTCCTCACCACAACCAACAGACAAAACGCGCGAGTGCCGTGCAAGGTGGAAACCCTTCCCTCCGGGGGGCGATCGCCCCAGTAGGGTGAAGCAGGCCTCTTTGTTCACGGGATGCCTCGCTAGCAAGCCGGCGGCGGGGGCGTTCCCTGGACCGTGAGACCCCGGCTCCCGAGGACGCCTCCCGTGCCGCCGCTTCCCTCAAGCCCAGTGCCGCCAGCGGCCAGAGCTCCGGATTCCTGCCGCCCCCAGCCCACCGGCAAGAGCTGGCTTCATTTTCCCAGTCCCCCTTTCATCTGGCCGCACAGGCAGAGCACCGTCCGCTAAGGTCTCCTCCCATCCCAGCAGGAAGGGCGGGGAGACCCGCGGAGGATTTAAAGGGGCGCGGAGGTCAGGAGGGCTGGGGGCGGCTCCGCGGAGAAAATGGGGCGCGCTCGTCCTCTCCCGCAGCCTCGGCCGCCGCGAAGCTTCCTCCCAGCTCCCGCCTTTCCGGGCCCGGCGGGCCGAGGGGGAAGGGAGGCTTCCTGCGCCGGCGCCCGCGGCTGCCCCAGTGAGGTCCCGCCCGAGAGCAGGCCCAGGCGGGGGCTGGGCGCGCGGCGCGGCGCTGCGGGCTGGAGGGCGGGGGCGGGGCCCGCCGCTTTTAGAGTCACCTCCCGCGCGCCGCGGCCGCCGTTGCCAGGGTGACCGGGGGAGCTCCGTTGTGGGGAGGCGGCCGCGGCGGGTACCGGTGGGCGGAGCTCAGCGGGCGGGGCGGGGCGGGGCGGGGGCGGGGGGAGCTTCCTCGTCGTCATGGGAACGGCGCAGTTATTTCCAGCCCCCGGGCCGTGCCAGTGGCGCGGTGCCAGGATGCGAGAGTATTGCAGGACAGCGGCAATCTGCTGCGACCTGGGACATAACAATGCGCCCCTTCTGCAGCGCTGGGCCCGCCGGCGAGAGGTCTCGCTGGTCTGAGGGGCTGGGGCCGCCCCCGCGCGTCGTGTCTCCTCTCGGCGCTCTTCGGCTCGGAGCCTGGCGGCTCAGCGCGCTCCCGGCTGCACGTGCTGCCCCCGCCGCCGCCCACGCCAGACAAAGCGGGGCCCTCCCGGGCGTGTTTCCTAGGCGCCCCCTTCCCTCGATGAACCCTTTGATTTCTTCCTTCTTCTCTCTCACTTCGTTCCAGCCCCCTCAACTGCCTCCTGGAGCGCCTTTTTTGTGTGCTCGCCATCTCACGTTTGGCCCTCTCTCCAAAGCTCTGCCTTCACGAACGCCTCCATTTGACCTTCCCCCTCCGCCACTCTCTGGTCTCCTTTGGTAGCTTTATCATTACATTTGATGGAAGGGCGACTCTCCCCTCTCCTATTTTCAGCTCCACATTACCTTTTGTATTGTCCTCTCCCCTTCCTATTGGCATCTTCTTTCTGTCCTTGCCCTTTTCAAGACTCTTCCAGAAACTCTCTTGATGTCTCTGCCTCTTTTCACGGTTTCCTTTCCACTTTTTCTTTTCTCTCTGGGCTGTGGGACAGCAGAAGGGAGATTGCAAATGGCTACCTAGATTGAGTGCCCCTTTTACCTCACTGACGCCATCCTTTTTTCTGTCACCTTGAGGTCACATTATTTGGGCACCTTGATGAGGCTTTGGGGATTCTACTGCCGTTGCTGCCATTAGCAGTCTCTTTGCTTGGAAGCTTAAATGAAGGAAATTTCTGGGAACTGGTCAAAGACTCCTGAAATGCACCTTGAGGACTAAACATCTCTCTCCCTCCATCTCTGCTTGGTTACTCTGGTTTGTTTCGAACACCGGCTGCTTCTTCCCACTTCTTGACTCCCTGCACCCCTACCCGCCCCCCCAGCAATCACATTGTTCATCCCTTTGGCACCAGCCCTAGAGAGGAAAGGGTAGGTCCTCCTCTCCAGGAAGGAAGGTGGGGCAGAGTAGCTCCCGCAGGAAGGGAAGGAAAAAGGAGGGAAGGAAGGAAGTGGCCAACAGAAGGTGGAATCCGGTGGGAGGACTTTTCATTGTTTGAACGTCTTTCCTTTTTAGCTCTGCAAAGTCAAGCCCAAGGCCATCTCACCAAGGTTCTGCTGCCATCTCCCAGAACCCCAGCTAGGACTCCCTTGCCAGAGGCTGGAGGGGGCTGAGGTTTTGGTGGACATATTTAAGTGAAGTGGGCAGAGTTTCATGTATGCTGCAAATTGTAAGCACTTACATTTTTAATGTATCCATCTTCTGTTTCTTTTCTGTCCAACAAAGTCAGCTTTTATCTTCCCTTTTCTCCAGGGGGAAAAAAAAAAAGAAAAACTCCAGGGTAGAATTATGCCTCAGGTAAGGAAAATGTATCTACCATTTCCTGAGGACCTTCTACCTGTGAATCTGCTCTTATGTTCTGTAATACTTTACATTTGCATAGGGCTTTTTTCCCTGAGTTTTAAAGGGAAAGGCTGAGTTTTAAAGTTAGTGGGTAAAAGGAACCAAGTAGGGTTGCGATAAGGGTTGAGATGAAGTAGTGGAAATGGGAGCTCTTTAAAACTAAATACTCATGAATACTGCTCTCCAATATTTCCCCACCTTTTTTGTAGCCTAGGCTTAGGGCCAAATGCAAGCCCCAAGAACACAGGCAAGGAAGTGCTTTTGTCCTTTCTAGGCATGTGATCCAGTACCAAAGATGCTTAGTTATGAACGAAGAGAAGTTTGTGGTATGACTATTCTTTTGCATAGTGTATCTTTGCATCTCCATTCACTTAATACCCGAATACCTAGAAAACTGCCAGCCAGGCTTTGGTTCATTGTCAGTGTCTTGTTCCTTGAAAGCCCTAGAAGGACAAAAAAATTAGCTATGCTTTGGAAGACTTTGTCTGAAACCTACACTAGGTTTCAGACAAGGTCATCCAACCTTCTGGATTAGTTAACTGTGTCCTGAACACTGAGCAGAGGCCAGAGGGAGTGGGGTTTTGTTTTTCTCATCCTGGGGAAGCTCATCCTTGTGCTCTGCAAGTGTGTGCTCTGGGGAGAGAGTGTTATCAACACTTCCATGGTGTGGGATGGGGTGGGGGTCAGGAAGGGGGCCAACAACTTTAGAAGGCTTTCTTTTGTTTTCTGTTTTAAGTTGCTGTCTTGGTGATGGGAAGATATGAAAGGGTGGACACCTGGCTGTTGGAGTTGGGACAAGTATGAGCAGAGCTGTGGGGCTTGGCTTCCTTTCCTACTGGCTCATTTCCCCGGGGAGGGGAAGATAGTGGTCTAGAGGGAATTTGCTATCCCTTTCAATCAGCAAACGGACCTGCAAGCCAGTTTGCCTGGGCACTTAGGGCACTGAGTTTGGGGCACCTCAGGGAGCTTATACTCTCCCAGAAAACACAAGCCCTGCAAACAGTTCTCTGGTCATTGTGTGGAGCAGGTGTGGGATGCAGAGGTAGGGCAGATTCCCCGTAAATAGAAGACAGGATTTTCTCATAAACAGAGGTCTCAACTATGAGGGGGAGCTGGGCTTCCTTAGGCATTCCTAGTTATGGAGATGGTCGAGGAGCCTGGGCTGGAAGTTAGCCTGTCAGAAATTCTGCAGCGTTGTGTTTCTGTGCTGGGTAGGGGTGAACTGATGGCCCACATGGTCCCGTCTGACTTCAAGATTCTGCAATTTTGAAATATACTAATGATCCTAGGCAGCATGTGATGAATAGCTTGAGCTTTACTAGGGATTCCATTCATCAAATATTTATTGAGTGTGTACTTTGTACTGCAGCTCTGCTAGACGCTGTAGGAGATTCAGAGGTATGAACAATAGGGTTTAAGATCTTTGCAGAGGCCGCTAACACTTGGAATACAGTGAGGCAGGAAGGGGGTTCCAGGCCAGAATGAGTGGTCCTGCCCCACATTACCACCCCATCAAAACCAGACAGTCAGCATTCTCTTAACACCAGTGCCCTGTGATTTGTTTCTTCCTGAGATGCTGGTTTCAAAGATTTCCAGGGACTTTGATCTGCAGGATGGGGGCAGAAGAGAGAAACCGTGTTAATCCAGAGAGAAAGGCAGAGCGTGTGGGGTTGTGTCTCTAAGGGTGAACGCTGAGTGAGGATAGAGTCCCTCCTGTCAGGATGTGCCAGGATGGGGCAGGCATGAGAACCGGGAAGAAAATGAGGTGGAAATGAATGGGCCCCTGTAGGAGGAGGTAATGAGGTGAATCAGAAAAATCTGTCACTGAGATCCAGGAAGCGACTGGGAGGTTTACTCTCTCTTGGTCCTTTTAAAGATGAGATGTGTCAATTTGAGAACCTGGACTCATGAAGACAGATCTACCAGGCGCCAGGGATGGAGCGGGTGGGAGCTTGCTGTAGCTGCTGTGCAAAATGGTAAGATCCCCATACTTGGGCAGCCTGGAATTGGCCCTGGGGCCCATCTCTCGTTTACCATCTTTGGCAAAAGGAGTCCTGCTGAACCCCAAGAACTCCTTCCCTGGCCAGTGCTCAGTGCCCCCATCCCCATCAGCAGCCCCCTGGGAAGAGTCCAGGTATCTGTAGGGACTCTCAGGACTTGTAAGCCAGAGAGAGCTGTGGGGAGGGGGTGGAGGTGACCACTGCAGAATGGTGAATGTCTGGGGAAATGAATGTGTCCCTTTCAAGGATTCTGATTGGCTCAGTTGTTCAGGGGAGCAACTCAGGAATCAGTTTCATTAGACTCCTTAGCATCTTCAGGGATGCAAACCTCTGCTTTGTTGGTTTATGTCTGTGTGTGTCCTGGAATAACCTCCCTCTACCACAGCTGTGGACACTCTCAGAATCCTATGCCCAGAATGTCCTTCAGGGGATCATTTCTTGTAGCTTGGGAAGGACCTGGGTGTGATTTGAAGGGTCTCAGGAGGAGGGGCAGGCACTCACATGCCCCTAACCATGTCTCCTACTAGCCTGTAGCTTCTTTGGGGACATTGGTCTAGTTTTGAGGCATGATTTTGGGTACCCATTGAAATGCAAATGCTGCCTCTGCACTCCTGATGACTGTGTGCTGTAAGTTGCAGAGCAGCAGGCACAGAAAAGGGCCACCCAGCACAGACCAAGAGCCTGAAGGAATGGGATCTGGGACCAGGGAATGATGGGGATGGGGACAGGTCCAGGGAGGAAAAAAACAAATAAACATGGGGGTTAGGGTTAGAAGCCTTCTTTGCTGTCTGCGCTTCATCTCTGGTGAGCTTGAAGGACTCTGGAGCTGCCCCCGGGTCCTGGCTTGCAGGATAGAGGTGCTCAGCCATCTCTGAACCATAGGGCCTGTGGACCTGACTCTGTGGCCTGGGATATCTGGGAACCTCCGTGAGGTAGATGGGGGCTGGAGTGAGATTTTATTCTACCTTGAATATGAGAATAGGAAGGCTACTTCTGGGAGTTTTGCTCCTGTCTGCATTCAGATCACCTCAGCTTTCTTTGCTTTGAAGAATGAACAGAAGCCAGGGGCTCCATTTGATAAGGGCTCTGCGGGGGAATTGTGGGATGTGGTTGTGAGCTGCAGGGAGCCCTTCTCCTGCCCAGATGATGGATGTGACAACCCTCTGCAAGAGAGGCAGCCAGATGCCAGTTGCTTTTCTGGTGTTAGCTCTCACTGGTGGGGTTCAGCTAGAAAGCCCTGGCAGGTATCATATGCAAACCAAATGAGGGCCAGAGGCACCTGGCCTGAACCCAGGGTCCTCAATGCCAGACACCTGGGAGTTCCCCTGCAAAGGGTAAGGCAGTGGAGGGGAGGGGCTGAGCTGGAAGCTGAAAGAGATGGGGCAGAGGATGGACTCTTCAGCCCCAGAGGAACTGGTCTTAAGCCTGTTGCACTAGTCAGAGTGACCAAGAGGGAGCCCCCATGCCCGCGTGCATAATCAAGTTCTGAGAGCTGAGTGATTAACGTGTAACTCTGGCAACTCAGATCTGGCCATTTTTGGTTACTCCAAGGCCACTGAGCCTTCCTCCTGAGGTTCCCTGCATTTCCCATCTCCACCTGTCAACCTCTGTGTTGGACTGTTTGGTTTTATCTGCATCCTTAGCTGACACGTTCAAGAGCTAATTGAGCTTAGAGGGTGAAAAGAGGCTCACCTTCACTTTCAGGATTAAATTCAAATTCTCCAGTACTAGATATTCAAGCCTTTGTGGTCCATTCCCTGCCTACTTTTACTGCCTCATCTTTTGACACCATCCCACATGCATGGCACCTTCTAGTCCAAACACATGGAGGTGTTTGTAGTTTTCCAGAGGATGGTCTACTGTCATTCTGCTGTGTCTTTGCCCATGCTGTTCACTCTCCCTGGAGCATATCCTTCCCTTCTCCCAATCCAGAGATGCCTGGCTCTTCCTATGAGGCCTTTGAAAGAACTTGTGGCTCGTCTTTTCCAGAGTTACTTTCCCGATGCCCCATGTCTCCCCATTCTGGGGTAAGAGGTCCCTTCTCTGTTCTCCCAGTCAACCCAGTCACGGCAGTTATCTATTAGATTGTGATCATTTGCTCCTTTGTCTTCCTTTTTTTCGGGGGTTGGGGGGATGGAGTTTCACTCTTGTTGCCGAGATTGGAGTGCAGTGGCGTGATCTTGGCTCACTGCAAGCTCTGCCTCCCAGGTTCAAGCGATTCTCCTGCCTCAGCCTCCCAAGTAGCTGGGATTACAGGCATGTGCCATCATGCCAAGCTAATTTTTGTATTTTTAGTAGAGATGGGGTTTTGCCATGTTGGTCAAGCTGGTCTTGAGCTGACCTCAGGTGATCCACCCGCCTCAGCCTCCCAAAGTGTCGGTATTACAGGTGTGAGCCACTGTGCCTGGCCAAGCTCCTTTGTCTTCCTAAGAAACAAACAATTTCTTCTGGGGTTTCTCAGTGCTTAGCACTGTGCCTGATACAGAATCATCACTTGTTTATTTGTTTAGTTGCCAGTTGTCCGTGTCCTCCCCACCCCCACTAGAATTTAAGCTCCATGAGAGCAAAGATCTTGTCTTCTTCATTCACTGCTAAACCCCAATGTCTAGCACATAGTGGGCCTGCCATAAATATTTGTTGAATGAATGCATGGAAGTCATGAGCTGTGATTCACATTTGGATCCTCCCCTGAGTGCCCCAGTGACCTCGTGTAAGTTCCTCAGTATACTTAGGATGGTGTGCGTGTGTGTGGGGAGTTGTGGTGGGACCTGTGTTTAGTGCACAGCCTTATGGACCACTTCAAGTCTTCTCTGTCTGAAATCTTCCAGCCTCTGCTCCTGTGGCCAGTTCTGTGCAGGATTCCCAGCTTTGTGCATGTACAACTCAGAAGTATGGAGGAGTTCGTACCTTGTGGATGAATGCTTCCCCCCATTCTTTTCCCGGTGGATCATCTTAAGATGAGTTTCAGTTTCCTCAGACGGTCTTGCAGGGTTGCAGGGTTGGTTACCAGTTGATCCTTAGCCATAGACAGCTTCATAATGAATCCTATTGACTCTCTGTCCCCTGTTTCTGCCTCCTGGGATTATATTCCCAAACGCACTACTTGCACGTAAGCCTTTGTCTCAGGTTCTGCTTTTCGGGGGAACTCAGGTGAAGACAATCAGGTTCCACTCTTGGCTCTGCTACTAACTAGTTCTATTTTTGGGTAAAACCATTTCACCTGTCTGCTTCTGTTTCTTCAGCTGAAAAATGAATATCATTGCCTACCACACAAGGTTTTTTGTAATATTTGATAATTCAATATATGTGAGAATGTCCGATTCAGTCCCTGCATATAGCAGGCATTCACTAAAGGTTTCTTTCTTTTCTTCCCTCGCATTGCTCTAAAAAGGCAGGTCTGGGAAGCCTGCTTGGCCTGTTGGCCTCCTGGCTGGTGAGGCCTTGTGAACAAATGCTGCTGAACATGATATCTGCTCTGGTGGGAAAGCCAAGCCAGAGGAGCAAAGGGTGACTAGGCCAGATGACTCAGGGGTTTGGCAACTGGATCATTCTCTTCAGAGCATTCTGTAAACATTGGTCAATGGAATCTTGCAACATGCCTGACAGGTGGGAGGCGGGCAGGAGCAAGGGTGTGGAGGATGTGGAGGCAGGGAGGAGGCCAAACATGTTGCTCACAGGGGCCGAGGGCAGCATGTTTAAGATGCTCCTGCAGCATGCTGGTAGGAAATGTTTTCAATGGGGGAGAGGATGGGGTGGTGACTTCTCAAGTTCTATTTCTGTCCCCTGCTTCTTTCCTGTCAACCCCATGGCCTTTCCCGGGTGGCGTCTTGTTGCTGCAGAGAAAAAATCTTCATGCACCCCATGTCCAAAGTAGCTTACAGCCCATAGCCATGAAAAGTGAGAGTACAATTTCTGGCCTTCCTATGGGAGATGAGAGAGGGATTTGGGGGAAGGGGAGCTGCCTGGCTCCCCCTTTATTTATATATGATATACCTCCTCAGCCCACAGGTAAGGCTGGTTCTAGGCACATTAAGCCCATTGGCTCCTGGGAAGATCCTTGGGAAATGACTCAGAAGGGCTGGGTCAGCTTTCATGGTGTTTTATCTTTGAGCAGTGAGACCTCTGCTTCCCACCCTCCCTGGCAGCCTCGGCAGCCAGCTGGGGACAGTCATGCTCGCTGATTTGCAGAGGGATTCTCTTTCTCTCTGCAGCCTCCACCACCCCAAGATGAGCACGGGAAGGGGAGGTTGGTGCCAGGGTGAATGGTTGGGTGCCTCCCCCTCCACAGAGGTGGTCCATCTCCCAGAACCACCCTCCTGCACCTCCCGATGGACTAGATTCCTGCCCTGTTGGAAATCTGGCAGACATCTGGCTTTGACTGGGCCTTCTGAAGTAGCCCGGGAGGGGAAAGAGGCAATTGTCAGCAGATGATAGCCGCAGCTGGTGCTGTGCCTTTGTATCCACAGCCCCTCCACCTCCCTGTCCCTGCCCTGCTCCTTCCTTTTGGTGGCAGCCCAAGGCCTGCTCCCACCTGGCTAGCAAGTCCCTGAACTCCTTACATGCCCACCGTCAGGTCTCTGTGCCTTGTGGTCAGTTGCATTTAGAGACCTGAGGCTCCTCTCACTGCAGCCCCCCGCGGACCTCCCTTCCCTGCCCCCTAGCCAGCTACTGGCTGTGCAGGCACAAGCAGAGCAATCTGAAGAGCTGGGAACTTTCTCTGGAGGGAAGTGGCTGAGAGGGGTGGGGAGAGAGAGTGAAAACTGAAAGGGAGACCGGCAGTGAGAGAATTGTGGCCTAAATTGCCAGGACCAATCATCTCTAGGCGCCCAATTCCCAATTTGTTACATTCATCTGGGGATGAGCATTGAAATAGTCACACGTATATATTGCTTGCATATGCAGACATTCAGTGTGCAGTAAGTCCTCAGCTAACGTGATCGATGGGTTCTTGGAAACTGTGACTTTAAGCAAAATGACATATTGAAATCAATTTTACCACAGACTAATTGATATAAACAAGAGTTAAGTTCCTATGGAATATTTCTGGTCACAAAAATATCACGAAACTTTTTCTTTTCTTTTTTCTTTTTTTGAGACAGGGTCTCACTCTGTCTTCCAGGCTGGAGTGCAGTGGCAGGATCATTGCTCACTGCAGCCTCTGTCTCCTGGGCTCAGGTGATCCTCCCACCTCAGCCTCCCAAGTAGCTGGGACCACAGGGGCATGCCACCCTGACCAGCTAATTTTTTTGGTATGTTTTGTAGAGATGAGTTTCACCATGTTGCCCAGGCTGGTCTCGAACTCCTGGGCTCAAGGGATCCACCTGCCTTGGCCTCCCAAAGTGCTGGGATTACAGGCATAAGCCACTGTGCCTGGCCATCACTAAACTTCTTAATAAAGACTCAAAACATTTCTAATATTAAACACTGAAATAAATGTGAGCTATGCATACATTTAAGAAAGATTAATAAAAATAAGATAATTATTAACCTGCTTTCCAGTTTAGGGTTGAAGCCTATCCCAGCAGCTCAGGGCACAAAGTAGGAACTGACCCTGGAGAGGCCGCCATTCCATTGCAGGGCACACTCACATCCCCACTCGCTCAGACTCGGATCATGGAGACATGCCAATTCACCCAACACGTGCATCTTTGGGATGTGGGAGGACACCAGAGTACACGGAGAAAGCCAGGAGGAGCTGCTGTAGCTGGCTGGCCAAATTTGGTCACACTCATCCTCAGCCCCAACCCTCCTTTCCAGCTATCTGATCCTCCCATACTCCAGGCCCACGGTCCACCGAGTGTATGAATTGTGTCCTTTATCACAGTGGTTTTCAAAGTGTGGTTCCTGGACCAGCAGCATCAGTATCTCTTGAGGACTTGAAATGCAAATTACCGGCCCATCCCAGACCTGCTGAGTCAGAAACTTTGAGAATAGGGCTCAGCAATCTGCTCATCAAGCCCTCCAAGTGATTCTGATGCTCTCTAAGGTGTGAGAACCACTCTTTCTCATGATGTTTGCAAGAATCTGAGCAAAGAATACTTTGTCCAGGGCAGAGAGGCCAAGGCTAGCAGTGGGTAATTGCTCTAACAAGCCAGACTTCCTGGTGAACACCCTACAGCTTGCAACAGGTGCTAGAGGGTCCCACTCACTAACAACTACAACAGAGGCATCCAGAAATGCTGAGCGGACAGTTCTCACCGACATCTCTCCTAACTGGGAGTGGGATTCAACAGAGGTAGAAACGCTCTTCCCCAAAAATGTGGTGAAGCTGGGGAAGAAAGGGGCAGTGAAAAGAGAAAGAGAAATAAGGAAAGAATACGGGAAAAGCTGGGCATGGTGGCTCACGCCTGTAATCACAGCACTTTGGGAGGCCAAGGCAGGCCGATCACTTGAGGTCAGGAGTTCAAGACCAGCCAGGAACCAGTGACTTGCAAGAGGAAACATGTTAGCTCAGCATTAAAATGCAGTGTTGGTTCTGACTTGGTGTCCACATCTTTTCTCTGAAGGGGCCTCTGTGACAGTATTATTTGGTTAGCTAGGTTTTTCTGAGTAACAAGGCTGAATTTTTGGAGGCAAGGAGTATAGTAGAAGGAGCATTGGATAAGGAGTCAGCAAACATGAACTCTTCTACCCACTTTTAACATATCTTTCTCAACTTAATGGGACTTTTTCTGGCCAGTTTCCCAACCTGTGCAGCTAGAGTAATATTATTAACTCCATTTACCTGAAAACAATGCTTTGAGGATAGGATAAGAACCCTGTTGTAAAAACTTTTGGGAAAGTTAAAAGTGTTTAGTATCTAGTCCTACAATACTAGTTTTTGTTGTTGTTGTTTCTTTTTTTGAGACAGGGTCTCCATCTGTTTCCCAGGCCAGAGTGCAGTGACGTGACCATAGCTCACTGCAGACTCGATCTCCCAGACTCAAGCAATCCTCCCACCTCAGCCTCCCAAGTAGCTGGGACTACAGGCACACGCCAATATGCCTGGCTAACTTTAAAACTTTTCATAGAGGCTGGGCGTGGTGGCTCACGCCTGTAATACCAGCACTTGGGGAGGCTGAGATGGGCGGTTCACTTGAGGTCAGGAATTTGAGACCAGCCTAGACAATAGCAAAAGCCTGTGTCTACTGAATATACAAAAGTTAGCTGGGCGTGGTGGCTGGTGCCTGTAATCCTAGCTACTCAGGAGGCTGAGGCACAAGAATCGCTTGAACCCGGGAGGTGGAAGGAGGATGCAGTGAATTGAGATCACACCACTGCACTCCAGCCTGGGCAATAGAGTGAGACTTCATCCTGAAAAACAAAAAAACCAAAATCTTTTTATAGCGACAGTGTCTCATTATGTTGCTCAGGCTGGTCTTGAACTCCTGGGCTCAAGCGATCCGCCTGTCTCAGCCTCCCAAGTGCTGGGATTACAGGCATGAGCCACTGCACCCAGGCGTTTTTTTTTTTTTTTTTTTTTTTTTTTTGACAGGGTCTTGATCTGTCACCCAGGCTAGAATGCAGTGGTATGCTCACAGCTCACTGCACTGGGCTTGACCTCCTGAGCTCAAGTGATCCTCCCACCTCAGCCCCCTATAGCTGGGACTACAGGTCATGCCACCATGCCCAGCTAATTTTTTTGGTATTTTTTGTAGAGATGGGGTGTCGACATGTTGGCTAGGCTGGTCCTGAACTCCTGTGCTCAAGGGATATGCCCACCTCAGCCTCCCAAACTGTGGAGCCAACATGCCCCACCGATTTTTTAAAAATAATCTTCTCTGTGGCCTGAACCCAAAGGGCAATCAGAGTCAAAGGGCAGGTTCATATGTTGGAAATAACAGTTGAGCAAGGACAGGATGTCTGAGCTCTGATTTCAGTTTTGCCACTAACTAGCAGTGTGATTGTACATCAACTGCCTTTCTCTCTGGGCCTTAGTTTCCCCGTCTATAAAATGGGGATGTTAGATTAGATCATGTCTAATGCCACACTAAGATTTAACAGTCTGGAAGTCTATGACTTTAATTAGTTATCATGGTCTTGATTTCTAGGCAGGCTATCATACTCTGGCCTTTGTGTCATGGAGGGAGAGAAGCCAAAGAAAAGAGATGGTGTGCATCAGAATATTGTTGCTAGATCCAGGATGCAGGACATGGGGGATGGAGACTGAAGGCAGAGCTGGAAGGCTGTCATTCTCAGACAATTTTCTGGAAGTCTGGGTGCTTTTTTCACCCATGAAGCTCGGGTTGGCAGCTCATAAACCAGGGAGTTCCCAGGAGAGAGAAGCTAGTGGGCTGGCTTTATAGACTCCTATGCCACCTCTCTCCTTGGCTTCATGACACTGGATATTTGAATTCCAATTGTCCCCTTCTGGAGACCAGCAGGGGTGGAGGGTAGGGAGCTTAACCTTTCAGCTCCACATCTATGCCTTGTCCTTAGCCTGGCCTTGAGAGAGCTGCTCAGAAAGAAGGGCGGTGAGCAGGCCACTGGCTTTAGGAAGGAAAGAGAAAAAGCCCAGCATGCTCTTAGAAGACCAGCATTCCTGCCTCCCCAAGCACTATCTCTGGCTCTCCTGCCACTGGACACCTCTACCCTTAGCCAGGCCAAGGGTGTGTGCCCTGAGCCTCACTCACGTCCTTCCTCCTTAAGGGCCACTCACAGCTTTGGAGAGCAGCTTAAGTGGCAGAACCGGTATCAGAGCACCCCGGGGCTCTGTGAGGCTGTAGCTTCTACTCCTGGGAAAGGCTGGAGGCTATTTCTACTCCCTTAGTCAGCACAGGGCGGGAAGGGTGAGGGCCTGGGAAAGGCCAGTGGTGTGAGCTTCTGCAGTAATTGCTCCTCTGTAAACACAGTAATAGCAGGTCTGGGATTATGGCTGTTACTCCTGATAATTATCAGCTGCAGTGCCTTCCTCCCTAGGTGGGCCACACGAGCTCATCACAGCACAGGGGGCTGTGGAGTAAGCTCCAGATTTCCCAGATCTCTTTCTACAGTTGCTAGGCAACTAGGAGTCTGTGCTGGAAGCAGGGGATCTCATTTAGGAAAATCTCCCTAGGTCCCCCAAATCTCTGAACTCGAAATTGATTGTTCTCCAAGTGGAGGCCTTGAATGACTGACCTCTCACCTGGGAAGGTCAGAGGCCCGTCCAGATGCAAAGGCAGTCCGTCTGGTAACTGAATGAGGGACCCAGCCAGCCCAGGGCACATGGGGAGGAGAGGCTGGTCTGGGAGAAAGCCTTTTGCTGAATCCCATGACTTGTTTAGGGAACGGGGCTGGTTCCTGTGTACTGTGGCTTAGCTGGCTGGGATGAGAAGCAGCTTACAGGTGTCCACCTTGTACTGACCAGAGAAGCCTAAGAGGTGACCCAGAAGAAGAGAAGACTCAGAGGGCTGGAAGGTGAACTTGTGTTATTTGGCTTGGTTTTTTTTTTTTTTGAGATGGAGTTTTGTTCTTGTTGCCCAGGCTGGAATGCAATGGCGCGATCTCGGCTCACTGCAACCTCTGCCTCCCAGGTTCAAGCAATTCTCCTGTCTCAGCCTCCCAAGTTGCTGGCTGGGATTACAGGCATGCACCACCACACCCTGTTTTTTATTTTTAGTAGAGACGGGGTTTCACCGTCTTGGTCAGGCTGGTCTTGAACTCCTGACCTCAGGTGATCCGCCCACCTTGGCCTCCCAAAGTGCTGGGATTACAGGCGTGAGCCACCGTGCCCAGCCAAGCTGGCTTGTTTTTAGTGGAAAGTGCCGTGAGTGTGTTAGGGAACAGGCCCTAGTGTCTTCTGCTCCACTCCAGAGCTCCATGGACCAGTGTGTGAGACCACAGGGGAGGAGAAAGTTCTTGGAGTTGCCTTGATTTATTGATGAAGGGGATGTGACTTGGAGGTTAGTAACCCAAATCGTATCTATTCAAGGACCTAATGCATTGTTTTAGGCATGACTTGGGAATCTACTCCCAAGACACTCGGTCTCTTTGTCATAAGTTCGGGCAGGTGTGGAGTTGGGAAGGAGGAGAAGGAAGCAGCAGGGACTTTGGTCCTGGATCCTGTTCACCATGACCCAGCATGACGTTTTCCTATTGAGTTTTGAGGAGTGCATCTACTCTGCTTACCTGGCAAGAGACTCTAGCTCAGAAGCAGAAACCAAACACACAGGCATGAAAACCCAACAAACCTTCCTTGACCATGTACTCAGATTGGCAGGTGCTAGGGGCTAGGAGGAAAATCAGGACCTGTAGGACCCAGTTCCTGCCCTCAGGGAGCTCACAGTCTACCAGGGAGGTGTCACATGTACTACTGCAATTAGAGGTCATTTTTCTTCCTGGGAATGAGTGTCTCACAGCAGCCAGAGGTTGAGGCTTTGTCTTAAGGTGGAGGTAATAAAAACCTGTTTGTTTTCCCAGAGCAAGACTTGCCTCAGGGCCCCTGCTTGTTTGAGACAGGGCATTCAGTTTGCCTGAGTCAGGCTGGGGAGGTTCTTCTAGTCTTTGGAATCCTGTTGGGCAGGGTGGCTGCAGGGGATCTGGAAGAGGTAAGGCCTGTCCCAGGGGTGGGGGCTGAGGAGGTGGACATGAAGAACTCCCTGGATTAGGACAGTGGCCCAGGAGGGGAAAAGAGATGTTTGGGTGGTAAGAAAAACAGAACGAGAGAGTAGGAGCAGCTGGCCACCCAGCAACCCTGACCACAGTCCTCTCCACCTAGCTGGAACGGCGTGTGATGAAAAGAACCAAGCTGCCCACACACTCGTGGTGACAGCACTTTAACACAGAAATATCCATGATCACAGTCATCTTCAGATTCAACCAATATTCATGGAGTTCCCACCGTGTGCCAGCTAAGAGGCTTGGTGCTTTTCCACAGCTATCTTCTTTAGCCCACATTCTCTCAATAATTCTATGAAGTAGGTGGCTCACTCCTGTAATCCCAGCACTTTGGGAGGGCGAGGCAGGCAGATCACTTGAGGTCAGGAGTTCGAGACCAGCTTGGCCAATGTGGTGAAACCCCATCCATCTGTACCAAAATTACAAAAATTAGTCAGGTGTGGTGGCACATGACTGCACTTCCAGCTACTCAGGAGGCAGAGGCACAAGAATCGCTTGAACCTGGGAGGCGGAGGTTGCAGTGAACCGAGATTGTGCCATTGCACTCTAGCCTGGATGACAGAGTGAGACTCTGGCTCAAAAATAATAATTCTATGAAGTAGGTAGCAGCCTCATTTTACAGATAAGAAAACAGAACTGTGGAGGCCTAAGAGTACACAGTGAATACTCACCAGATTTGGGTTTGAACTCATCCTGCTGGCAGGTTCTATGGGACACCACCTAGATGTCCTTTAAGTATTTATTTATTTATTTATTTATTTATTTATTTATTGAGATGGAGTCTTGCTCTGTCACCCAGGCTGGGGTGCAGTGGCGTGATCTTGGCTCCCTACAATCTCTGCCTCCCGGGTTCAAGCGATTCTCCCACCTCAGCCTCCTGAGTAGCTGGGATTACAGGTACCCGCAATCATGCTCGGCTAATTTTTGTGTGTGTGTATTTTTGTGGAGACGGGGTGAGCCTCAGGTGATCCACCCGCCTCGGCCTTCCAAAGTGCTGGGATTACAGGTGTGAACCACCACGCCCGGCCTCCTTTAAGTATTTCAAATTCATTTTATCTAAAACCAAGTTCACTGCTCTTGACTCCTCCAGGGTTCCCTTGTCTCAGTAAATAGTCTCAGTGCAGCTGCCTGGAATGTGGATGTTTTCCTAGATACTTCCCTTTCTCTTGCTCCTACTCTCTAGGTCTGTTTCTCTTACCACTTAAACATCTCTTTTCCCCTCCTGGGCCACTGTCCTAATCCAGGCTTGAATCATGTATCAGCCTGGTTATCAGAATGGCCTCTAGCCTGGGCTCCCTGCCTGGAGCCTCCCCACCCTCTCCCATCCACATTGCTGCTGCAGGTACCTCTCTGTCAAGATAAATGCAAACCCATTATGTTCGTTGAAGGGCCCTTCTGGACTGGACCCTGATTGTTTGCAGTGCCACATCTCCTATCCAATCTTCCTGCACATTACTGTCCCCCAGGCAGGTGACCTGTGTGTGGTTTCCCGAGTGTGCCACACCTCTTGTCTGCCACATGCTTTGCTCAAGCTGTTCTTTCTCTCTGGCCTCCCTTGTTCTCACCCATCTCTGCTCATCCCCCCAACTTCTATTTGTGTCTTCCAACCTAGCCCCAGTTTCACCCCTTTGTGTTAGCATTTCCAGATGCCCCAGGTGGAGGTATTGCCCCTCGCTTCTGCTACCTGTCCCCAGAACAGACCGTGGGGCTCTGCTGACCAGAATTGGAGTTTTGGATGCTTGGCAACTGTAGTCATTGTTTGACAAATGAACAGCCTTAGAAAATAGTGTTTTAAGTCGAGGAGACACTGCAACATAAAATAAATTTTAGAAAACTATGTATATCTTGTGTAGTTCATTATTCAAAGGAAGAGAGTTAGCATTTGTTGAAGCCTACTACACTCTATGCCGGCCCTTTACATGTGTTATGTCACTTAACCCACAATGCTAGGACTGAGGCACAGAAAGCCTAGATGGCAGACCCACAGTCACTCCGCGGTTATGGGCCACACCTAGGGATCAAGTCCAGGCGAATTATCTGCTCCTTCCCTGCCTCCTCTGGCCTCTCCTATTTACAGGCAGGCTATCCAGTGTGGGGATTCTTTTCTTAGCTATCTGGAGGCCTATCAGGACTGTGACAAGGGAGTAGACAAGGGATAGGGGACCAGGACAAGAGGATCAGTGATGCCCAAGTCCCCACAACTCGATGTGTTTTCTTTTTTCTTTTTGAGACAGAATTTCGCTCTGTTTCCCAGGCTGGAGTGCGGTGGTATGATCTCGGTTCACTGCAACCTCTGCTTCCTGGGTTCAAGCGATTTTCCTGCCTCAGCCTCCTGAGTAGCTGGGACCTCAGGCATGTGCTACCATGCCCAGCTAATATTTGTATTTTTAGTAGAGACAGGGTTTCACCATGTTGGCCAGGCTGGTCTTGAACTCCTGGCCTCAAATGATCCTCTCACCTTGGCCTCCCAAAGTGCTGGGATTACAGACAGGAGCTACTGTGCCTGGTCTTGTGGTGCGTTTTCATCACACCTTACTGTGTCTCTCCAGAGGCACAATTCCTACGGTAGGATTGTCACAAAGTGGCCTGAAGGCTGACAGCATTGTGACTCCACGACCAGGCACATTGGGCCTATGCCCCCGTGGCCCATTTCAGCATGGAGAGAAGCAGAAACAGAGCTGGGCCCCGGGTTTTCCCAGGAGCCTGGAGCAGGGCCCTCCCCTCCCTGTCTCCTTGCTCAGCAGTGTGCTTGGTGCCAGCTGGTGCCCAGCACAGGACTATTGCATGAATGAAGGAATGATTGGGTGCATTCCAGAATGCCATGCTTCTCAGGAAGGAGGAGAAGGGAGTGCTCTCCCTTGTTCTTGGGTGTCTTTCCTAAGGTCAGGAGAATTTCTACCATCATCCAATTCCTAGCGCTCTCTCCATGCTCCCCTCCTTCTCTTCTCCCTTCCTTGGCCCCTTTTCTAGTCTCTTACCTGGGAGATGAACATATTATTTTACTTTTGCTGGCTTTGGGATCCCCTAGAGAATGATCCATTCAACACTTATTCACCAAACACTTATCGGGTGCCTTCTCTGTGCTTGCCAAGTGTGAGGCTCTATAGGTAGAAAAAGAATGAGGAAATGCACCTGACCCCCAGGAGCTCATGCACAGGGGGCAGCCTGACAAGGCAATGGGTTACAATGGCATTTGACTGGAGGTGAGTGCAGTGAGGGACACCAGGAAGACTTGGATGGATGGGACTCAGGGAAGGCATCCTGGAGAAGATGAGAGCTGAGCCGAGGCCTGAGCACTTGCATGACCCTGGGAGTGAGTGCCCCCTTACACTTTGTGTCCTTAGTCCCAGCTCTGGTCCTGAGGATGGGTTGGAGTTGGTGGGGGAAAGGGGAAGACAGTGATGGGGAACAGCTGGGAAGTGCCTTCCAGGTAAGGGAAGCAGCTTGTGGCAGAGGCCTGAAGTGAGCCCCATGGTTCCTTCATGTCCACCCCTCTGGAGGGGGCGCCGTGTGTCTGGGACAGCTGCTAGTTAGTGCCTGTACCTCATCAGTCACACCCAAGAGCCAGACCATTGTCCCCACCCCCCTTGTTACCAGTACTCTTTTTGGGGAGAGAAGGTAGCTCAAGGTGGCAAGGGACTGGCTGTTGTGGGCTCTGACAGCTTCTCAGCCTGTCTACCAGAGTAATAAAATAACTGACACTTAGTGCTCACCGTGAGTCAGGCACTGTTCTGAACAAGCACCTTACATGCATGAACTCACCTAGTTCTATGAGGATGGTGCTATTACTATCATCCCAACTTTACAGATGCAGACACTGAGGCACAGAATGGTGGAGTAACTTGTCCAAGGTCATACAAGCAGAGCCTGGATTCAAACTCAGGCAGTGCAGTCCCAGAGCCCATGCACCTAACCACTATACTGCTTTTCCTAATACTGCTGAAAAACAGGAGAGAGTAAATGCCCTTTGGGCAATTTGTAGTAAGTACTACAGGTGTAAAATGTATGAAAAACTCACATCTTATCTTAAAAACTCACGTTCATTGTGACCGGGCACAGTGGCTCACACCTGTAATTCCCAGCACTTTGGGAGGCTGAGGCAGGAGGATCGCTTGAGCCCAGGAATTCGAGACCAGCCTGGGCAACATGGCAAAACCCCATCTCTACAAAAAAATATAAAAATTTGGGCGTGATGGTGCATGCCTGTAATCCCAGCTACTTGGGAGGCTGAGGTGGAGGATCACCTGAGCCCAGAAGTTGAGGCTGCAGTGAGCTGTGATGGTGCCACTGCACTCCAGCCTGGGCCACAGAGTGAGGCCCTGTCTCAAAAAAAAAAAAAAAAAAAAAAAAAAAAAGTCATGTACGTTTTGCATCTATGGCAAAACAAAATCTCTGTTTAATAAAAATACCTTCCACCAAATAATCAAGTAGAATCGGTGCTTCAGAGAGATGTGGCCCATGTCTTCTGAGGCACTGAGTATCCTCAGACAGTCTGCAGCAGGGAGAGCCCAGCCAAGCACAGCTTTCAGAACAGGAGGGGCTCAGACCAGGCTGCAGGAGGTGGGAAGAAGGGACTTGAGTTTTCACATGGGTGCTAGATTGCTTTCCACCCTACATCTTCTCACCCTATTTATACTAGTGTCTCTCTGAAGTCAGAGTGCATGCTAGGAACATGGACAGAGACTTCCCCATGTGACCATCAGTGTGAAGGACTTCTGTCAATGGACTACTCCCATGTTATGGTCACTGGGCTGCCTTGTTGGTGGCTGCTGTTTCTCCTCCTCCCCTTCCCTGCTTCCCCTTTCCTTCCTCCCCCATCTCTTCCTCCCCTTCTCCTCCTCCTCCTCTTCCTCCCCCTCCTCCTTCGTTGTTCCTCCTCCTCCTTCCTCGTTCCTCTTCCTCCTCCTCCTTCCTCTTCCTCCCTCCTCCTCCTCCTTCTGCTTTGTTTTCTTCTGGAGGAGGCCTCCCTAAGAGTCATGTTAGCCCACACACATGAGATCAGACTCTGGGGAACCTATTCCATTTTAGCTGCAGCATTTAGTTCTTTCCAGTTTTCTAATTCCTCTTTTTTTTTTTTTTTTTTTTAGTTCTAGTGTTTGCTTATGTTGAGCCACTGCAGAAAACCCCCCTTGAGTGGGCTTAAAAAATAACAGCCACCACTACAAAACCCAACATTTTTATTATTTCTTTACCCTCCCAGTTTCCAAATAGTTCCCTCTTTTGGGGCACACATTGACCATCTTTCTTCTGTCCCAGACACGAGGTGCACTGTCGCATGGCTGACTGTGAGGCTCAGTGGGGCCATTTCTGTTGAACATATTGCAGGTGAAACTGCCCCAGCTTTCTTCTCCTCTGATGTCTTTCAGCCCCATCATCTCTGAGGTCTCCTTAGGGAGACCTCCTCATTCATTCATCCAGTGGATAATTATTGAGCACTTACTATTGGCCAGGTGCTGTTCCAGGCACAAGGGTGCCATGGAAAGCATGATAAAATTGTCTTGTGAAGCTTACATTGGTCAATGGAGACAGACAAACACCCAAGATGTAAATAAATTTAAAAGGTTCAGATAGTTATAAATGCTATGAAGAAAATAAAATAAAGTAATATACGGAGCAACAAGAGGAAAGGAGAAGAAACATCAAGTGCCAAGATCCCAGAGTAGGAAAAGACTTCAAGAATGGAAGGGGTATCAGGGACAGCGGGGAGGGGGAAGGGACAGATCACACAGGCCTTATATGCCATGGGGAGGAGTTTGATTTTATTTTTTGTGCAGCAGGGGAGCAACATGATCACTTCATGAGAAGGACCATCCTGGCTGTTGTGGAAAATGGATGGTTGTGACCAAGAGTGAGAACAGGGAGACCAGTTGGGAGGCCATTATAGTCACCCAGGCCTCGGCTGTGGTGGCTTGGAAGGTGCCCCCTTGGATGGGGGCAACAAAGAGGGTGAGAAATAGATTTGAGGTAGATTTATTTTATTTTATTTTTTTGAGATGGAGTCTCACTCTATTGCTCAAGCTGGAGTACAGTGGCGCGATCTCTGCTCACTGCAACCTCTGCCTCCTGGGTTCAAGCCATTCTCCTTTCTCAGCCTCCTGAGTAGCTGGGATTACAGGCGGCGCCACCACACTGGCTAATTTTTGTATTTTTTTTTTTTTTGAGACGGAGTCTCACTCTGTCGCCCAGGCTGGAGTGCAGTGGCGCGATCTCTGCTCACTGCAAGCTCCGCCTCCTAGGTTCATGCCATTCTCCTGCCTCAGCCTCCTGAGTAGCTGGGACTACAGGCACCTGCCACCATGCCCGGCTAATTTTTTGTATTTTTTTTTTTTTTTAGTAAAGATGGGGTTTCACCATGTTAGCCAGGATGGTCTCGATCTCATGACCTTGTGATCCGCCTGCCTTGGCCTCCCAAAGTGCTGGGATTACAGGCGTGAGCCACTGTGCGGCCTAATTTTTGTATTTTTAGTAAAGACAGGGTTTTGCCATGTTGGTCAGGCTGGTCTTGAACTCCTGATCGCTGGTAATCCACCTGCCTTGGCTTCCCAAAGTGCTGGGATTACAGGCATGAGCCACCACGCCTGGCCTGAGGTAGATTTTAGAGGCAGACACAGTGGAGTAGAAAATGCTCTTGTCTGGGACCCAGAAGTCCTGGGATTAAATCCTGAGTTCACCACTCATCAGATGTGGGAGCTTATACAGATGGCCTAATGCTTCAGTCCCCTCATGTATAAAATAAAGATACCGGCACCTACCTCCCAGTTTCTCAAGAAGGGGAGCTGAGGAAGGCAGATGTGCCCAGCATGGTGCCTGTGAAACAGGGCCTCCGCCAAGTTGCTTAGCGAGAATGAGTGTGGGTTTGAGTGTACTCCAGAGAGGTAGCTAGGCACTCCAGGCATTTCCTGGAACTCACTTGTCCTCTGTTAAAAAGGTGGAAAGGAAAGATTGTCACCCAGGCTATTGGGAGTGGGCGCATCTTCCAGGTAACTCAAAGTCAACTCTGAGTAAACAGGTAAGGGTGTATTTGGAAGCCACTCATTGCCTTTTAAATTGGGACATGGGTTTTAGGTGAGGGTTGGGAAATGCCTAGGGCTGGCAGGAGAGAATGGCCTGAGGGGCTCATGGCGGCTGGGCCAGGCAGGAGGGCTTGAACCTGGGGGCGGGCCTGTTGCATCCAGAGGGGCAGCTGGTAGAGGTGGCTCTGGAAATACGGGCTCTGGCAGATGATGGAAGGAAGACTGGGGAACAGTTTGATGGACTGATAGGTTTCCAGAGACTCTCAGCCAGCCTGGATAGTGACCTTTTGCAGGTGGAGCTGGTCAGTTTTGAGGCCTTTCCGTGGAAGTTCTGAAAGCAGAGGTCCCGCCCCTGGAAATCCCCCAGCCTACGCCGGCTTGTTGTTGTCCTGCAGCCCTGTGGGAGCTGCCTGACCCTGGGGCAGGGTGCACGGACTTAGATTAAGGCCAGAACCAAAGGTCAGCTTAACTGGAGTAGTATCCATGGGCTATGCCCCTTTCTTTTTAGCTCTCTGAAGTGTGGATGCTGCAGCATCAGGTTTCTGAAGGGCAGGAAAGGGGAGCTGACGTCAGCAGAGCACCTATGGAGCACCTGGCACTGTGCCAAGCAGCCTAGACTCCTCATGACACATGGGTAAAGCAAACATTATTATCTCCATTTTTTTTTTTAATAGTAGGAAACTGAGGCTCCAAGGGTTGGAAGTAGCTTTTCCCATGTCACGTGACTGGTACTGGGAACTCGAGTCTGCCCTGCTTCACAGCTCTTGTTCCTGCACAAGTGTCTCCGGAGAGGCTGGGGTACATCAGAACCTCCAGAGGAGGGGACTTGGGAGCTTGATGTTTAAAAAAGCAACACAGGCATGTGCAATGGAGAACTGAATTGGAAGCTTCTGCCTGTGGCTTTTTTTTTTTTTTTTTTTTTTTTGAGATGGAGTCTTGTTCTGTCGCCTAGGCTGGAGTGCAGTGGTGGAATCTTGGCTCACTGCAACCTCTGCCTCCCAGGATCAAGCAATTCTCCTTCCTTAGCCTCCTGCGTAGCTGGGATTACAGGCATGTGCCACCACACTCAGCTAATTTTTTTGTATTTTTAGTAGAGACGGGGTTTTACCATGTTGGCCAGGCTGGTCTCAAACTCCTGAACTTATGTGATTTGCCTGCCTTGGCCACCCAAAGTGCTGGGATTACAGGCATGAGCCACCGCGCCTGGCCTGCCTGTGGCTTTATTGAAGGCCTTAGTGGGGACATTGTTAGGTGCCTGCTTTTGCAACACCACCTTAGCAGGACTTACAGAATCTTAACTGGAAAAGAAACTTTAAACTGTATTAACTAGGCCGGGCACCGTGACTCATATCTGTAATCCCAGCATTTTGAGAGGCCAAGGTGGTGGTTGTGGTGGGGCTGGGGGGGTCATTTGAGCTCAGCCTGGGCAACACAGTAAGATCCTGTCTCACTATGGGCAGGGTGGTGCGTGCCTATAGACCTAATCACTTGTGGGGCTGAGGTGGGAGGATCGCTTGAACCCTGGAATAAACTGTGTTAACTGACTTTCCAGCTATGATGCCTGGGGAAGTCATTTAACCTCTCTTAGCCTCAGTTTTCTTGTCTGTACAATAGGGATCAAAATGTTTACCCTGCAGAACTCTTGAAGGATTAGGGATGTTATAGGAAATGACTTAGCATAATGCCTGGCCCAGCTAACCACTGAATGAATGGTAGCTGTTAACATTAACCAATGCGTCATTAAATCTTCTTTTTTGTGAGGGGACTGGGGGATTGTTGGCTCCCCTGTGGTCTGCTCACCCATTGCTGAGGCCCCCTCCTTGGCACAGCCTGTTCCATAGAAAGAGCAGACTGCCAGCCACTCCTCTCCTTCTTCCTGAGGAAGCCCAGTGTCCCCACGGGCCATCGGACCCTTGCCCCTGGCGCTTGAGGCTTGGACACATGGTGACACCCTCTGCTTTTCAGCTGGCAAGCGTGCTCCCTCTCCAGGCTGGCCCCAGGGCAGGCCGGGCAGGGGGAGCTGGCCTCGTACTGGGGATGCTGGTCCTCTGCCCTGCTCCTCTGCCAGCTGGGCGGCTGGGCCCGGCAGCAGCTTGGACTAGCTTGAAGGCCCAGCAGGGGCCTCTGTGGGCGGCAGCCTCCCTGAGCCCCTCTTTTAGCACCGGGCCATCTGGTGCCTCTGTCCCCTTTTGTGTGCCTGCGGGGAGAGGAGGGGAAGTGAAGGGGGAGGAGACAGGAGATCTCTCTGGCCAGCTTTCTTCTGAATTGAGGAGAAGGAGGAGTTTGAGACAGAGGGGAGCAGGGCCTGGGAAAGAGGTGGAGGGGACTCTAGGCTTGGGACTTAGGAGGAAAGGAGGAGGGAGACATGAGAGATGGGGGGGAGAAAGAAAGCCCAGAAGGAACGGACGCTCTAGGATCCTGGGTACGAGAGCTCAAAGGGAGAAGAGAGCAGAGAGAGCAAGCCAGAACCAGAATGCTGTGTGGAGAGGAAAGGGAGTGCTGCAGAAGAGGGAAGAAAAGCACTCAGGAAAGAACGATGTCCAGGAGTTGAAAGGGGTGCAAGACTCTCTCCAAGTACAATGTGTTAAGTTGGTGCCTTATTTCTGTTCTTGGAAAGAGGAAGTGAGAGTGTGTGGGTCGGATGCCCTTCCCTGGTCAGGCTGAGGGTCAAAGGGAGGGGCGGCTGAGACCTGCAGCGTGAATTTCCGCAGAGCAGCCTGGGGCCCAGCCTGGCCCTGCCCAGTGGCCATGCAGGTTGGTTCCCAGTCATGGCAGGCACCAACTGCGGACTCCCTAGGGGTGGGAAGAAAACGTCTCCTACTAATACCCCTTTGATGGGGTTCACCTGGGGAGTAAAAATGCATTACTGAGGGCATTAGAGGCATGACTTTAAAGAATGTCACGTTTGGGATTTTACAGGCTTTGAAGCACCTGTCCCCTGCCGGATGGCAGAACATCCCGTGTCTTCCATCAGGTCCCAATGGCGTGGCATGAATGATGCAGACACAGGAATAACAATAAAAGCATGTGGCTTTGTGCTTCTCTGGTGCCATGTTCATTTGGGCTCACGGTCTGCATTTGGTGTAGTCACAGAGGACACAGAGAATGGGCTATTTTCTCTGCTGAGGACAATACAGACTGGACTTGGGTTGAATGCCTGCCTTTCCCTGGCTCTGTTCCTGGAGCCCGCTCAGAGTTGAGCTCCTCTCCCTGCTGAGTTCTTCCAGGCAGTGGCCCCCTCCCTCTACACTCTGGCCCTGAGGTGTGGTTAGCCCAAAATCTGCCAAGTCATCTGCATAAGGCCTTATCAGGGTCTGTCTTCCAGTCCCATCTGGAAAGTACTGTCCTTGAAGTGGGAAATCTTTGCAAATGAACGCACGACTGAGGCACTGGGAGAGCACACTAGGCATGAGAAAGTTGAGTGTGACTGATTTAGTGCATGTAGGTCCATTTAACATCAACCAAGTGTCAAGATTTTTTTCTTCCACCATTAAGTTCACTTGAAGATCACAGGCTGGCAGCTCTAGGAAGCACTTTGCAGCTCCAGTGCTGGTGTGGGGGTGCTCCATCCTGCCTCAAAATGTCCCTGCAGTGGTTCAGCCCTGCTGGGCTCTGGAGGAGAATGTGCCTTAGACATGCTCCCCGAGGAGCCATGGGGAGCAGGGCAGGCCACGGGGGAAGCAATTGCTGCCAGCGGGGCACGCTCACCTTGAGGAAGGGCAGGCTGCGGCTCAGAAGATCCCTGAGCAAGGTCACCAGATGTGGCCAGCGGACAGCTGACAGCAAGCAGAGATCTTGGGAGATGTCTGTTCGTGTGCATCTGCAGACAGGCTCACAGCTGAGCCACCTGAAGAAGGGCTAGAGATGACTTGCAGCAACTGCTGTGTATCGAGCACTTACGACGTGCAGGGCTTTGCACGGCAGGTGGTCCCAATCAGTCCTTGCAGCACCCTTGAGAAGGATGAAGAAGCCGTGGCCCAGAGAGGCTAAGGGACTTGCCCACCATCACACAGCCAATAAGGGGCGAAACTGCTCTCCAAACTGTGGCCAGGGGTCAACAAAGGCTGGGCCTGAAGGAGTGCAGTGGAGGAGGGGCACAGCTGGTGGGGGTGTCAGGGAGGGTTGCATGGAGGAGGCCTTGAAGAATGAGCAGGACATTGACTCTTGGAAGGGTGATATTTCTTCCAAATGGAGAAAATAGCAGGCACCAAAGCACAGGGCCTATTTTGGGATCTGAGAAAAGGGCAGATTGTGGAGTGCTGTTTGGAAGAGTCAGGCCAGGGAGGCATGTTGTCCATTTGTGGAGTCTTTTTTTTTTTTCCATTCTCCATTTATTCATTTATTTATTTATTTATTTATTTATTTATTTATTTATTTATTTATTTGAGATGAGGTCTCACTATGTTGCCCAGGCTGGCCTTGAACTCCTGGGATGCGGTGATCCTCCCACCTCAGTCTTGCTAGTAGCAGGGATTACAGACCTGTGCCACATCACCTGGTTCATTGTATGAAGTCTTAATGCCACTCGGGGAGGCTGTATTTTCTTTATAGGGGTGGGGTCTGATGATGGTTTTGATGAGGGAAGTCCCATGGGTGGGCCTGTCCTGGCAGTGGCCTGAGGGGTTGGAATGCAGGGGAACAAAGAGCAGCAGGGCTGAGGCAGAAAAGCACTGTGGGGGCACAAAGATGGAGGGGTGGTGAGGAGGCCGCATCTACAGGGACACTGGGTGGGGACAGGGGATGAGTGGGTGAGAGTCGGGGCCTGAGAGGATTCAAAAGTGACTGAAATGATGATGGAGGGGTTATTTATAGAAATGGGGAAGTCACAGAGAGAAGGTGCCTTTGAGTCGGGGAGGGGACGGGAAGAAGAAGGAGGGAGTGGATTTTTATTTTGAACCTGGTGGTTGTCAGTGGTTTGCTGGACCTTCGGGGGGGCCAACAGTGAACAGCAGGGGCTCCCTGATAATCAACCCTAAAACCTTGTCTGGAACATGTTCAGCTTCTTCCTTGCCCACCCTCCTCCCACCCCGCCAGGTGCTGAGCTCACCCTTTGTGATTCTTGGCCTTACATTCTGCACCTCCCAGTGGCACTGGAACCTTGGATGCCCCGGGGAGCTGCAGGGCCCCAGTGACCAGCTGGTGCTGAGGGTCAGAGACTGCGACTGTGCAGGCCATGTCTGCAGGTGCTCCCCTGTGCAAGGCCTCCAGGGGTGGGGGTGTCCCTCAGACCTTCAGGGAAGTTGCTGATAAAGAATTTCCTTAGAGGGGGTAAGTCCCCCTCCCAGACCCAGCAAGGCCTTCTCTCTGTTTCCCCGGAAAAACCTCTTCCATCCTTCCGAAGCTCCAGGCCTTGTGGGTGTGACAGCGTGCCTGGATCCAGAGGCAGCAGGGGAAGGGGGAGACATTTTGGTTCAAGGGGCCATGGCAAAGGCACTGCCTGGCAGATGGAGGAGGGAGCTTCCTGCTGCTGGAGTGGCCGTCCTGGCTGTGAGTATCCTGTCCCCTCCACCCACCTGTTCACCTCCTTTTTTTTTTTTTTGAGATGGAGTCTCACTCTGTTGCCCAGGCTGGAGTGCAGTGGCGTAATCTCGACTCACTGCAAGCTCTGCCTCCTGGGTTCACACCATTCTCCTGCCTCAGCCTCCCGAGTAGCTGGGATTACAGGCGCCTGCCACCACGCCCAGGTAATTTTTGTATTTTTTTTTTGAGACAGAGTCTTGCTCTGTTGCCCAGGCTGGAGTGCAGTGGCTCGGCTCACTGCAAGCTGCGCCTCCCGGGTTCACGCCATTCTCCTGCCTCAGCCTCCCCGGCAGCTGGGACTACAGGCACACGCTGCCACGCCCGGCTAATTTTTGTATTTTTAGTAGAGACGGGGTTTCACTGTGTTAGCCAGATGGTCTCGATCTCCTGACCTTGTGATCTGCCTGCCTTGGCCTCCCAAAGTGCTGGGATTACAGGTGTGAGCCACTGCGCCCAGCCTAATTTTTGTATTTTTAGTAGAGACGGGGTTTCACCATGTTGGGCCAGGCTGGTCTCAAACTCCTGACCTCAGGTGATCCACCCAACCTTGGCCTCCCAAAGTGCTGGGATTACAGGTGTGAGCCACCACACCCGGTCTTCCCTCCTCTTTTCAAACACTCTACTGGTACAGGGGAAAAACTTTTTGAACTCAAATTTTGGACTTGAATTAATTCCAATTCTAGGAAGAAGCAAATGGGAGTGTAAATAAGATTCATTCATTCATTTTCTCACCCAAGAAGTGTGTATATTGTGTCTACTCCATGTCGGATAAATGATAGCTAAGCTAAAATCCCCCCCACCCCAGAAGAGGTAAGAGTTGGGAGGTACAGACACGTAAACAGGCAAGAACAGTATAGGAGCAGCCCATGACCCAGATTTGGGGAGCTTGGGGGTGCCTCTGCAGAGAAAATATTGCCTCAGCTGAGACCTGAGGTAGGTAGGAAACTGACCCAGGCAGGGGGAAAGGGACAACAGTGATCTCTGCAATGAGAACAGCAGGAGCAAAGGCCTGGATGAGACAGCATCCCCACCTCACTAAGGCACTAGAAGATCATCAGCTTAAGGAAACCAGCGATTCTAAAGACGCCTGCCCAGTAGGTCTCAACCCTGGCTGCACATTAGAATTACCTGGAAGCTTGAAAAAAATGCAGCAGTCTAGTCCCCCATCCCTAGAGGTTCTGATTCCCTGGGTCTGGGGAAGGTCATGGACACTGGCATTTAAAAAGTTCCCAAGCTCCCCATATGAGGCTAACCTGCAGCCTGGGCTGAGGACGCTACCACTGGTTTGTTTACTGAGGTTTGCTAATTACAGGCTGGTCTTATTCAAGGGAGTGAGGGGTTGAAGCTGCTGAGTATAGTGGGAAGAAGGGAACAGCAGGTCTTTAAAATGAGTCTGCTTTGCATCCCTGAACTGACTGAGCCAGTGGCACTCTCTACAGAGAGCCAGCTTCTCCCCATTTCCCCTCCTCTCCATCTCTTTGTTCCCACTGCCACCACCTTGTGCTGGCCCCTTGCCTCTCCAGGGATCGCCCAACCAGGCCCCTGCTGCTCAGGCAGTCAGCATGACCTTGACCCAAGGCACAGACAGGTTCCTGCGGCTCCTGGCCTGGATGGGATACGCCCACCTCCCACAGGCTCCTGAGAGAGCACATGGCCGTAATCCTCCAGCCTCACACCTGCTACCCCTCGCTTCACAACTTCTTCTACCCTGAGAAACCCCACACTTGTCATTCCCTCCCCACCTTCATTTCCCTTCCTGGAATGTCCTCTCTGCCTTCTCTACCTGAATTCCCTGTGTTCCTTCAAGAGGCTCAGGCGACAGACCCTGTAGGTGAATTCAGTGCATTCTCTGCACACCCAGCCCGCACTGCCTGCCCACATGCCTGCGTGGGAATGGTTAAGACCAGATTTCTCCAGCAGCCTTCAGCCTTTGCTTCCCAGGCCTAGTGGCCCCCAGCACAGAGCAGGCGCTCAGGGAAGGTGAATTAATGAGTGCAGCTGAGGTAAGGGCAGCGGCCAGGGCCTGCCTGCAGATATTCATGCCATTTGGGCTGCTCTCCTGTTTTGAAATGAGGAAATTGTGGGCCGGGCGTGGTGGCTCACGCCTGTAATCTCAGCACTTTGGGAGGCCAAGGCGGGCAGATCACCTGAGGTCGGGAGTTCGAGAACAGCCTGACCAACATGGAGAAACCCCGTCTCCACTAAAAATACAAAATTAGCTGGCGTGGTGGCGCATGCCTGTAATCCCAGCTACTTGGGAGGCTGAGGCAGGAGAATTGCTTGAACCCAGGAGGCAGAGGTTGCAGTGAGCCGAGATCGTGCCATTGCACTCCAGCCTGGGTGACAAGAGTGAAACTCCGTCTCAAAAAAAAAAAAAAAAAAAAGAGGAAATTGTGGTTCCCCCAGAAGAAGAGAGACTTGTCAAAGGTCATTCTGTAAATGACAGAGTTGGCATTTATTAAGTCTCAGGTTTGAGATTGTTGCCTCCAGGGTTTTTCCGGCTTTGTGTTGACAATGCCAGATTTTCAAGGCGGGGTGGAGGAGCGTGGGAATTAGGGGAAGCTGCTATGTGACCCGCATCTTTCCTCTGTCTTCCACCCAAGTGTCCTTGTGCCCCCAGCTACTTTCTCCAATTTGCCTGATTTCATCCTGGGTGTTTTGTGTTTGGCTTTCACTACTGACTTCTCCTGTGGGCCCCCTGACAGTGACCGTGACTCTTAAACAGCCTTGTGGTTTCACAGTGCCATCCCTGCCAGGCGCTAGTTTCTTCAGAGCCTTGGTCCCCCAGCTTGGGAGCCTGGGGATGGGTGTGCCCCATGGGAGGGGCAGGCAAGGACAGAGAGCAGCGAGACTGTAGTGGGGTGTTTCTGCCTGTGTGTCCCTGGGTGTCTGCATCTGCGTGGCAGCAGCCCAGCATGAGGCTGAGGGTGAGGGAGGCATGCCCGGGCATGTCTGCTGGGGCAGGCTGGCCAGGTTCCTGAGAAGACCAAGGAGATCCTTGGGAGAGGTGACTGGATCTGAGGCATGGAGAGAACGCCCGAGTCGGGAGGGAGGCGAGCCGGAGCAGGGATGGGTATTGATGAGGAGGCTGTAATGGGGGTGGCTGGTAGTAGTGGTGGGTAGCATTTATTGACTACTTACCAGATGCCTGGCACTGGGCTTAGGTCTTTTACATATATTGGATCGTTTAGTCCTTAGAACAACACCATGAAGTGAGATTTATCTCCGCTTTTCAGATTTTACATTTTGCAGTTTACAGATAAGGAAACTGAGGCTCACGTCACCAGTCATCATTGGAGTCCCTGCCTGTCTGAGCCTCTGACTACTGTCCTCTCTGGAGAACTTGAGAGCCCTTGTGGGGACATCTGGAACTGCTGGGTGGGGTTCTAGGGGTGGGGGAGCTGCAGCGGTGTGGTTCAGAGCCAGGCAAATATGGATTTCTATTGTTTTTGTGTCTCAGACTGGCAGGGTCTAAGAAGCCTTGGGTAACTTTTATAGATCTTTAAAAAACTGAATTGTTTTCACCCTGGATTCCAAGATAATAAACTTTCTTTAGCCTTTGTTCATAAGGAGGTGCAGCTTTCTCTAAAAGACTCCTTCAGAATGCTGCCTGTGATGGCTCCTCTGGGCCATACTACTACGAACCGGCATAAAAACTACAGCTCAAACCCTCCTGGGTCAAATTACAGAAGAAAACAATTCCTGGAGTGTCATAGTTGGCCACAAGCTGAACATGAGTAAGCAGCAGAGATGCTGATTTATAAGAAAAAGCTGATTTGTGACAGTGTGATCTGCAAAAGAGGGAACTGTCCTCCGCCTGCAATTTGTGTAAGGCCGAGTGACTTCCTCTGAGTTGTTCCCAAGGCTTTATTTCTAGACCGCTTGTTAGGAACGCAGAACCCCTTGCCTTGCAGAATTACTGTGGGAATGGAGGCACAGTTCTGAAGCTAGCTTGGAAATGCCCACCTATAGCTCAGAACCTCATATTTATGAGAAAACAATAGGAGAAAGCAATTCAGCTGTGATGTGCAGCTGATTTTCACCATTCCTTTGCTATGACCAGGAAATGCCCCATTGGACACTTTGTGAAGGGAGCGATGATGTCATGGCCAGAGGCACAGCTTCTTTTAATATTCAGGTTGTTAGTATTTGGCGAAGCCTGCCTCTTTCCACCCCCAACCCCTACTGGATTTTTCTGGAAGGCTTTTAGCTCTTCCCTCAATTGTGCGCACGTGTGCACACACACACAGAGACACACACACGGACATACCCCCCACAGACAGACACAAACATATCATATACATAGAGACACACACACAGACACACTACACACATAGACACACCACACACACAAAGACACACCACAGACACACAGACACTCCACACACAGACACACCACAGACACACAGACACACCACACACATACCACACAGATAGACACACCACACAGACACACCACAGACACACAGACACACCACACACACAGACACACCACAGACACACAGACACACCACACACACAGACATACGCCACACACACAGACACACATCACACACAGACACACCACAGACACATAGACACACCACACACAGAGACATACGCCACACACACAGACACACATCACACACAGACACACCACAGACACATAGACACACCACACACACACAGAGACACGGAGCACGCACACAGACAGCGGGGCCTGCCTTGAGCAGCTCCTCACCTCTGTGGATGCGTGACCACTTCCCTCACCCCAGTGTCTCTGACTCCCAGGGTGAGATGCTCCTTCACACACTGTCCTAAAGTCTGACAACAACAATATGCCAATGGTTAGTCCTGCCTCCAAAATACACCTCCCTTCAGATTGTATTTCCATCCTTCTAGGGCCTTCCGTCTTCTTCGCCAACCCCGAGTCATTGCTTCTCATCCACACAAGGTGATCACCTATGGGACTCTTTGTTTTTGAGATGAAGTCTTGTTCTGTCACCCAGGCTGGAGTGCAGTGGCGTGATCTCAACTCACTGCAACCTCTGCCTCCCGGGTTCAAGCAATTCTCTGCCTCAGCCTCCTGAGTAGCTGGGATTACAGGCACACAGCACCACGCCTGGCTAATTTTTGCATTTTTGCATTTTTAGTAGAGTCAGGGTTTCACCATGTTGGCCAGGCTGGTCGTGAACCCCTTGACCGCCTCGGCCTCCCACAGTGCTGGGATTACAGGCGTGAGCCACCACACCCCACCCGCCTATGGGACTCTTGATTCCCCACTGGCACCCCTGCGCCGACCCCAGGTTCCATTCCCCTCTTGGTAGCTGGAGTGAGCGCTGAACTGTCTGTCAGGCCATGCTGCTTCCCAGCCTTGAGAGTGAAACCCCCGGCTTTGAGCCTGTCCCTGTCCCTCTGCTCCTCCTGCTTCTCGCCTCCTTTCTCTTTTCTCTGCCACCACATTGCCCTGGGCTGCCTGAAGACATCCAGCTCCTTCCTGGCTCTGGGCTCCTTCTGTGGCTGTCCTGAGACTGTAGGATGCACCTGTCAGGTGTAGTTTAAATCTTGGCCTCCACCTCAGAGACATCTTTCTTGATGTCCCTTCCTAAAGTGGCCTCCCTCTACTCTCTTGGCTGATCCCATTTGTTCCTTCAGAGAACAAAAAAACAATCCACAGTGCTCTGTTTTTTCATGTGTGTCCTTTTACATTGTGTCTCCTCCACCAGAATGTAATTTTGGAAGCCTGTTAATAGTTATAGTTGCAGAGTCCAGAACAGTGCTTGACTGTGAGGCTGTTCATAAATGTTTGTTGAATGAAGCACATTGAAGAGATTGATGACAAAATGCTCCCATGGTCGGGAAGCGTTATGGCGTGAAGGGATTTTGGGAGGTGGATGCTATAGAACCTGCCAAGTCGTGCTGGTTGGTGACTGACTCAAAGTGGAGGACAAGCAGAGTTGTGTGAGGGCCTTAGTGGTTAGAGGGCCCTGCTGGGTTTGGTGAGGATGAGCTTTAGAAGCCCAATCCCTGGAGTCAGTGTCCAGGATGGACATGCCATTGGGGATGATGCTTCCAGGAGGATCACAGGGGAGGTATAGCCATTGGTGGAGACCTTGCTGCATCTACGCTTATTTTATTTTTCATTTATTGTTATTTTTTTGAGACAGGGTCTCACTTTGTTGCCCAGGCTGGAGTACAGTGGTATGATCATAGCTCACTGCAGCCTCAAACTCCTGTGCTCAAGCGATCCTCCTTCCTCAGCCTCCTCAGTAGCTGGGACTACAGGTACATGCACAACCATGCCCAGCTAACTTTTAATTTTTTTGTAGAGATGGGGTCTCACTATGTTGCCAGGGCTGCATCTATGCTTGTAATAAATTGGGCTATGTGGTTTAAACACAAACAAACCCCACTTTCCCACCCATCTTAAGTGGGTTGAGAGTAATGTGGCTGGGGTGAAAATAATCACAGTTTAATTGGTTTTAAATATGCTAATGCCTGTGTTGAAAACACGGTGATGTGAGCAGATGCCGGCACACCTTTGGAGGTGTGACCTTTGTGCCACATGGTGGGATGACTAATGAGTGAAAGAGAATCCCCTAAAATAAGTTAGGGGTATGTTTATGAAGAGTCAAGTAGAGTCCTGGGAGAAACAGATTCAGGACACGTGAAGGACTTGGTGGTAAAGGGAGAGGAACGTATGAATATAAGAGGCAAAAAGAGCAAGTTCTTTAGATGTTTGTCTAGGGCCGTGAGAAAGAAGTCAAGTATTATCTCTGAGATATTAAAACAATGGATTTTCACTCTCAGTAATCAAGTGCTCCTATTCACTGAATCAACGGGTTTAGTGGCTTTAGGGAAGCCCCAGACATCCTAGAACAGAGAAGCCTTCCTCAGTTTTGTGTTTCAAACCAGATTTTAAAAAGTCCATAGCAAGCTAATAGTCAATAATTTTGAGAGCCTGGTTAATAAGAGGGATATATTTTTTCTACTTTCCAAGAAGATCCCTTCTGTAAATCCAGAGCAGAGCTGGGGGGATCTGAGCATGGCTTGATGTGTGAAGCCACAGTGGAGAGAACAGAGGATTCCACACAAAGGAAGTGCCTGCCCCACAGGAAGGAAGAAAAACCCAGCTGGTGCTGGGAGAGGCTTGGAGGGAGATTGACACAATGAGGGAGCAGGGTACCATGCTGTGTGCCCCACCCACCACCCATGAACTAAGGGTAGGGGCAAGGTGGTAGAAACAGCCTACATAGGTAGATAGGAGGTAGAAAGTAGAGGGGCCTGCCGCCTACTTCCCATTTGGATATCTGGGAAGAGAGTCCCTTGCAGGTGTCTGCAGGGCAGCCCCGGCATGGTGGAAATGCTGGCAAATTGTGTCCTGTCAGAGGAAGGGCTGAGACAGTGGCCCTTGCTTCTCCACGACCTGCATGAAGGTGTATCCGCGACTTCCCAGGTGCCTCCTGCGGGGCATAAGGAGGCTGGGAATTAAGAGCCAGCATGCTGCAGAGGTGGGCCTAGGAGGCCCCATGGCTGAGCCTCAGAGTGGACAACCAGAGCAGGGCCAGAGGGAGGATGTGGCTGGGCCCTAGAGGGTCAGCAGTGCCAGGGAGCACTGAGGAGAGGCCCGGGCAGCAGGGGGCTGGTCAGACCATACAAGAGCATGTTCAGGCCATTGCCTAACCCGAGAGAACAGGTTATAAACATCTCAAACCCAGCCGCACAGGGGCAGGAAAGGGTGTGGCTTAGGGACAGCATATGGGAAAGGCATTTAAGGGTTTTCATTCATAATAAGGTCAAAATGAGTCCCCAGTGTATTAAGATCTGTAAATAAATGAACAAGTTACAGTCTCCTCAGTGGAACCTGCTCCCATTCTTCTCAGGGCTGGTCAGCTCCCTTCCGGAGAATTACAGTCATGCTGGGTCTCCCTTCGAGACTGAACAGACAAACCAGACCCCCATACAGAGGAGAGTGGGGAGAAACCTCCACATAAGAGCAGCTTGCAAGGACTTGAGAACACACAGTCTGGTGAAAGAGAATTTAGGGGTGACACTGCTTAGGTTCTGTATGTTCCCAAGAGGAGACCCAATGCATGGATGTTATAGGGAGAGAGTTCAGCTCCAAAACCACTAGAACCATCTAATAATTCTAAACCGGCATGGGCTGAACCAGGACACTTCCTGGATATGGAGCATCCAAGCAGAAGCCAGAACACTGCTATGCAGGAGAGGCAGATGTCTGCCGGGTCATGGACCTGGACAACCTTCAACATTTCTTCCAACCTTAAGATTTTGTGAATCGCTGAATGAAATTCTAATTTTAAAGTTTCTGACTCAGAGGCAGAGGAGGCTCCTATTTTGAGTCAGAGTACCCAAATGCAAAGATCCCAGCTCCTTGGAGACAGACGGACCTGGCTTCTGAGACTGGCTTTGTCACTCACTAGTTGTGTGCCCTGGAGAACTTCCTTTCCCTTTCTGAATTGCAGTGTTCTCAGCTGGAAGATGGAGATATTTACCTGGCAGGGTGTTGTTGGCATTAAGTGAATCAATGTAGTAAACATGGCCAATTGTGTGTGTGCACACGTGTGTGTGTGTATGTGTGTGTGTGTGTTAGTGGGGGTAGGAGGAGTATAGGATGTTTGCCATGCTAGAAAATCGTATTATTGCCTACTGGTTAATTTTCTTTTTCCTAAGACCAGCTTACAGAGCAATGGAACACTGAGTTTAATGAAAAGATGAAACAGATGCTGATGTGGTGTGGACAGATACTGGTTTGAATCCTCTTAGCAGAGAAGGGAAAGTTCTGATATGGGGAAGATGGGGGAGGCACCTGTGACTATGCTGGAGGAAAGGGCAAGAGGAAGTCACCCCCTGAGGGCCACAGGTGGATACCCTCTGGTGCTGTACCTGGGCTTCTGGCCATGGGATGAGTTGAGCTGTGTGGTGCTCACTGTCTTTCCGGAAAGGAATGGGCCTGGACCGATCTGCCTCCCCCCATGACTATCTGCAGGTGACACCAGATCTGCAGTGACCTTCAGCTATGAAGTGGGCACAGGTTTCCTTTTAGCCCTCCCCACCTCGGCTTTCTGCACTTGTTCCTGCCAGCCCCCACTCCCTCTTACTTCATTCCTAATTCCTTCCTCCATCACATTTTTTCCCTTAGAAGCTCATGTACATAAGGAGGTATGAAGGACTGGTAAAGCTACAAGCCCGACCTCTACCAGGGATGCTTGCATTTCAACTCTCAGCCACTGCCATTCTCCACTGGGGGCCTCTCTCCCACAGTGTGAGAGTGTGGGTGGGCGTGGTGCAGCTGGCACCATGCTGATGTCTGTCTCTTTGCAAAGCTGACCTACCCTGGGTCAGGTCCTGGCTGCCTTGAGTACTGGGAGAGGGTGGTGAAAAACAGGCCCAAAGCTCTGTGGGGAGCAGCCCCTTCTCCCCTGGCCTTTGGCTAGGAGGAAGTGAGTGGGTCCTGCCTTGGGGCCTCCACTTCCGGGGCCTCGAGGGCTGAGGCTGACTCGATGATTCCTGGAAGGTGATGATGTCATGGTGACATAGCAGTTCCCCTCCCCAGCCAAAGTCAATAGGAGAGTGGGTGATGAGTGTCTCTCATTGGCACAGAGGCCCGAGGCTCTCAGGAATGACCAAGTCCACTGGCTTGTCCAGGCCACTTAACACCACATTCATCAATAGCTCCCTTCCTCAAATTCCTACAGCTCTGATCATCTGTCCCTTCGGCGATCCCATATTCTGGACTTCCAGGGCAGGCTTGATTGATTTTAAACGTTCTGCCCCTTTGTTTTTCCACGTCAACAAATTCACAAATCATAGAAATTCATCCCAGGTTGGCCTGTGCATCCTGGGGCTTTGGGGACACGGAGCCACCAGGCTTTCTCAGAAACAGAGCATGATCATGTGTACCCTTGCATCCCAGCTTCACATCTGCATGTCTTTTCAACAATATTAATAGCTTCTTTAGAATCAGCATCTGTGTCTGTTTCTTTTGTTTTCTCCAGGACTCCTCGAAGGGGCTGAGTGTGTGGGAAAATCTAAAAATGCTTATGGGGAGGGGGAGGTTAAGCTCCCCTTCTTGTCCTTGTCAAGGGCTCTCTCCCACTACTTCACTGGGGGTGAAAGGCGCATCCGCAACAAGGGCCCCGTGAGTTCATAAGGAGATGTCTTCTGCTTCTCTCACCCGTGCTTATTAAAAGGTAACCTAGTCCCGGTGTGGGTTTGGGAAAAACGCTGCTGGACTTGCGCGGGTCGGGGTTGCTTTTGGATAGCCACTCCCTGCACTCTTGTTTACCAAAGACCTGACTCTCTGACAGACTGCGTCAGACCCGCATGGAGTAAAATGGATCCTTTGTCAGCTGGAGTCTGAATTGAAACGCCTTCTCTGCGGCCCTCCCCAGACCGACCCCAGCGTTTTACAAGGGAGCCCTGGCGTTGCCTTACGCTGCCCGATGCTGCCCCCTGCAGGCGGCTCGCAGACACAGCCCGCTCCGCTGGGTGTGGAGGCTCAGCCTGTCCCACACAAATGGGTTTTCATCACCTAGAGTTGTCAGAGCAGCTAATAGCGCATGAACAGGAAGAAAATTAGGCTTCTCTAAGTGAATTGGGTGTTGAAAGACACTGAGATAAATGGTGGAGGCAGTGAGAATGACTGATGGTGTTTCAAGTCTGAAGTAATAAGTTGGGGAGGTGAGGGTTGGGGGTGGGAGGAGAAGGAACTAGTGTTTACAGTGACCATGTGATTTAAATCTGGGCTCACAACAGCCTCAGAGGCAAATGCTCTGAACTCCTGTTTAATGGATGGTGAAGTCGAGTCTTAGAGAAAAATTAAATAACTGCCCAAGATTATACAGCAATAAATGGCAGACCCAGGACTTGAACTCAGTGACCCCAGGCCTCTGTGACATCTGCTGTCCCGCCACCCCACCATAAGAGATCATCGTCCTGCCTGGAGGAAGATCCCTTTGTTTATGGGATGAACTGGGTTTTTTGGAATGAAGGGGAAACTTCAACAGGGAATTCTCTTCACTAAGACAGTTTGTAGCTGTAGCCTCTGTCATGTGATATGAGGGGTGTTTGGCAGATCTCCCTGCCTGAAAACATCTCCCCAACTTGCTCATCACATTGCCTGGAATTTTGCTAAAAGAGAGTCCTTCCTTTGATTAAGATTGGCTAAGTGGTACTCCTGTTAAATGAAAATGCAATTCCTGTGGGGGAGTCACAGGTTAAACCTTTAAATCTTAATTCAACCTCAGTGGAGATTAGCTCATCAGGTTGCTTCATCCCTGTGATAGAGAATGAAGGGTGTGGGGAAATTGGAGGACAGGGGGTGTGCCAAAATCTAATTTTATTACTAAATGTCTCAGAGACTCCTCAAACTGTACCAAATGAAACTCTTTATCTTCTCTCCCACACTCTCCCTTCTTGGACATTAAACAGGCTCAGAAATCCCTGCAGTGTCCCTCTCTCCTCCATCTGATGGTCACTGGGTCCTCCCCAGCCTGCCTCTGAAGTGGTGCCTGAATCTCCACCGTGCACCCTCACTCTGTGGTGTGCTCAGGCCCTCGTCAGTGTGTTTCTGCCCCTGAGACTTTACCCTTTAATCAAACCTCAGTGCAGCAGCAAATGAGAGCTTTTGAAAACATGAATCGGAGGATGCTGCATTTCCTCCTAAAATCTTCCTCAGTGCCTTAAAGAAAAGTGCCAATTCCTCAGTATTTTATACTTAGGAGAGTGTTCCCATCCTTCTCTCTTGCCTCTCCTCTGTACCTCTCATTACCACCCTCCTTCACCCCATTCCCCAGCCTGGTCATCTCATTCATAGCTCCATGCTTTTGTGCTTTGTTTTTGTCAGGAAAGCCCTTCTCCTTCAGTGGTCAGCTAACTACTCCTCCATGAAGCCATCCCTGATTCCTACTCCAGCCCCCAAGGAAGAGGTAAGTTTTTATGTCACCCCTCACTAAGCCCACACACATGAATGAATGGATGAGTAAACGAAGCTCAGCTGATGAGTGGACTATCCAGTTCAAAAGATGAGGTTGTTTCTGAAATGAATATAAACCAAACTGTGGCTACGTTTTTGAAGGTTGCTGCTATGATGCACTGAATGTGTCTGTGTGTGCATTGGTGGGATACAAAGACTCTGTTAGGGTAAATAATTTGATGGGCCTTGAACTTACACAAGCAGACTAGTTTCAGAACATTGCCATGGAGACGAATGAGGACTCAAGCAGCAGGGTACCACTTAGGCAATGACAGATTTTACAGAAAATGGGCTTAGATACACCTTTCTTGTCAAAAAATCTCCTAGCTAATGGGGAGAGTGCTTCAAGGCAGAATAAAAGCTTGCACCCTCAATGAACAAAAAGCTCCTGAAGTTAGAAAACCAGGAAGTAGCAGGTCAGGAAGAAGATAAATTCTTAGCGATAGACTGAAAGACAAATGGCCAAAGAGGATGTTGGGGCCATGCCATGATGTTAGATGGAGTTCAGCATATTATATTAGAAAATAAACAAAGGATGAAGATGTTTCAAATGTATCTTTATATGTTCTGTTGCGTGAAGTGAGGAAGCTGTTCCCTTGGTCCTTGGCAAACTGTTAAATCATTTATGTATTTATTTATTTATTTGAGATAGAGTCTCACTCTGTTGCCCAGGCTGGAGTGCAGTGGCGCAATTTTGGCTCACTGCAACCTCTGCCTTCTGGGTTCAAGCGATTCTCCTGTCTCAGCCTCCTGAGTGGCTGGGATTACAGGCACCCGCCACGATGCCAGGGCCATTTTTGTATTTTTAGTAGAGACGGGGATTTCACCATGTTGGCCAAGCTGGTCTTGAACTCCTGACCTCAAGTGATCTGCCTGCTTTGGCCTCCCAAAGTGCTGGGATTAGAGGCATGAGCCACCACACCTGGCCATGTTAAATCATTTATTACAGAACTAGGACTATATAATCTCCTACATAGCCACCATAGAACCTTTCAAGTCAGGGCTTGCACTTGGACACATCTGCCATCCAATCCACAGACCCCATTCAAAATTTTCAAGCTGTCCCAACAATGTCTCTTTTTCCTTTCTAGTCCAAGATCATATCCAGGAATACAAGTTGCATGGTTCTTGTGCCTCTTTAGTTTTCTCCAATTTGAAACAGTTTCTTAGTCTTTCCCTGTCTTTCATGTCATCGACTGTTTTAAAGAGTACAAACCTTTCATTCTGCAGGACGTCCCTGGGTCTGTCTAATGTCCTGGTGTCCAGACTTGGGTCATGCTCCCTTGATAAGAACACCACAGAAATGATGCTATTCTCATTTCAGCAAATTGCATGGGGTGGAAGGAGGAGACATAGGATGTCAATCCATTCCACAACTGGAACTGTTTATTTTGATCACCAGTCACGTACCAACGTTTGTCTGCCAGGTTTCTCTCCTATAAAGACCCCATTTACCCCCTTTAAATTGATGGCATTTTGTGGGGAGGTAATCCTGTTCTTTATCAAACTTGCATCTCCCAATCTTAGCCTCCATTGATGTCTCCTGCCAGAATCAACCACAACTATGACAGTTTCCAAATTATGGTTTTCTATTTCCATCATTCCTTTTCATTTTATTAGTTGGTGGGCTACTGTAATACAAAGCTTTCCCATTTTCTATGTTCGTTTGCATATTTATTTCAGTAGGGAATCTTGTTTTATTCAATGGATTGTATTCCATTGCCGTCCTTGTTTATTTTGATGTTCACATTGCTCCAGATATGGCCAGTGGAGTCCCTTCAGCTTGGCTCCTGCCTCCTTCTGACACATCTCCACCATTCTCAGCACTGTCTTACTTTCTGGCACTACAAAATGACCAAGGCTCATCATGGTACTTTTCCTTCTCCAGCCTGGAATTAGCTCTTTCTCCAAGGAGCCCTGCCTTCTTGTAGTGGAGGATGGTGTTTAGGAACCAAAATCTGAGCCCTTAGTGTGCTTCTTGTTACTGAGGTGTCATTGCTTCTAGGCCTGTTGAGTGGACAGATCTAGGAAATATATGTGTGCATATGTACACTCACAGGTGTATACACACATCTACAACTATTTCCATATCTACCTGTGTTTATATATCAGAAAACAGTAAGTCGATGATACTCACACCTCCAGTTCCAATCCACCTCAGTGTTCTTTATAGTTTCCTTCTTTTCTATATTTGTAATTCTCTTCTCCAACAGTAAGAAACCGGACTGTCATTATCCTCAAGATATGTACTTATTTGCTCAATAAGTTTACTTATTTTTGTAACGTAATCAATCTCCCAATGACAGCAGCTGTGTCTTTCACCTCTACTCCCTGTCCCCACCTCTAGTGCCCTGTATCCTTAGGTGCCAGCAGGCATATCATCAGTGAACTCCACACAGCAGCCCCCTCTCTGTCAGTACCCCATAGGGGCCCTATGTGACTCTTCCAGGCCAGGAAGGGAGGGGAAGGAAAAAGAGAAGAAAGGAAGATGAAGCCTGTGTGGATTGTTTTAACTGAATGCCAAAAGGAAGAAGGAGATGCCATTTTGCCTATGCCAGCAAGTGCTTTGTCAAGTATTGATCAATAAGAAAGTACAGATATCAATAAGAAAGTATATACTCATGCATGTACGAATCAGTGATGAATATGACTTTAATACATAATCTAGTTATTTATGTTTAAAAGTAGTACATTGTTGATACTCCTTTCTTCACAAATACCCTAAAACCTTGTAGATGGGGTGGAGTGGGAAATATAAATTATCAGAAATGTGATCAGGAGTCAAAGAAATGCCCAAAGGGCAATTCAGAGTTGCATTCAGGCCTCAGAACAGGACACTTCTCAAAATTTGGGAGACAAAGTTAAAAATAGCTTATCCTGGTGGGCACGGTGGCTCATGCCTGTAATCCCAGCACTTTGGGAAGCTGAGGTGGGCAGATCACTTAGAGCTCAGGAGTTCAAGACCAGCCTGGCCAACACGGCAAAACCCCATCTCTACAAAAATACAAAAAAATTAGCCGGGCATTAGTGGTTCATGCCTGTAGTCCCAGATACTCAGGAGGCTAAGACTGGAGAACCTCTTGAGCTCAGGAAGCAGAGGTTGCAGTGAGCCGAGATTGCACTACTGCACTCCAGCCTGGGCAAGAAAGTGAGACCCTTTCTCAAAAACAACAACAGCAACAAAAACAAAAACAAACTTGTTTATCCTCTGAGGTTGAAGCCAACAAAAAGCAGCCCCAAATAAATGAGATTAACTACCTGTGGGTGGAACTGTCTTGGAAGATGACTTATAATTGACTCCAGGCATCTTTCACATCTCCATGAAGGAGAATGAAGAGCCTTCCAAAATCTTCCTCTGCAGTAGTTCATTCATTCAACACTATTCACCTTGATGTCTGCCGTGTTTTCCCTTGTAACAATGCTATTTATCTCTTTGGAATTGTATGTCAGTTGGCTGAGCACTGGAGGATATAACAGGGAAGAAAACACATTCCTCATAGTCAGAAAGTTCATGGTCTGGAGTGGGAGACAGTGACCAGGGCACTTCAGCATGTGAGCTATGTGCATTGAGAGGCGTGAGCATCTAGCTCTGACTGGGTGGAGGTATGTGGAAAGGTGTGCCAGGGAGGTGACCGCTAAGTGGACACCTGAAGGACTCATGGGAATCAGCCAAGAGAAGGGAGTGGAGGGAATGTTACGGGATGAGTGGCCACATGTCCCAAGGTCTGGAAAAGTGAGAGAGCACGGAGCGCCTGGCCAGTGGCAAGTGGGAATGTCAAGTTTGAGGGGGAATGGGGTGGGGGTGAGATGGAGAGCTAAGCAGGCCTGGATCATCAGAGGTCTTGGAAGCCGTATTTAGGCATTTGGACTTCGTCCTAGGGAGAGCGAGACATCCCTCAAGTGTGATCCGTAGACGTGTGATATGATCATGATCCCATTTTAGAAAAGCTCCCTGACTGTGTACAACAAGTTAGCCATACTCCTGGTTAAGGGCACAGTCTCCACAAGACTGCCCTCACTTCAGACATCAGCCCCAAGTTTGGAGGTCCTCAGGGTCACCTTCTCTTCTGACAAGTTGCCTAGAAATTCAGGGGTTCCCACACTACCTTCAGGTTTGATGATTCACTAGAACAACTCATGGAAATCCGGGAAGAGCTATACTTATGATTACAGTTTTATTATAATAAAAAGATACAAATTGGAACCTGTCAAAGAAAGGGACACATACAGCAGAATCTGAGAGGGTTTCAAACATGAAGCTTCTGTGTCCTCAGGATACAGTGCCCTGCCAGCATTGTATGTGACAACATTTATGCAGGAAGTCCACTCAAGCTTTGTCATACAGTTTTTACTGGACTATAATGAAGTCCAGAGCCTTCATTAGCTAGTTGTGATTGATCGAATTTTTGCTCTTGTGGGTGGACTCGATCTCCAGGCCTCCTCCCCTTCCCAGAGGTCAGGCTGATATCATGAGGCCCAAAGCCCCAACCCCCTAACCACATGGTTGGTCCTTCTGGCATGGTCAACCCATACACTGAGTCCTCTCATACTAAATAAGGGACCCACCACGAATAACACAGATACTCCTATCACTTGGGAAATTGCAAGGATTTAGAGGTTACCTCCCAGGAGCTGGGACGAATGCCAGATCTCTCCTTAGGTGAGGCCAGATTCCTTACTCACACCGTGGTGTGGCAATTAGACTGGATGAAAGCAAGTTTAGAAGCAGGGAAATCAATTGCTAGTTGCTGCAGCAATCCAAGGAAGAGAACATGGTGGTCTGGACCAAAGAACAGCAGAAGGAATGGAAAGAAGTGGAAGGTTTTCAAATGCTTGAATCCTAGAATGTCAGGACTTGGTGGCTGACTACTGGATAAGGGGTTTGAAGGATGGGGAGGAGTCAAGGATGATGAATAGGTATCTGGCCTGGGCAAATGGTTGGTTTGGGGCTGCTGTTTGCCAACACCTTTGGCTTTTCAGTTTCCTGAACAATCAGCCTCGCAGAGTGCTTGGCACATAGTGAGCATTCCATAAATATCTATTGAATAAAGAATGAACGAATGAATGGACTCATCTTTAAGCAAAAGAGACAGTGACTGGACCTAGACTGCTGCAAGAGAGCAGACCAGGCTCAGAAATGTTTATTGTCCACTTCTGAGACGGGGTCACAGAGGAGCTCACCTATCTTCAGCAACTGGACATTTTCACCTTCCATGTAGGAGGCTTCCCAGGCCTGCTTAAGTAGGTGTGTATGTGTATGTGTATGTGTATGTGTATGTGTATGTGTATGTGTATGTTTATGTGTACATGTATGTGTGTAATGAGCGGTGGCTCTATGCAAGTTGTGAATTTTATTGATCATTTGAAAGCCTGACTCATAATATTATTTTGGGGAGGCTTGAAAAGGGGCTTATGTGTACTTAGAATGGAATTGGGATGAGTGTTGAGGAGGAACTTACTTTCTCCTCTTTTCACATTTCCGTATGAGGGAGTTTGATTAGGGTGACATTCCTAGCTTCTCTCTGTCTCTTACTCTATTTTCTTTAGTAGTTGAACTGCTTAGTGAGCCTGTAAAGGAAATTGAGGTTATGTGGCTCAGCCACTTCCGGGCCCTCTCTTAGGATCTGCCTGCCTGTAGAGAGTATGATCATTGCTTTCAGCCAGGTGCTTAGTGAGGCAGGCCTCACGGTGGGAGGCCTCGGGGATGCAGCTGTGCTAGTGCGTGGAAGGGCGAGTCTGCCTGATCCTGGGATGCAGTGTTAGAAAGCACACGGTTACTGTGTCCCTAAGTCACATTTCCTGAATCGGTTTTGTTATTCATATGTTCATGAAAGAGGGATGGTATCTATTTCAATCTCTCCCCAACACTGGGCTCCCAGCTGAAGGAAAGATGTCTGCAATGGGCTTTTCATGGCTGAAATGACCCTGCCCTGGTTCCCTGGGGAGTGGTTTTATGGCTCCCTCCCAGCTTCAGTTCCCATTTGTCTTAGTCCATTTTCTGTTGCTATAACTGAATATCTCAGACTAGGTAATTTATAAAGAAAAGAAATTTATGGAATTATTGTAGTTCTGCAGGCTGGAAAGTCCAAGGTCAAGAAACCACATTGAGCAAGAGCCTTGCTGGTGGGGATTCTCCATAGAGGCTCAAGGTGGTGCAGGGTATCACATGGTGGAGGGCTCATGAGAGACCTGAACTGGCTTTTAATAACAGACTCGCTCTTGTGATAACAAACCCACTCCCCTGATTTCCCATTAATCCATTAGCCCATCAATCCATTAATCACATTAACTATTAATTATTAATCAGAGCCCTCCTGACCCATCACCTCTTAAAGGCCCCTCCTGTTAATACTGTTACATTAGAGATTAAGTTTCAACATGAGTTTCAGAGGGGACAAATTCTGTTCTTTTAGAGAGCCTCCCAGATTCCCTTCATGATTAGAATATGGTTATACAGTCTGAGCTGGGATTGAGTTAGGGTTACTGGATTGTGATTTCCAGCTGGTTTTAAGAACCATGAACCTGGTACTCAATAAATACTAGTTGATGGCCTGGGGAATGTGAAGCTTAGGCTTGTGTGATATTGGTGTTGGGTGGGCTTTCGGCAAGACACCAGTGGATATGGGCAATATCTTGGTGCTGATGTTGGCTGCTCCCAGATGCATCTGGGGACTTTTCCAATGCTAACCAACAGGTGCTATTTGTTATATCACAAAAATCCTCCAAGTCCACATGACTGAAAATTGGGGGCAAAGGTCACCTCTGAAAGCTTATTTCTATCTTATTCCTATGTCATTCCTGAAAAATCCATGTGCTTATTATAGATTGTAGTGGTGATAAAAGAGGTGAATTGCTGAACTGACAAAAATACTACAAAGTAGAAGCAGGGGATTAAATATACAAAATTGTAACCTGTGATCAAAATTGTGACTTTGATCTAGGCTTAGAAATTGTTACACCTTAGCCCATGTTACTGGCAGGCAATGTAAAGTCAATATATTGCCAAAGAATTTGTCAGCCACACTGGGCAGTGTCCTCTCTACTAAAAGGCCACAGCCATGGAATGAAAGCCCTGCTCCTGGTCACAGACAGCCCAGGTCTGTTCTGGGAGCCAGATTTAAGGGAGGCCATAGCAGTGCCAGATGGTAGAAGCCAGAATATGGACTGTGGAGCCGGGTAGAACCTGGTTTGAATCCTGCCTCTGCTGTGAATGACCTTGGGCATATAACTTAACCTCTCTGAGCTTCTCTGAGCCACTGTCTTCTTATCTGTGAAATGGGAATGGTAACATCACACTAGATTCTTGTCAAGATCAAAAAAAGATGATGTACTTATATGAGTACCTAGCACCATGCTTTGTTGACATTGACATGTGAGACCCTTTCTCTCAGACTCTATCCTGATTGCATCAGAATTCTACAAGGCCTGGCATCCACTTATCAAGGGTATTAATTTCCTCCACGAGGCTGCTTTGACCTCCAGAACCCAGCGGGCGTGCTCTTCTGAACTCTCCACCTTATCACCTCCATGGATCATATCTTGCTTTGCTGAGTGTGCTTTCTATTCCTGTATCTGCATTTTACTTCCTCGATTAGGGTGTAATCTCTTTCCAAGCAGAAGCTTTCATCTTTTTAAAATGTTCCATTTTTGCATTTTAGCGCCGTGCCTTTTTGCACATAGCGCTTGCTCAAAAAATAGGGATCGGTTGATATTTTATCTACTTTTGTGTCCTAAAAATTGCCCCAGAGTCATGAGCTGAACTTAGCTTACATGAGGTCGTTACTACAAAGTCACAACATGTTTATTCATTTATCTGTTTATGTGGTAGCCCTACCATGACTCACACATCCAAATGAGGATTGCAGCCGTATAAGGGGCACTGTGAAGGCTGACTGTGATTCTGGGAGCCTGTCACCTCGCAAAACATTTTTGGAACTCCTGCTTTGAATCAGTGCCAGAGTTGCAGTGGTGAATCTTCACACCTCCTGGGAGGAGTTATTTTTGGAAACAGTGAAAATCTGTCTGGTCACATTTGGTAGGTGTGGTCATTCAGGGCCTGAGTGTGAGGAGGGATGCTCAGTGGAGTGATAATTAGTTAATATTTAATTGGCCATTTCCAATGTGTCAGCCAGTTTACATCCACTGTCTTATTTTAATCTTAATGTGACCTCTATGAAGTAGGTGGTCTTGTTATCACCATTTTATAGAAAAGGGACCCTGAGGCACAGAGAGTATAAACCACACTCTGTACAGGGACTCCATGGCTTTTTACCCATTATTAAGCTAGTGTAGCAGGCACAGGGGACATACCCAAGTAACCCTTATGTACCCTAGCAGAGATGAGGGACCTGGACACCTTTTTTAAAAACAATAAGGCCAAGGACAGCCACATTTGGATTAGTGGGAGCAGGGGGAGAGTATGGGGAATGCGGGAACCCGGGAGGAGCTAAGAAAACTGGTCAGATCCTGCATCATAGGTGAGTACAGGCACCCCAGGGGGCCCAATGGGAGAGACCAGAGAAGGGAGGAGAGCACTGGGGCTTGTTTGGGAACCTCTGAGTGGGTAAAGATGGTCACTAAAATCTCCAACCAAAGGAATTCTTTTTATGCCTCTCTTTTTTGCTTTCTTAAAATTGTATTCATACTTGCTGATTATAAAAGGAGTTCAAGTTCATCGTAGAAAACTTAGAAAATATAGAGAAGTGATAAAGAAAATAAAAGTCATCTGTAAATGTCCCTCTCCTCCCCCAGGCCTCAGGCTTTGCTAAGACAAGGCCGCTGAGCAGATCAGCACACATCGGGTTATTTATAAAGCTCCCGCCTTCCTCTCCACCCACTCCCCTCTCTCTTGGCTACGGAGAAGCCTTCGGCCAGGACATTCCCTTGCAGCCTACTCAAGCTGCTATATAAAGCCCTGCACTTCTCGGGGCTGGATCAGAACGTTCCTTATCTCTCTGCAGCAGGACGCTGATAATCTGCCCAGCTGGCAGGCGCTCTGAGGTCGGCTTGGGCTGCTGCTCTCAGGGCCTACAGCCCCCGTGTGGTCGTCTTCTCTGGTTCCCACTGAAACTTGGCCAACAACACTAACTGAAACCTCAAATATAGGAAGTTGTTGGCTTGTTTCATTAGAGGGCAGTTGCCAGACAGCTGAGATGAACTTAATGGGCTTGGCATGGGTGACTGGTGTGTCCAGCACATTCAGGCTTAGTGGTCAATACTGATGGCCCATCGTAACGTCCCCTTCGGAAGCAGCTGTGCCAGCTCCCTCCTTCCCCAGCCCCCACCCCTGTTCCATCCCCTCTCTGCATTAGTGCTTGGCTCAGAGTCTTCTTCATCCATATGGCTTCTACAGGCAAAGGCCTTCTGTGGCCAGGTGGCCTGCTGCATTGCAGTGCCACAATTCCAGGCTGGACTTCTACCTAATTGAGAGTGGACCACAGCAGACGTACTTGCTCTGCCTAGAAAATAAGTTTTGTCATGAGAGGCAGAACCATCTTATTGCTGTAAGTCAGGGCAGAGGAGTGTGCAAAAGAGGCAAGGTATTATCCTGAAAAAATACACAGGTTTTAAATCGGAGCTGGTGTGACATCCTAGCTTCTCCACTTAGAAAGAAGTGTGATCCTAAGTAAGTTATGTAACCCCTTCGAAGCCTGGTTTTCTCATCTTTAAAATGTAGAGTGATATTTCCATCTTAGAACTGTTGTAAAATGTAAATAAGATGACATATGTAAAGCACTGAAAACATACATCAGATGGCATTATGGTAGCTATTTTTTTGTTTTGTTTTGTTTTGTTTTTGAGATGGAGTCTCACTCTGTTGCCCGGGCTGGAGTACAGTGGCACAATCTCGGCTCACTGCAACCTCTGCCTCCTGGGTTCAAGCAATTCTCCTGCCTCTACCTCTCAAGTAGATGGGATTACAGGCACCGACTACCACCCCCAGCTGATTTTTGTAGTTTTAGTAGAGACGGGATTTCACCATGTTGGCCAGGCTGGCCTCGAACTCCTGACCTCAGGTGATCTACCTGCCTCGGCCTCCCAAAATGCTAGGATTACAGGCATGCTAGGATTACAGGTGTGAGCCACCGTGCCCAGCCTTATGGTAGCTATTATAATTATTGTTAATAATATTATTATTTATGAACATTTGAATGAGAAAGAGTTGGTGGTTTCTTTTTTTCCTCTTAGATTCAAGATCCAATAGGGAAACTTTTGACCTTGGTTGTTAAGAAACCCATCTAGGCAGGTAGGTGTGTGTTTCCATTGATATTTAAATGAGTTTTTCAAGTGTTGAGAGAATTTTTTCAAAGCAACTTCTGGGCCCTGAGAAGGTTCTGGTTCACCTTCATATTGGCCTCATAAGAATCAGGTCAACCTCATATGAAAAGGCAAGTCGTTGTACCTACTTCTTGGTCAAAATTTAGTAGCAAAATATTCCTGCTGTAAGCCACAAGACATTTTCAAGATGGAATGATTATCTGTAAAACAGCAATAATGAAAACATCACTTACCAGAACTTAGGAGGTACAGTTAAAGCAGTGTCCAGAGGAAAATGCGTAGTGTGATGGATCATTTTGTGTGTCAACTTGACTGGGACACAGGGTGCCCAGATATTTTGTCAAACATTATTCTGGGTGTGTCTGTGAGGGTGTTTCTTTTTTAAAATTATTATTATTATTTTTTTGAGACAAGGTCTTGCTCTGTCACCTAGGCTGGAGTGCAGTGGCGTGATCTTGGCTTACTGCAACCTCCATCTCTTGGGCTCAAGCGATCCTCCCACCTCAGCATCCTGAGTAGCTGAGATCACAGGCATGCCACCATACCTGGCTAATTTTTGTATTATTATTATTTTTTGAGATGGAGTCTTGCTCTGTCAGCCAGGCTGGAGTGCAGTGGCATGATCTTGGCTCACTGCAACCTCTGCCTCCCAGGTTTGAGCAACTCTTATGCCTCAGCCTCCCGAGTAGCTGGGATTACAGGTGTGCACCACCACATCCAGCTAATTTTTCTATTTTTAGTAGAGATGAGGTTTTTGCCACATTGGCCAGGCTGGTCTTGAACTCTTGGGCTCAAGTGATCCACCTGCCTCAGCCTCTCAAAGTGCTGGGATGACAGGTGTGGGCCCCCATGCTGGCTGAGGGTGTTTCTATGTGAGATTAGTGTTTGAATTGGTAGATTGTAAAGCAGACTGCCCTTCCTGATGTGGGTGAGCCTCTTCCAATTCATTGAAGGCCTGAATGGATCAAAAAGGCAGAATAAGAGAATCTTCTCTCTCTCTCTCTACCTATCTTTGAGCTGGAACATCAATCTTCTCCTGTCTTCAGACTCAGACTTGGACTGGAACTTAAATCATAAGCAATCGTGGTTCTCAGGCCCTCAGACTTGGACTGGAATGACATCATCAGTTCTCCTGGGTCTCCAGGTTGCTGACTGCAGATCTTACAAATTCTCATCCTCCATAATTGTGTGAGCCAATTCCTCATAACAATTTAATACATATCTACATAGATATCCGATTAGTTATGTTTCTCTGGATAACTCTGATTAATATGCATAGTCTTATAATGAATTAATAAAAAATTAAACAGGAATGAGAAAATGAAATAAGCATCCAATGGAAGTAGTTAGAAAAAAGGCAATAAATGTCAAGAAAGCAGAAAGGAATTAATAAATGTTAAAACAGAAATCAATTAATTAAAAAACAAAAATATTTTATAATTGATAAACTGATACATAATAAATATATTCAAAATAAAATTCTTTGAAAAAACAGTAAGATTTCTAAATTGTCAGCTAATCCTCTTGAGAGAAAAGAAAAGAGGAAGCACAAATAAGAAATGCTAAGGGGTACTCGAGAGGCTGAGGTGGGAGAATCACTTGAGCTCAGGAGTTCAAGGTCAGTCTGAGCAACACAGCGAGATGCTGTCTCTAAAAAAATTAAAAAAAAAAATAGCCAGGTGTGGTGGTGTGTGACTGTGGCTCCAGCTACTTGGGAGGCAGAGGAAGAAGGATCACTTGAGCCCAGGAGTTCAAGGCTGCAGTGAGTTATGATCATGCTATTGCCTAGTTGACAGAGCAAGACCCTGCTCTTAAAAAATAAAAGAAAAAAAGAAATACCAACGGGACAATAACTACAGATAAAGGAAATTAAAAGAATCCTTAGGGACTATTTTGCTGAACTACATGTAAGAAAATTTAAAAACTTATGTAGTTAAGAATTAACCTTACCCAAAGAGAGGTTTGGCTTTTGTCCTGGCTCCTGGAAGGTAAGCTCTGGACCCTTGGAATGTCCTGCCTGATAAGAGTATCTTTGTCTACCTGGGAGCCTTAGGCCACCCTGGATAGTCAAATCCCATGTGATTTATGATGGGAGCTGGGGGCACATGGTATCTGTTCTACCTCCTGTGGGTCCAGAGAGGAAAGGTCAGCCCCATGGACAGTCAATTATGTCTGTGTTCTTGAGCCCCAGTAAAAACTCCGGACACAAAGGCTCAGGTGAGCTTCTCTGTTTGGCAATACTCTGTGTGTATTGTCACACATTGCTGCCGGGGAAAGCAGCATTTTCCATGGCTTCGCAGGGCGAGGGCAACTGGAAGCATTGTGCTTGGAACTTTCCTGGAGTCTGCCCTAAGTGCCTCTTCTCTTGCCTGATTTTAATCTGTATCCTTTGTCTATAATAAACCATTAACCACAATGTAACAGCTTTTAGTGAGTTATGTGAGTCCTGGCAAATTATTGAAACTGAGGGTGGTCAGTTTCAACTTTGTAAAGCCTGACATATTGGATACTTTTCTGGGAAAATATAATTTGCCAAAAACTGACTCAACATCATAGTCAATATCAGTTTTGCCTTAGTTAACCTATAAATTAAAAGAAATCCCAAGAAACCTAACAGTTCATATGAAAAAAGAAGCAATGAAAATCAATGGGAAATGAGCCCTACAAGATATACTGTAATGCATATTATAAACCTACAATAAATAAAATAGTGTAGGACATCTTGGAGTTGGAATGAGATAAGACGTCCAGAAATAAACCAAAACTTATTGGGAGTTTAGCTTCTGATAATGATGGCATTTCAAATCATTCAGGAAAAGAAATGAATTATTCAATAAATGGTGTTGAGACAACTGGGTAGCCATCTGGAAAAAAATTAAGTTGGATTCAGATCTCACTTCTTATATTAGGATACATACCAGGAGAAGTCAGTGATTTAAATGTTTCAAAATGATAGAAACAAGTTTGGGAGAGTAAAAAAGGATCTAATGACCATGTTGGAACAGGGAAGAACTTCCAAAGTATGACACTAAAAACAGAAGCCATAGAGAAAAAAACAATAACTTCTATTGCATTAAAATTATGCATGGGAAAAAGAACAAAAGTCAGTTCAGAAGAGTAATGTCAAACCAGAAAAATTATGCTAATATTCCTAATGCATAATGACCTTCTCTTCATCAACAAGAAAAATGACATACTATACAGTAAGAACATTTGCAAAAGGTATGAACAGAGAGTTCGTAGAAAAAGGAACACAAGTGTTTTATGAACATATACAAAGCTGCTTCACATTACTCATAGTAAGAGAAATAGTAAAATAAAACAACAGAGATAGCATTTATCATTTTTTACTTAACAAATTGACAAAAGATTAAAAATTTGTTTATATACTGTTGGTGAAGGTATGAAGAACAGAAACTCTTATACGTTGCCGACGGGACACTAAATCTATACAGCCTATATAGGTGACAAAAATGACAAATGTACACACCTGTTGTTTAGCTTTCTACTCCTAGCAATTTATCCTAGTCACTTTTGGACAAAATGAAGTATGTACCAAGTTATTCACTGCAACATTGTTTGAAAGAGTAAAAGACTGGAAACCTTTTAAATGTCTATCAGAAAAGCAGCAACTAAATCAGTTCTTGTATGTTGAGGCAATGTAATACTATGCAGCTCTAAAAAAATTAAGATTAGTTCATCTTTAATGCAAGTAAAAAAAAAAAAAGGAAGTTTTGTTTTGTTTTGTTTTGAGATGGAGTCTCACTCTGTCCCAGGCTGGAGTGCAATGGCATGATCTTAGCTCACTGCAACCTCCACCTCCTGTATTCAAGCTATTCTCCTGCCTCAGCCTCCCGAGTAGCTAATTTTTGTATTTTTTTAGTAGAGATGGGGTTTCACCATGTTGGCCAGGCTGGTCTCGAACTCCTGACCTCATGATCCACCCACCTCGGCCTCCCAAAGCATTGGGATTACAGGCGTGAGCCACCTTGCCCGGCCCTCGAAGGAAGTTCTTTATGTACTGATATGGGAATAACCTCCCAGATACACTTCACAGTGAAAAAATAAGGTGCAGAACAGTGTGTGCAAAAGTGTGCTATCATTTCTGTAGAATGGGAAAGAACATATGTGACAGTGAGAGCTGATATATAGTGTTGAACCTCCCTTGTGAGGTAGGTACCACAATTATGTCCTGTTCTGTGGATGAGGGTAACTGGGGCACAGAGAAGCTGTCCAAGGTCACATACTAACTGGTGAGGGACAGTGCTACGTCTTGAACTCAGGCAGTCTGGCTTCAGAATTTTTACTCTCATTACTACATCATGTTCTTTTGTATGTATACCTGGGCATATTTGTTTGTATTTTCATAAACTATCTCTGGGTGATTAAGAGAAACTATGGGAAGGGGATATTTCACTGTATTTCCTTCTGTGCATATGACTACTGGGTCACATGAAATATTATCTATATATTTTTTAAAAATTCAATAAACGTATGATTAGGAGCAGGGTGCAGGGGAGGGGGATATGTTGCTTAGGACCTGAGTTCCCTAAGGCAGTTGTAAAATTCCAGCCTGGGTACCAGGGGCAGAAGGTCTCCGCCTGCTGTGCTGGCTACACTGTGTGGCCTCACCATGGCTCTGATCCACTCATAGGGCTCTTGCATGAATGGTGGGTGAAGGTGAGCCAGGAGATGCCCAGGTCCTGCCTACTGGAGGGCTGTGCCAGCCCACCTTGTCTTATTCTGATTCTGGGGTCCAGGGTCAAGGAGGTGGTCAGCAGGCTGGACCCTGCACTTGGGCCTTTGGTGTGATCCAAGGCCATTGTCCCCACACCCTGGGGCTATCAGTTTACCTGCTGGGCTTGCTTGGGCATCTCAGGACAGTGGGATGGGATGGGGCAGGGTCTATTTTTGGTGGTGCCCATAATGGGTTCCTGCACAGGAGCATGTTCCTGGGAACAGAGGTGCTGCAAGCAGGAGCACCTTCAGGTTTTCAAGCACTTGGACTTCGCTTCAGCTCCAGATAAGAGGCCTACACAGCAGTGCGAGGGAGTCACCCATGGCCACAGAGAGGGCTGTGGGGCTTCCTTTCTGACATACACTCATCTGAAGAGAATTTCCTTTCTCTGCCCTCCCCTTTCTTTGCTTGTCTGGGCACAGCCTGGCGCTGCTGTGTGATGAGTTGGTGCCAGGTGTTCAGAGGCCACCCCTCCCCAGTGGCTGGCCTCCTCCTCCATCTGTGATGAAGGAACCAGAATACCTGCAACAACCACGCAAACTCACAACCACAACTGCCACAAACCACACAACAACCATAGCTGCAACAACCACAGCCATTTGACCACACACCACAAGTGCAGTAACTACCAGAACTGCAGCAACCACACAAGCCACAACAGCAGCAACCACAACACCCGCACAACCACACATCCACAGGGGCCATTAGCTGCTGTTTACCAAATGCGTACTTTGCTCTCACTTAAGACCCTGAGATGCAGTCCCGCAGCCTCCTGCTGTAGATCAGTGGAGGCTGAGGAGGTTGGGTGACTTCCGAAGACTGTCAGGCAGGAATGGGTGGGGCTGGTCTTTGGCTCAGAGACCTTGCTCCTTGGAGGGAAGGTGTGGTCCTTTGAGGACTTCCGTGTCAATTTGGCTGTAAGCCCTCGAGGTGGAAGCTCTTTCTAGTTTCCTTTTCCAGTGGGTGCCCTGAGATGCTTGGCTCCGAACTATGAGAATAAGTGGGCCTCCCTGTGTAAAGGGGTTGGGAGCAACAGGCTTGTTTTCCTCTCGTCCCAGTTCTCATTTTCTGTGGCACCTCATGTGGGAGTTCAGTCAGGCTGGTGGAAAAAATTTTAGATGGAGTTATAGGATATAGACACAAATCTTCTTGGAAGGCTGGGGAGTTCTGCATAGCTTCAGATAGTTTGGCTGAAGGCAGCCAGATTCTCTTTTCAGGAGCCTAAGAGCTTAGGGCGCAGATACAAAGGCATATAAGGGAGTTTATCTAAATAGCATGTTTACACATGTGGTCCTAAGACTAACCTTTGACCATTCGTGGGCAGGATGGCTGTCTTTGGGGGAGGGCAACCAGATTAATTACCCATAGGTGTGTTGACTCAAAGCCTTTGTCATTTAATGTGTGCTGGATAAATGCTGGCAGGACCAGCTAGTTGAGGCCACGGCTGCTACTCTTTACAGCACCTTCCTTGGTGTTTGTGAGGGGCCCAGACCCTTAACTGGACTGACAAGCAGAATATCTGTGTCACTGTACGTTATTCATCCATCGTTGGGTCAGGGTCTGTGGGACAGACCCCCACAACCTCCCACTGGGGAGCAGGCCTCTGGCCTCCTGAAAGCCAATTTCCCAAAGGCCACTTTCCTCCCACCATGCAGTCACAGCTGTATACCTGCTGGTCCACCCTGCTGCCTTGGGGGTCCCGTGAAGGCCGGCTCTGTCTTTCTAGCTTTGCGCCTCTGTGCTCTGTGCAGGGCCTGGCATTTAGCAAGTGGTCTGGCAATGAAGGAAAGAACTTCCCTAGAAGGTTGTAGGGGTCCCCAGATCTTTGTGGCTCACTGTCACGAGTATTTCCAGGTGGATATTTGAGCAGCAGACTGTCATTGGGAAGCAGGGCCTGGGCTCTGGGCCGCATTGGACAAGCAGTTTCTGCTAGCCAGAATCTGCTAGCTTTCTCTCCTGGGTACCGGGGAGGTACTGGGCACAGTGGGCTGAGGCCTGTGGCAAGCTGGGCACAGTCATGGTTCTTTCAGTTTCTGTTTCCTATTAGGGACTGACAATGGAATTAAGGGGCATGGAGAAGAGTGAGGCAGATGGTCCATGCTTCTGGAGAGCTCCGAGGACCTAGATGTTGGGTGTAGGGGGCGCTGGAGGGGATATCAGAGGAGCCATGAGGGGGTCGCAAAGGAGAGGCAGGGAGCGGGTTGGGGTCAGAGTTTGAAGCCAGCTATCAGAGGAGGGAGGGCGCTGGTGGCCTTGCATCATGTGTGGGGTGGAGAGCACAGCCCAGGAAAAACAGTGATGGGGGAAGGAAGGGGTGAGGTGAGGCTGAAAGAAGACGCAAGCTTCTGCTAAGGAGGCTGGGTTTTATGTAATAAGCAACTGGGAGTCATGAGCACCGGAAGATGATGCAGTCCACACGTGGCCACTCAGGAAGACAGCTGCATCTTCTGTGAGGAGGCCTGGGGAGAGCTGTCACCCGGGCAGGATGGTCTACACAAGGTCTGCTGCAAACTCGGGTGCTAGCCTGGGTAGTGGCTGAGAAAATGAGCAGCTGGGACACCAGACGAGCTGGGCTGGGAAGGACGAGGCTGTGTGGTGCATCACCAGCCAGATGCCTGGGGTTGCAGGCTGGGAGTGGGGAAGGTGTGCCCAGGATTTAGAGGACACTGGGGGTGGAGAAGTGGGGGCAAGGGACAGGGGGAGAAGGAGAGGGGATAAGGAGAAATGCATTCTAGATCCAAGAGAATAAGATTTAACAGCAAACTTACTTTGTTCAGTTCATTTCCACATGAGGCTGTGCAAGTGAGAAATGAAGTGTCTCCTCATTACTCTTAATTCTGTCAGTGTTAGGAAGCAAGAAGACTCCCCTCTTCCAGTCCTGGGGGTTGTTAGTTATGCTGAAAAGCACCCTGTGCTCTTTTTTGATTTCAGAGAAGGGGTACATTTTCCTCCAAGGAAGGGGGAGCCAGTTCCGGGACCTATCAGACCAGCACCTCTGAGGTTTGCTAAAGTATTTGCCTGGCTGTTCAGAGGCCCTAGTAACACAGTCAATTAACACATAATTTGTTTTATTTATTTATTTAGAGATGGGATCTTGCTCTGTTGCCCAGGCTGGAGTACAGTGGCATGATCTCAGTTCACTGAAACCTCAACTTCCTGGGCTCAAGTGATCCTCCTGTCTCAGTCTCCTGAGTAGCTGGGATCACAGGTGTGAGCCACCATGCCTGGCTAATTTTTTTGTGGACATGGGGTTTCACTATGTTGCCGAGGCTGGTCTTGAACTCTGGAGCTCAAACAATCTACTTGCCTTGGTCTCCCAAAGTGCTGGGATTATGGGCATGAGCCACCACACCTGGCCATAATTTGTATGTGTATTATAACTATATTCATACAATAAAGTAAGCTAGAGAAAGGAAAATGTTATTATGAAAGTTGTAAGTGAGAGAATACATTTACTATTCATTAGGTAGACGTAGATCATCATAAAAGTCTTTACCCTCATAGCCTTTACATTAAGTAGGCTGAGGAGGTGGGAGAGAAGGGGTTGGTCTTGTCTTGGAGTGGCAGAGGCAGAAGAAAATCTGCATATAAGTAGGCCCAAGCAGTTCAACCCCATGTTGTTTAAGGGTCAACTGTATTTCAAATGAGGAAAGCTTGGGCTAGACTTAGAGAAAGGTAAGCAGGAGAAAAGTAATCATTAGCATGAAATACCTCTGAATTAGAATGCTGTCCACCTCCTCCCTGTCAAACAGCTGTGTGTACCTGGCTCAGGCCCCCTATTATTGTTCTCAAGTGTCAATAAAATTCCATCTGTACCTTCACTGGCTCCTTATCTTCATATAGACCCAGATTTTTGTGCATGCATCTTAGCTCAGATTGCTATAAGAGAATACTAAACTGGGCAGCTAAAGCAACAGACATTTACTTGTTTCTCACAATTTTCAGGATGGAAGTCTGAGATCAGGATACCAACATGTTCAGGTCTGGTAAGGGCTCTCTTCCTGGCTTGCAGACAGCCACCTTCTTGCTGTATCCTCAAATGACAGAGAGAGAGAGAGGAAACTCTACAGTCTCTTCCTCTTCTTATAAGGGTACTAACCCCATTATGAAAGACCAACATTCATGACTTCATTTAAGCCTAATTACCTCCCAAAGGCTTTACCTCCTAATACCATCACATTGGGAGTTAGCATTTTAACATATGAATTTTGAGTGACACAAACATTTAGTTCATAAGAGTATAGTTACCTTGTTCTCCCAAAAGCTTTTTTAATTCTTACAAAGGAGTTAACACTAACTAGTTAATAACATGACTTTGAGGGCTAAGAGATATGCTAGTTGGGAAATGTCTAATATGATATAATGCCTGGCTCACAGCTGGAAGCAATACATCATAGCAATAGTCATTATTGCTTAGATATTTAGTGCTTTTGTAGTTTAGTTCTAAACTTTTGTAATTTTCAATGTGATGTCATTCCACATAAATTTTTTACCTGGAACATGGGCTATAATTTCTTTTAATTATTATAGAAAAGTATATATATTTTCCTCTCACTCTTGAATGAGTAACAGTTTAGCTAGGTATAAAATTCTATATTGATAGTAACTTTCTCTTGGCACTTTGTGAGTTCCTCCCATGTTTTCTGGCATCTGTTTCTGATGATGTTCCTCCCATCAGTGTTCTTTTTTTTTGTAGATAATCTTTTTTTTCCCCCAATGAGATTTTTTTTCTTTATCCTGAGATGTCTCACAGTTTCACTGTAATATATAGACACTTAGCTATATCACAGTGAAAATACAAGTTTCTATGTATCCATATCTAGTGAATTCTAACTTTAATACTGGAAAACTTCAGATATTATCTCTTTGAACATCACTTCTCTCTCATTCCTTTTATTATTTTCTTCTGGAATTCCTATTAGCTGTATGTTGATGCCCGTCAGTGTATCTTCTGTATCTCTTAGCTGCCCTTTCATATTTAAAAAAATACATTTTCCCTCTTTGTGTTGCATTATGGGTGATTTCTACAGTACTGCCTCCTAATTAGTGGATCTCTCTTCTACCATGACAACATAGAGTTTATCCAATACTTATGAGTTTATGTATTTTTTTTTTGAGACTGAGTATCACTCTGTTGCCCAGACTGGAGTGCAATGGTGTGATCATGGCTCACTGCAGCCTTGATTGCCCAGGCTCAAGCAATTCTCCCACCTCAGCCTCCCAAGTAGCTGGGACCACAGGTGCACGCCACTATGCCTGGCTAATTTTGAAATGATTTGTAGAGACGGGGTCTTGCTATGTTGCCCAGGCTGGTCTCAAACTCCTGGGCTCAAGCTATCCTCCTGTCTCAGCTTCCCAAAATGTTAGAATTATAGGAGTGAGCCACTGTGGCTGGCCTGAGTTTATGTATTTTAATACCTATATTTTTCATTTCAATTGGTTCTCTTTTATAACTTGCTTTTGTTTTAGTTTGCCTATTTATTGTTTCATAGTTTATGTTTTTATAAATGGTTGTTAGTCATTCCTTTATATCTTTGAGGATCCTAAACATTTCTTCAAGCACTTTTTAATAGTTGACATATTACATAATTTAAAAAATTTTCTGTCTCTTCCATAGAATGTAAGTTTCAAGAAGGTAGTTGTATTAGTCTGTTTTCACACTGGTATAAAGAACTGCCTGAGACTGGGTGATTTATAAAGAAAAGAGGTTCAATTGACTCACAGTTCTGCATGGATGGGGAGGGCTCAGGAAACTTACAATCATGGTGGAAGGGGAGGAGGCACATCTTACATGGTGGCAGGGAAGAGAGAGCATGCAAGAGCAGGAAAAACTGCCTTATAAAACCATCAGATCTTGTGAGAACTCACTCACGATCATGAGAACAGCATGGGAAAATCACCCCCATGATCCAAGCACCTCTCACCTGGTCCCTCCCTTGACATGTGGGGATTATAAAGGATTATAATTCAAGATGAGATTTGGGTGGGGACACAGAACCAAACCATATCAGCAGTCTTGTTTTGTTGATTATTGTATCTTGAGCACCTAAAACAGTGTCTAGGACATGGTAGGTGCTTAGAATATTTGCTAAATAAATAATCAATTCCTTAAAAAGTCAGTGTCACATTGCCCTACCATTTTCACTTCTTCTGAAGTGAATTCAATTCCTACCATTACATTTTTAGATTACATTTTTTGACTGCCTTTTTAGTCTTTCTCTTGTGGGAGTTATTATTAGTAATTTTAGTCTCTCTCTATGCTCATTCCCTTTCAACCTAGTGGTTTTGCAGTAGCTTCTTTTTGGTCCTCGCAGCCCCCAATTCAGAACCAGATTTTCAATTGTCAGCTCAGGTATCCATACTGCCATGATTTGGGGACGTTGCTGATCCCAACACTGAGCCAGGGGACCTCTTTGGCAAGGTTCCTCTTCAACTGGGATAAGAAGCTTTGTATAAGTCTCAGCCCCAGCATTTTATATTCCTGGTTCTTGGGTGTGAAAGCCCCACCCAGTTTCTGGACTGGGAACCCCTGGCCATGTATAGTTCCCCTTTTACCACAAGAGAAGAGAAAAGCTCCTGGCCACCTCTGCCTGAGTGGTGACCTGGAGAACCTATAGCACCATTTCTGCTGTAGAATTGTATTTCTGTGTTTCTCTGATCCTTGGAGATGCTGATCTTTTTTTTTTTTTTTTTTCCTGGAATGCAATGGCGTGATCTCGGCTCACCGCAACCTCCTGGGCTCAAGCGATTCTCATGCCTCAGCCTCCTGAGCAGCTGGCAGTACATGAACTTGCCACCACGCCCAGCTAATTTTTATATTTTTAGTAGAGACAGGGTTTCACCATATTGCCTAGGCTGGTCTCGAACTCCTGACCTTAGGTGATCCACCTGCAGCAGCCTCCCAAAGGGATGGGATTACATGCGTGAGCCACTGCGCCCGGCCAAGATGCTGATCTTCCGGAGCAAGGCTTGGACTTTCATTTTTAAAATTTTTATATCTTATGTATTATTGCTAGGTGTTTGGAGTGGTGGGGGGCACTTAAAGCATGGATTTACAGTACCATTGTGCCTGGAAGGTGTTTGTGTCCCCCATTAAACCTATTGGAACAGCAGGCCCGCGGGGTTCACTCTGGAATGGCTGCAATGCTGACGTTGGAGGACATGTTAAAGCTCACCTAGCTCTACCTCATCTTACAGAAGCAAGGCCCAGTGGCTTGCTTCAGGCCCCGCATTTTGATAGCCTCGGAGCCAGGAAGGTAAACGTGACTCCGCGCCTGGGTCTTTGAACACTTGCCTTTGAACATCTGATGTTTTTCACGCAGAATGGCCTTCCTGCTTTGCTGCTGTCTGAGCCTCACAGTTTAAGGGTCAGCTCTAGTTCTACCCAGTTTTCTGTAGTCTTTTCTTCTTCCCCAGGCATATGGCACTTAAAAGGGAGGGAAAGAGCATGGGTTTTAATCATTACCTAGTGCCGACCCTGTAGTGGCTCTGCATGTGGGCTGGGCGGAGTGTCTTCACAGTTAATGGCTGTGTGAACGCTCACATTTTATATACGCCACTGCTCTCTAGTGGTCAACCCAGGCATCAACTCTGTAGTCTGGAACAGTGAGTAAAGCCACCCCAAGCCGTTCATAGCAAACATTAAGGTTCTCATAGTCATAACTTTCCTACCATTCATGGAAAAAAAAGTTCAAGTCCTGTTTATTTGGTCTTTCAAAGCCAAATATATTATATTTATTTATATAATCAGAAACTATATATCTACCTCTGTATGTAGAGGTACACACATTCTCCCATTGAAGTTGATCATTTAAGCACCACTGTCCCATAGAAATATCACACAGGGCTGAGGCCAGGCATGGTGGCTCATGCCTGTAATCCCAGCACTTTGGGAGCGTAAGGAAGGAGAATTGCTTGAGCCCAGCAGTTTAAGACCAGCCTGGGCAACATAGCGAGACCCTGTCTCTACAAAAAATAAAAAAATTAGCCAGCGGTAGTGGTGCACATCTGTAGTTCCAGCTACTCGGGAGTCTGAGGCAGGAGGATCACTTGAGCCTGGGAGGTTGAGGCTGCAGTGAGCCGTGATTGTGCCACTGTACTCCAGTCTGGGTGATGAGACTCCATCTCCAAAAAAAACAAAAAAACAAAAAAAACCCAGAAATATAACATGAGCCACATAGTAACTTAAAATTTTCTAGTTGCCGCATTAAAAAATAAAAAACATGTTAAATTCATTTTAATGATATAATTTATTTAACCGAATATATCTAAAATATTATCATTTCAACATGTAATCAATGTAAAAATTACTCACCAGATATTGTATATTCTTTTCTTGATAAGTTTTTGAAATCTGGTATGAATTTTACACTTATAGCACACCTCAGTTCAGACCAGCCTCACTGCAATTGTGGGTAGCCACATGGGACTAGTGGCTACTGCTTTGGACAGCAAAGGTCAAGGGCGGTGGTTTCCAAACTCCGTCCTTGCTCTTGCAATCTCCGGGGAGGGGAGAGGAGCTGAAGTTTAAGTTGATCACCAATGGCCAGTGGCTTTATCAATCATGCCTCATAATGAAGCTTCCATAAAAACCCAAAGAGACAGTGTTCGGAGAACTTCCGGATAGCCGAACACGTGGAGGTTCTTGGAGGGTGGCGTGCTCAGGGAAGGTATGGAAGCTCCATGCTTCTTCCCCCATACCTTGCCCTATGCCTCTCTTTGTTTATATTCTTTGTAATATCCTTCATAATCTGGTAAACATGTTTCCCTGAGTTCTGTAAGCCACTCTGGCAAATTAATCAAACCTAAAGAAATGTGGAAAGCCCAGCTTGAGGATCTGTGACTGGTGTCTGGAGGAAGAGGGAGGCATTCTTGTGGGACTGAGCCCTCAACCTGTGGGATCTGATGCTATCTCCAGGTAGACAGTGTCCGAATTGAATTGGAAGATACCCCTGCAGCTCACGTCTGCTGCTGAATTGATTGCTTGCATGTTGGTGGGGTAAAACCACCGAGTATTTGGTCACAGAAGTCTGTTGTTTTTTGAGACAGAGTCTTGCTCTGTCACCCAGGCTGGAATGCAGTGGTGCAACCTCCGCCTCCTGGATTCAAGCAATTCTCATGCCTCAGTCACCCAAGTTGCTGGGATTACAGGTGTGTACCACCACAGCTGGCTCATTTTTGTATTTTTAATAGAGAAGGGGTTCTTACCATGTTGGCCAGGTTGGTCTCGAACTCCTGGCCTCAAGCTATCTGCTTGGCTTGGCCTCCCAAAGTGCTGGGATTATAAGCTTGAGCCACTGAGCCCGGCCAAAAGTCTTCTGTATTGATGTTGTTGGTGGTGTGAGAGCAGAAGAAACATTGTTCACGTTTGTTCCACTCACCTTGGCTGTTGCCACACACCTTGGAGGATGGCATTGCAATTTTGTGTGCCTCCTTTTAAATGCAGAGCAATGGAAGCTGATAAAATATAAGAAGAGAAAGCCACTGTTTTATGGGGAAGGTCGTTAATATCCTCCCAGGCTTTTAACAGGCCTAAATCTGAGGTGGTACTGGATCAGTTTGTCCCATTTCATGGGGCTGAGGGACAGAGGGGGAAGAATCTTTTTTGGGAGCAGCAGTTTTCCCCTCTGTACTCTGGAAGGAGCATCTTCTTGCAGTTGCTCCAAGTTGCAGACTGGTCTCAGGGTCCTCTCATCTCTAATTGGTGTCCCCCTTGGTTCATCTGTCTGACTGCATGTCCTAGCAAGTCACAGTCCTATCCCAGGCATCAAGGCTGAATTTCAAGGTGTCCTTAAGGTATGTCTTCTGGTCACCCTGTTTATAAATGCAGGCCTTAATTCTCCACTCAGCAGCCTCTACGGCACTCATTAGTAGCTGTGTTTCTTTTTTCAAATATAACCTTTATGGTAGAGTCATAATATGGAAAAGATGCCAGCAGATTGAAATTTTGTAAATCAAATAATTTTGATTGCTCTGGGAGCTCACAATTTAAGGAATCCTGTGGTGAATTCTTTTGTAGACCGAGTAATCAGCCCTCTCTTTGTTTTAAAAATTCAAGTTTTAATATATTATCTTGCCTGAGGGAGATGATTCCACACATATTAAAAATAAAAAAGATGCAAAGAAAAGATCCCATCTTCATGCTCCCCTTCCATATTTAAGTGGCAGTCTGTAATCACAATTATCCGGCTCTCAAGCAATTACACTAAATATTAATGAAAGAACCCTAGTCACACAACTGCGCCCAAGGGAAGCTTCTGCCTGAAAGTCAGGGTTAATGGCCTCACAATCGTTTTAATGGATTTTCAATGAAGTGTGAAGATGACAGGCCAACAAGGGTGAGGTTCCATGACAGAGCACAATTAGCATCTTCCCATTAGTACCTGACCTTGTTTCTATTTTTATTTCTTTACAATCCTGGTGAACTGATTCCCTGAGTATGTATTTATTAGTTTATGTTGAACACAACTCATAAGACCTTTGTTAACTCAGAGTAAGAGCGCCCATCTCCACTGCTTCTGCGGGAGAGGTGTTATAGCTTTGTTCCGTGGGGGGTATTGGTAAAGACCCTCCTGATGATGTTTAGACAGCAAGGCTGATGCCCGCACATTCTAATGACTGACACGCTGCTGCTTTCTACTGGCCCTTTCTAACTCCCTGGCCCCCTTGTGTTCCACCCTTGTGACTCCAACCCCTGAAGAACTCGGCCTGAGACACCCAGCTCCCAGTGCCTGATCCTCTGTTGTTTCTTTGTCCTCTGGAGTAATTGCTAGTGGTTACAAGCTCAGCCCCTGGAATCACATTGATTGGGATGGAATCCTTCCTCTACTAGCTGTGTCTTTTGGCAAGTCACTTGATCGTTTGGTGCCTCAGTTTCCTCAGCTGTAAGATCAGCCTTTAGTGCCTGTGGGCAAGCCAAGGGCCTTCTGTGGAACTCCTCCAGGGTGCCCTGTCTTCCTCCCGCATTTTGAGTCCACGTTCTTAAACCCCAGGAGTTTCCTTGACTCCCCTCTTAGCACTTCTGGGGACTCAGATTTTGCTCCGAATCTCTGGTTCCCTGACTGAGTCCCCTCTTTCAGAAAGGCTGCAGAAACTCTTTTTCCTTGTTTTAAAATTGGTGTTCTAACCTAGGGATTGGCAGACTATGGCCTGCCAACCACATCTAGCCCACAACTTATTGTTATAAATAAAGTTTTATTGGAACAAGCCAGGCTTATTCATTTATGTATTGTCTATGGCTGCTTTCAGGCTGCCACAGCAGAAGTGCGTAGCTGTGACAGAGACAGTGGCTCACAAGTCTAAAATATTACTATCTGGCTTTTTCCAGAAAATGTTTACCAACCCTTTCCTGTGTCCAACCCTTGAAACGTTTACCAACCCTTGAACTGTGTCCCCACAGAAAGATATGTTGAAGTCCTAACCTCCAGTACCTCAGAACGTGACCTTATTTGGAAATAGGGTCTTCACAAAGATAATCAAGTTAAAATAAGTTCATTAGGGTGGGCCTTAATCAATATGAGTAGTGTCCTTATGAAAAGGGGAAATTTAGACACAGAGACAAACGCACACACAGGGAAGATGTTGTGAAGACAACACCCTGTGAAGAGGCAACACCCTGTGAAGAGCGAGGCATCTATGCCTGAGGCTACCAGAAGCCTGTAGGGAGGCCTGGAACAGCTCCTTTCTGAGGGCAACGTGGTCTTAGACTTTAGGCCTCTAGAGCTGTGAGACAATAGATTTCTGTTTTTTTAAGTCACCTGGTATGTGGCAGTTTGTTATGGCAGCCCTAGGAAATGAATGCACTGCCTAACCAATTCTTTTCTTTATTCCTTGTTGTTCTTTTATGTAACACATTTGTATGTTGTGCCAGGTCACTTCAAGGTGGCCCTCATACATGAGGTAATGGTGTCACCACCCAGTGTGTTCATTTTGCCTGCTGCCCAGAAAGAGCTGAAGATCAACACTGGGGAATTGCAATAGAGAAAGAGTTTAATTCACGTAGAGATGGCTAAACAGGAGACCAGAGCTATATTATAACTCAAATCAGCCTCCCCCAAATTTTGGAGGCTAGAGTTTTTCAAGGTTATTTTGGCAGGCAGGGGGAATGGGTGTTGCTGATTGGTTGGGGATGCAATCCTAGGGCTGCGGAAAACAGTCCTTGTGTGTTGAGTCCACCTCTGGGTCGGGGAGCCACAGGCTGGCTGAGTCTTGAGCCACTTGTCCAGGTGGGTAAGTCTGAAAAAGATCTCAAAAGACCAGTCTTAGGTTCTGTGATAGTGCTGTGATCTGCAGAATTAACTGGGGAGGTTGCAAATTTTCTGACCTCTGGAATAATGGCCAGTAATCGTTTATGTCTACACCTCAGCAGCATCTAGTCTCTTCTCATCCTCTTAACCTGGTGGCCTTTCATTCATAGATTTTCATTAGTAAACCACCTTTCATTTCAAAGGCAGTTTAGTTTTGGGGAAGGGCTATTACCATTTAAACTGTAAACTAAATGTCTCCCAAAGGTAGCTTGGCCCATGCCCAGGAATGATGGAGGAAAGTTTGGAGGTTAAAGACAAAATGGGGGTTGGTTAGATCAGATCTCTTTTGCTGTCATAATTTTCTGTTATAATTTTTGCAAAGGCAGTTTCATCAGGGCCACTTGTCAACTCGTTTAACAGGTGACGGAGGCTCAGAGGCTTTGAGGGCCTTGTGCAGGGGCCCCTTGTAGGGCAGCAGTGGGGAGAGAACCAGCAATTCCCGAGGGCCCATTCTGTGCTTTCCTCACATCACTTCGCGGCCCCCACAGCCAGCTGAGGAATTATAGGAAGAATCAGGCAGTTATGACTGGAAAAAGTGTGCTTTCTCTCCTGCCTCACTTCCCTGTCTCTGCGGGCTACTCAGCCACCTGAAGGACTGTCACTGTTGGAACCAGCCTGCACGGGATGTGGAATGTCTAGGGAAGTTGTTTCTTCCAAGGACAATGCTGGCCTCACCAGTGTGTGGCAATAAGAGACAGGATTGCTCTAGAGACTGAAACCACCTTTGCAAAAATCATAACTGAGAAAATTATGACAGTGAAAGATACCAGACATAACTGACCCCATCTTGCTTCTAACCTCTAAACTGTCCTTATTCATTCCTGGGTATAGGCTGAACTAGCTTTGAGAAGGAATTTAGTGTATAGTTTATATAATAGCCCTTCCCAAAAGGCTAAACTGTTCTTGTAAAACAAATGAAAGGCCACCAGCTATGAAGTCAAGATGACAGTGGCTAGAATTCTAACTATTACCAGCCATTATTCCAGAGGTCGTAAGATTTGCAACTTCCCCAGTTACTCTTGAAGGTAACATCACTATTGTGAACCCAAGATCTGCCTTTTGAGATGTCTTTTCAGGTTTTTACATTTCTAACAACTGGATGGCCCCACCTGGACCTGCCAACCAGTTCTGGGGCCCCCACCCAGGAACTGACTCAGCAGAAGAGAACAGCTTTGACTCCCTATGATTTCATCCCCTGGCCAACCAATCAGTACTCCTGATTCACTGGCCCCTGACTCACCAAATTATCCTTAAAAACTCTGATCCCTGAGTTTTCCAGAAGACTGATTTGAGTAATATTAAAACTCTGATCTCCCGCACAGCTGGTTCTGCGTGAATTACTCTTTCTCTGTTGCAATTCCCCTGTCTTGATAAATTGGCTCTGTTTAGGCAGGAGGCAAGGTGAACCCCTTGGGCGGTTAGAGGACCTCTTCTTTGGCCCTGTGGGGTGTGCTGGGGCCTGAGGGGGGACAATGGAAGGGGCCTGGGGGCTGTTCCAGCGTATAAAACCATTGTGAAAGTTGGTGCTTTCCCTGGTTAAGGCTTGGTCTTGGATGCTGTAGGTTCCCCTGACCTCTGGCCCCAGGTGCCCATGCAGTCTAAGGTTCTTGCAGCCATGATCTCTGTTTCTTCCTTGTTCTGCTGTTACAACGATTCTTCCATATCATGGATATTTTGTGAGTTATGACAGTAGTTTGGGGACCACAGGTAGGGACGGTCATCCTGAAAGGGATGATCTCCATTTTATAGAAGAGAAAACTGAGTCTCTGTGGGGGTGAGTCTCACAGCCATCAGGGATGATGGTGGCACTGGGAGTGGCCCTTCTGGCTCTGCAGCTCTTGTGGTCACCCTGGGCTGAGGTGGGGCAGTGTCCATGTGCTTGGCCTCTTTTCCCATCGAACATCATTCAGAATGTGATTCCCATGTGTGGGGTGGGGTGGGGGGAGCGAGAGCCCCAGCATAGACTCCGTGAATGCCCTTCTCCATGCACTGACTATGGAAAGTGCTGGATGCACTGAGTGTCACTAGCTAAGGTAGGGGAGGATGGAGAACTAGAGGGAGAAAAGCCAGGGTGTTTTCTGGGGAAGAGAGGAAGCAGGAGGCAAAAGAACAGAAGAAAAAAGTGTGAAACTGACCTTGAGACATTAACCTATCCCGCTCTCATCCCTGCCTTGTCTCTGTACCCCTCCCCGCAAAGTTGAAGGAGGTGCCACCATCCCGGCCTCAGAGACGCCAGTTCCTGAGACTGCCCAGCCCTGGTTCAGCCTTAGCAAAAAGGTGTAACCAGGGGCTGCAGCTGTCCTGGAACTGTGGGAAAGCCTGGGGTTGGGTGTTGGGGGATCTGAAGCTGGGGTTGAGGAGGAGCTGATAGAAGGACTCTGGGAGGCAAGGTCCCACCTCAGCAGGGTGGGGCAGGTGCCTGGCACGTCATTGTCAAAGGCGTTGGAACCAGAGTGACTCCATCTTGAATAGGGGCTGGGTGAAATGAGGCTGAGAGCTGCTGGGGCAGCATCCCCAGGAGGTTAGGCATTCTCAGTCACAGGATGAGACAGGAGGTCACAAGATGCAGGTCACAAAGACCCCACTGATAAAACAGGATGTGGTAAAGAAGCTGGCCCAAACTTGCCAGAACCAAGATGGTGACAAAAGTGACCTCTGGTTACCCTCACTGCTGATTATATGCTGATTAGAATGCGTTAGCATGCTGAAGACACTCCCATCAGTGCATGACAGTTTACAAATGCCCAGAAGTTACCATGTATGTCTAAAATGGGGAGGAGCTCTCGGTTCCTAGGGAAATCTCTGCCCCATTTCCCAGAAAACTCATGAATAATCCACCTCTTGTTTAGCATATGATCAAGAAATAAAAATAGCCAGTAGCAGCCCTCGGGGCGGTTCTGCCTATGGAGTAGCCACCCTTTTATTCCTTCACTTTTTTTTTTTTTTTGAGACAGTCTCACTCTATTGCCTAGGTTGGAGTGCAGTGGTGTGATCTCGGCTCACTGTGACCTCTGCCTCCTGGGTTTAAGCGATTCTCCTGCCTCAGCCTCCCGAGTAACTGGGACTACAGGTATGAGCCACCATGCCTGGCTAATTTTTGTATTTTTAGTAGAGATGGGTTTTCACCATGTTGGCCAGGCTGGTCTCAAACTCCTGACCTCTGGTGATCCACCTCGGCCTCCCAAAGTGCTGGGATCAGGCGTGAGCTACTGCACCTGGCCTATTCCTTTACTTTTTAAATAAACTTGCTTTCAATTTACTCTGTGAACTTGCCCCAAATTCTTTCTTGTGTGAGCTCCAAGAGCCCTGTCTTAGGGTCTGGATCAGGACTTCTTTCCAGTAACATCCTGACAGTGGTTGGGGAGCAGGGCTGCCCCCTTCCTGCTTGAGGGAGGCTAAATAACAGCCCCCAAATATGTTTATGCCCTAATCCCTGGCACTAGGAGTGTTAACATATATCAAGAGGGACTTTGTCCATGCGGTTAAGGATCTTGAGGTGATTAGCCTGGCTTATCTAAATGGGCCCCAGGTAATCACAAAGGTTCTCATCAGAGGGACCCAGGAGTCAAGAGTCAGAGGAGAAGGCAGGAAGATCCGGGAAGCACAGACTGAAGTGATGCGCTTGCAGAGACTGGAGGGCTGTGCTTTGGAGATGGAGGAGGGGCCAAGGCAGGCCATGGATTGTCTTCCCCACACTTTGGAAGGAACCAGCCCCGCTGATACCTTGATTTTAGCCCCATTAGCCTTATTTTGGACTTCTGACCTCCAGGACTGTAAGAATAATACTGTGTTATTTTAAACCTCTGAGTTTGTGGTGATTTTTTGCGGCAGCTGCAGGAAACAGAAAATGCACTGCCTAGATGGACCCTCTGACTCCCCACCACCCAGGCTGGAGCGGCAGAGGCTGCCAGGAAGAGCCAGAAAACAGGTGAACCCAAGGCCACTCCCTCCCCAGCCTGAGGTAAGCAATTCTGGGAGGTGTGGGGCCGTGTGGGGCCTGCTGAGGCGGTGTGGGGCCTGCTGGACAGCAGCCCTTCCAGGTAGGGTTGGGGTCTTCCCTGTGCCCAAGGCAGGAAGGGATCTAAAGCCCAGCCGCCCCTCCCCTGACCCTCAGGACACTAGCCCCAGTGCAGGGGCCCTCCAGCAGCTGCAGAGCTCCTCTAGCACCTGGTGTGGCACAGCAGCTTCCTTTATCTGATGATAGGTCACTGACCAGCTAATACAGGCCAAGGCTGCTGGGAGGCCAGGAATATGGCCATGAGGAGCACAGCACGATGTTCCCTCTATCACGTGTGCATATTCTAGTGGAGGAAGACTGACAGTAAGTAGGTAAATATATGTACATCAGGTGGTGGCAAGGGCTATGGAAAAAATGAGCAAGAGAGGGGCATAGAAAGTGGTAGGATGGAAGGGAGATAGGGTGGGCAGGGAGGGCCAGATAGAATGCAGTTTGAGCCACTTAGATCTCTGAAGGAAGGAAGAACATTCCAGGGATAGGGACCAGGAGGACACAGGTGCCAGGACAGGAGCATACTGGGCATTTTCAAGGACAGGATGGAACCCAATGTGGCTGGTGTGGAGTGAGAGGTGGGGAAGGGATAGGAGCGGGAATGTGGAGGGAAGATGGCCTGGGGTCCTGTGGGCATTAGCCGGGCTCACAGGGGAGCTCTTGGAGGGTTATGAGCGAGAAGTGAGCTGCTCCGTGCATTCCAAGGATCCCTCTAGGAGACCTGAGATACCTCCTTGCCCTGTTCTGCAGCTGCGCTGGCTGCAAGGTACAGATTTGGCCCTCAGCTAAATTGCAAGGAAGACAGAGGAAGAGAGAGGAAGGTTCCATTCTCCTGTTTCTTGCCCATTTCTCCTCATCAGTGGAACCCTGCCTGTGCATGGTCTTCTTTATTTGCACACAGCTCCCTGCCCTCCCCAATACCTTACCAATGATTTACGCTTTAGTAAAATCAAGGCTATGCATTCCATGACCCCTTCTCCAAAGTGATGAATTATGTCTCCAGAAAAGATATGTTGAAGTCCTAACCCCCAACTACTGCAGAATATGACCTTATTTGGAAATACGGTCATTGTAGATGAATTAGTTAAGATGAAATCACGCTGGAGTAGGATGGGCCCTTAATCCCATATGAATGATGTCCTTTTAAGAAGATAATGTGGGCCGGGTGTGGTGGCTCATGCCTGTAATCCCAGCACTTTGGGAGGCGGGTGGATCACCTGAGGTCAGGAGTTCAAGACCAGCCTGGCCAACATGATGAAACCCCATTTCCACTAAAAATACAAAAATTATCTGAGCGTGGTGATGGGCACCTGTAATCCCAGCTACTCAGGAGGCTGAGGCAAGAGAATCACTTGAACCCAGGAGGCAGAGGTTGCAGTGAGCTGAGATGGCGCCACTGCACTCCAGTCTGGGTGACAGAGTGAAAATCCCTCTCAAAAAAAAAAAAAAAAAAAAAAGCTGATGTGAGATACAAGGGAGGAAGGCCATGTGAATATGGAGGTGGAGGTGGGATTAGGCAGCTGCATGCCAAGAACAAGGCCAAGGATTGCTGGAAACCACTGTGAGCTGGAAGAGGCAGGGAAGGACTCTTCCCCAGAGCCTCCCGAGGGAGCGTGGCCCTGCTGACTCCTGGATTTCAGGCTTCTGGCCTCCAGAATAATGAGAAAATGAATTTCTGTTGCTTTAAGCCACCTGGTTTGTGGTACTTTGTTATGGCAGCCTTGGAAACGAGTCCCAGGGATGTTTCTTAGGGTCTGATTTCTAATCATAAAATTTGAGATTTTATCCCATTCAAAGAAATATCCGAAGTCTTATTAGCCTACTAGTCAGCCTTTACCTGAGGACAAAAGTGCTTTGTTTTGGGGGAATCCTGGGGCTGTATGGGAATTCCAAAGGGCACATTTGGCTCAATGGCCTGGATGTCTTACCTTTGGGAAGCAGGGAGCTGGGAGGAGCCTAGCTGGACCCCTGCCGCTCTGCTGGATGGGTTTGGCTCAGGGTGTGGATATTGGTTAGGTGTGGATACAAAGGCTTGGTCCTTGCTGTGGCAGAGAAGGTTGATAAAGGGGCCTGGGGAAAATTAAATTAGATGCTGAACTTTGCCTTTTATTCATTTGCCTGAAGATTAAGCTGTCCACAGGTTAATCTGCAGGTCCGTTCACAGGCCAGGGACACAAAATGATCAAGACAGAGTCCCCTTCAAACAAACACCACACATGTATGTTCACTGTGGCATCATTCACAATAGCAGAAGGTGCAGACAACCCAAATGTCCCTCAGTGGATGAATGGAGAAACAAAACATGGCACACCCACACAATGGAATGCTCTTCAGCCATAGATGGAATGAAGTACTGCCCCACGCTACAGCATGGACCAACCTCGAAGACATCATGCTGCGTGAAAGAAGTCAGCCAGAAAAGGCCATATACTGTATGATTCCTTTCATGTAATATACCCAGAATAGGCAAAGCCACAGAGACAGAAGGCAGAGTGGTGATTGTCAGGGCTTGGAGGAGGGAGAAATGGGGAGTGGCTGCTTAATGGGTATGGGTTTCCTTTAGGGTGGTGAAAGTGTTCTGGAACTAGGTAGTGGTGATGGTTGTCTAACACTGGGAATGTGCTAAATGTCACTGAATTGTGCAATTGAAAGTGGTAAATTTTATGTAATTTTACTACAATTTTAAAAAAACAACAGAGTGAGAGAAGACAATCAACAGAGAAATAGATATTTAACATATACACTATGAAGACCAAGAAGATGGGCTAAGGAGGCAGAGAGTGATGACGAGGGTGCTATTTTATGGGGTGGTCAAGGCTGGCCTTTCTGAGGAGGATGTGTGGGGAGAGCCAGGCACATGGCTGGGAGGAGACCCTTCCAGGATGTGGAGGAGGAGCAGCAAAGGCCTGGGGCAGAAGTGAGAAGGAGTGCTGGGGAACCAGCAAGAGGCTACCGGGACTGCAGCTGCAGTGGGAGGGGGTGGTGAAGGGATGGGGTGGGGGGGCAGCGGGCAGAAGAGGCCAAGTGCCTGCAACCACTGTCAGGGGTGGGAGCAGAGTAGTGGAGGGAGGGGCGAGTGTGGAAGCAGGAATTCAGCCAGGAGGCCGTTGCAGACAGGGATCTGTTTCTGAAGATCCATCAAGACCGGAGACTAAACACTTGCTTCTTGCTTTGGCTGTGCTGCTATTAATTAGAGCTCTGCAAACGGCCTCTCTCCTGTCCTCAATTCCAGTGCTGCAGAGTCATGATTAAGCAGATCTGTCACTAAGTGAGGATTTTGTTGTGCTTTTTGAATGCAGTGCCTAGGTATGTTCATTTATTTTTCTTTCAAGTTTGTATTGAACGACGTATTATATCTCACATGGTATGTCTCCTGTGCCCCACTGCCTGGGGCTCCCTGTCCCTCTCCACTTGCTTTCTTTTTTCCCATTGCACTTACTTATCACTACCCAACACATTGGACATGCATTTGGCATGCTTGGTTTTATGTGTCAAACTTGGCTAAGCTATAAGATCCAGTTATTTTTTTTTATTTTTTCATTTTTATTTTTGAGATGGAGTCTCGCTTTGTGGCCCAGGCTAGTGTGCAGTGGCGCGATATCGGCTCACTGCAAGCTCTGCCTCCTGGGTTCACGCCATTCTCCTGCCTCAGCCTCCTGAGTAGCTGGGACTACAGGCGCCCGCCACCATGCTTGGCTAATTTTTTTATTTTTTATTTTTTAGTAGAGACGGGGTTTCACTGTGTTAGCCAGGATGGTCTCGATCTCCTGACCTTGTGATCTGCCCGCCTTTGCCTCCCAAAGTGCTGGAATTACAGGTGGGAGCCACCGCGCCCAGGCAAGACCCAGTTATTGAAGCAAACACTAACCTAGTGTTGCTGTGAAGGTATTTTATAGATATGGTAAACAAGATCAGTTGTCTTTAAGTAAAGGAGATTACCCTTGATATCTTGGTGGGCCTCATCTAATCAGTGGAGAGGTTTGAAGAGGAAAACCGACGTTTCCCTATGCAAGAAGAAATTCTGCCCCAAGACTGCAGCATCAGTTCCTGCATGAGTTTCCAGCCTGCTAGCCTGCTCCACAGATCTCAGACTTGCCAGCCTCCACAACTGTATGAGCCAATTCCTGAAATAAATTCCTTTATACATATATGTAATATGTACACATACACACATCTATGTCATCTAGATTTAGAGCTAATCTAGCTCCTCCTGGCTCTGTTTGTCTGGAGAACCCCGACTGATACTGATGTGTTTATTTGCTTATCATCCTCCCTACCCCAGACGGAGGCTCTCTAAGGGGAAGATCTTTTGTCTGTTTCCTTCATGCTGTGTCTGAAGTGACCAGGACAGCAGCCGGCAATAGGACGTGCTCAGTCGATATTGTACAATGGATCTTCATAATTCTTGCTTATTTGTGTGGTTGTTATCTGTCTGAAATTCAAGAAAGAAGGACATGAGAAAAGAAAAGGATGAAAGCACACTGGTCTTATCTGAGGCTGGGGATTTCCCCGTTGGGCCCAGTGTTGTGGATTCTGCAGTTGAGTTGTGTCTGTTTGCAGCTGAAAGAAAGCTGTGGCAGTGAGGAGAGGTTGCAAATTTAGAATCAAGTTCAAGTTCTCCTAGCAACATGCACACCCCCGCTGCTGGCTGGTGTAATCCAAGCACCAAACACGTGCAGCTGGGGCAGTGCGTGTTGCTAGGAGAACAATGACTCTCTTGCTTCCAGAGCTGGTAGGTGACTGCGGTATTACCAGGGGCGCACAAAGTGGGTGTTGCCCTTTGTTTCCCAAGTAATTGTTTTAAAGCAAGGTGAGGAGGAGCCTGGGGAAGGGTAGAATGAGAGAAAGCATGAACCCTGATTTGTGTTTGTTTGTTTAGGAACTAGAGGTTAGTGAAAAGCCTCTTGTTTCAGAATGTGTCCCAAATGGGTTTACAATTAGTGACAGAGTCTGTAGGAGCTTATGAAACAACCAATTCCCCACACTGTTTGGCTCTCAGCATCCACAGACCATCTGGATCAGCTGAGCATGAAGTGTGGGGGCGTGCATTGGGGGTGGGGTCCAGAAACAAAAAAGATCAAGCTGGCATCGGTTGGGGCGGGAGAGGGATTTGGGTTTTCAGATTTCCTTTCGCTTAATTACATTCGCAGGCTGTCCTGATCCTCATTCCCCTTCCCCATTGTTTCTGCCCTGTCAGCGGGGTTGACTGGCTGAAAACAGACCACCCGGGCAGCCAGAAGAACTGTGCCTGTCCCGGCAGCCCTGACTCTGGACAGGTGGTGTGGGGTGGTGTGAGGTGGTTGGGGGACGGGAGAACAGGGAAGCAGGGCCAAGGACAGTAATATCCCTGGCCACTCTTCATATATGTAGTCACCAATGCTCAAAGTCCTCCATGCCCCCACTTCCATCCTGCAAAGGAGGAAGCTGAGCTGCCAAGGAGTGGCAGAGCTGAGAGCAGCACCAGCTCCGTCTCTCCCGAAGACCACCTTCTTTCTCCCATGTCTGCCTGCAGGATTTGATGATGAGACATCGTCTGCTACAGGATTTGCAGGGAAACATGGAGTATCACTTTGGGCCTATTTTCTAAGAGAATGGCCTGAAGAGAATAGATTCAAGTTTTCTCCCAGAAAAGCCTCTGCTTCAGGAGCAGGTAGCAGAAAAAATACAATATGTTCATCAAACAGGTTTGATTCCCCTCCTGGACACATGGAAAGGCTATCTTTTTTTTTTTTTTTTTTTTTTTTTTTTTTTTTTTTAAGACGGAGGCTCGCTCAGCCACTCAGGCTGGAGTACAGTGGCATGATCTCAGCTCACTGCACCCACTGTCTCCTGGGTTCAAGCGATTCTCCCGTCTCAGCCTCCCAGGTAGCTGGGATTATAGGCACCTGCCATCATGCCTGGCTAATTTTTGTATTTTAGTAGAGACAGGGTTTCACCATGTTGGCCAGGCTTGTCTTAAACTCCTGAACTCTGCCCGCCTTGGCCTCCCAAAGTGCTAGGATTACAGGCGTGAGCCACTGCACCCGGCTGGAAAGGCTATCTTTCTGAGCTTCCACTACTGTAAGGTGGAGTCATAGTGTTAGAGTAGGTAGCTAAGCAGACATGAGCAGGACAGGAGAGGACTCCCCACCCCCCCCCCGCCCACAGGAATGTCAGGCAACCATCAGGTGATGGTCAGGCAGTTGTTAACTGTCAGTCTAAAATAATAATAGGGCATAGCTGGCACCAAGGAAAGGAAGACTCCTAATAGAAAACACCTGAAGCTGGTGAGCAGCCGCTTCCTGGTAAGATCTCAGGAGCTGGGCAAGTGGGCTCTAGCCTGGGCACTAAGAGGCAAAATGACAGAGTTTAACCTGTATATGACCTTCCTCTAGGAACACTCTACTGGTAAGGGGAGAAATGCCTCAAATGAGCATGTGCACAACTTCAGTAAACATGCTGTGCATGTGGCCCCTCCCAAGTGCCCGCAGGCCACCACACAAGTGGACAGCCCTGGACAGCCCGCCCCTAGGGAAGAATCAAGGGAGGAGAAACAGAAGCCCTGGAACTGTGCTAGCATATAAAACCCCAAGTCAAGGGCTGAATGGCACACTTGGATCTCTCAAGTCACCTGCTTGGCCCCCTTCCAAGTGTATTTACTTCCATTTGTTCCTGCTCTAAAACTTTTTAATAAACTTTCACTCCTGCTCTAAAACTTGCCTCGGTCTCTCCCTCTGCCTTAAAACTACTTCTGCCCCCGCAGCCGAATTCTTTCCTCTGAGAGGGCAAGAATCAAGTTGCTGCGCACCCCTGCAGATTCACTGCTGCTAACAATGGGGCTGGTTTTCTGGCCTGTGGAACGTGGGCTAAAGGGATGAGCAGCCCTGCCTGGCTCGGTCCTAAAACCTGCCATACCATCCTCCCCCTGTTTTCTTCCCGTCTGCTTGTTGGATGCAGGGGACCCAGGGTGGTACTCCAAGGCCCTGAAAGACAGTGGAGCTACTTGGGAGGAGCCCAGGTCCCGAATGCCTTAGTGGAGCAGAATGTCTGCTACACTCAACTCGTATTGGACTCTGAAGGCAAAACTCACCTTTGTTGTGTTGAGCCACTAAGTTTTGGGGGACATCTGAAACAGGCTGTGCTGATTAATACGGAGCGGCCAGGAGGGCATGGGAAATGATCAGTTTTGTGGGCTGGGGGAGAGGCAGTGGGATTTGGTGGAAGTGTTTCCATGAGGGGGCAGAGAAGAGCCTCCTGGAGATAGAAAGGTGAAGTGGAAAGTGCTATCCTAAATTGAGAAAAGGGAGCCAGTGTGTGTGCACCCTCTTATATTTGTAAATTAGAGTTAACACTTCTGGTGGGGCCCTCTGTAAACTGTAAATACGGATAATAATGAAGGTTTGTATTGCATACACACTTTTCTAAGTGCTTCAGATGGATGATCTCATTTAACCTTCATAACATCCCGGTGAGGTAGGAACTATTAATATCAGCCTCATTTTAGAGGTGAGAAAACAGAGATGAAGCACTTTCCCCACCACCACCAGAAAGTAAGTGGCACAGCCAGGATGGAGTTGAGGTATCCAGGCTCTTGAACCTGCCTCTTAACCATGATGTCTCTCTCTCTATGGACTGCACACTAACACCTTTCTAATCAGGATGAAGAATTCTGCTGTTATACCTGGTGGTCTGAAATAAAGCAGAAATTTGGCTGGCTCAAGTGTTCCAGGTTGCTCAAGAAGCCATGCAATTCAATCCTCTCTGAAACGGTGCTGTATATTCCTGGAAGCATCCTAGAGGGAACAGGGAGCGCTGGGCTGATGGGGGAAAATGAGGGTCGAGAATGGGAGAGGCCAGCCTGCATTATTTGTAGGCTCAGAGGAAGGGTCCTGAGTGGAGGACTAAAGGAGCCACTGTGGCTAGACCGGTGCTCTTCTGACCCTGGTGCCACCCAGGAGTGCGTCTCACTGCTGGGGCTGGCCAGCCCTGGCACATCTGGCGAAAGGACTGTTGGTGGGAAGAGACCTCAGCCACCCTCTCTAGACTGTGTCCTAAGAAGGAGGATGGGTCCGAAGGTGGGAAACGTATCCTATACATCTTTTTTTTTGAGATGGAGTTTCGCTCTTCTTGCCCAGGATGGAGTGCAATGGCATGATCTTGGCTCACTGCAACCTCCGCTTCCCGGGTTCAAGCGATTCTCCTGCCTCGGCCTCTCAAGTAGCTGGGATTGCAGGTGTGCACGAGCACACCCAGCTAGTTTTTGTATTTTTAGTAGAGATGAGATTTCACCATGTTGGCCAGGCTGGTCTCAAACTCCTGACCTCAGGTGATCCATCCACCTTGGCCTCCCAAAGTGCCGGGATTACAGGTGTAAGCCACCACACCCGGCCTCCTATACATCTTTGTATCTTATACAAGAGAGGTTTGAATCCGCAAAGCAAATCCTTAGCAAGGGCCTACTATGTTCCAGGAGATGTACTAGATACTGTGATAGTGAACCATGGCACGGCCCCTTCCTCATGGAGCTTTCAGTCTAGAATCTTCATCGGAGGAGGAGCTGAAGGTCATAGGCACTATAGGGGTGGGGCTGGGATGGCAAAAGGGCTCAGAAGTTCAGAAACCTCCAAAGCTAAGTCATACAGTTTGACTGGGATGGGGTTGTTTACTTGCAAGTGTTTTCTGACAGCTGGAAGCTGTTCCTAATGGCAATTTGTCCACAAGAACTTATACACTGCATTTTAGAGTTGTGGGAGAGTGAAGGAGCCCTCACCTGGGCTGGCTTCCACCAGGGAGCCATAAGGGGAGCTCTTGAGTGGGGATTTGGATAACCCTTTTTTAGGACCAGCAGAAATGATGCCCAGAATAGGGTCTTTCCATTTTCAATGTCGCTTTGCATGAAGATCTACTTGAGAGGCTGAGACAGGAGAATCACTTGAACCCGGGAGGCAGAGGTTGCAGTGAGCCAAGATCATTTGGGATCAATTAAGTCTACCTTTAATTTTCTCAGTGCCACAGGCACTCAGATGGAGCTGAAACCTTGCATTGAATTAGGAAGAGAAGAAAAATCATTGGTGGGTCTAGAGCCTGCAGACATGATTTGCTGCTGGGACACTGCATGCAGGCAGCTGCGCTTTTCCCCAGTCTCTCTTGCTTCCTTGGACAGCAGCTTTTGGTAGTGTAAGTGTTGGATGCCCAGCTGATGTTTGGCCTTAGGGTGCAGGCAGACTTGGTGTCCTCATTCCTTCAACAGATGTGCTCTAAGTGGGAACAGCCTCCCTGTGCCAGGGATGTGTCTGTCCCCTATTCATGCAAAAGCAGTGCTGGGAGTGCAGAGGCAATGCGGATGGGAGCTTGCTCATTTTCTTCATATTTCCTTTAGGCTCCGAGACCCCCACGCACTCTCCACATCAGGTTTAATGCAACTCACATGAACTTACAGATGAGCAGGGCAGAATTCCAAAAATATCCCTCTGCGGTCACCTCTCCTGAACTCCAGCCCTCTGTTCCTAGTTGCTTTCTGGATGTCCTGCAACACATCCCAATCATTATGTCCTCCTTTTACTCCACCACCATTTATTTAGAGTCTTCTCTGTGCCAGGCCTTGCTAGTGTGAAGAATAAAGAGTCAAAGAAGAGTTAGCCCTGCATCAGTTCAAATGGCCACCTCCTTCCTCCACCGGACCAAGCATTCCTTGCTCCACAGCGAGTTCTCAGCACCTGGGAGTTAGAACATAGTAGGTGCTCAATAAATATTGTTGCATACATGTTGGATAAACTAAACACCTGTCTTCAAAAGGCTTTGGGAAGATTAGGGAAACAGAAGTGAACCAGTAACTGCAGTTCACCTAGCACAAGTGTTAGGATGGAGGTGAGTAAGAAGCTGTACTGGGGAAGAAGAAGGGCATTTGACTAAGTCTGACTGTGGGACTCAGGGGCTGCTTCCAGGAGGAGGCAATGCTGGAGCTGAGAATTGAAGAATAAGTGAGAGACAGCCTGGTGAGGAAGGGGATGGGAGTTGGGGGAAGGATATTCCAGCTCTTGACAATAGCAGCCCAGGGACACCACTGCAGGTGTATTCTGGGAGCAGTGGTAGTAGGTGAGGTGGAGAGGTCCAGGGCAGGTGGCCAGGCTCATCTTTCTGCAAACCAGCGCCACCTTCCCCATCTTCCCAGGTTCTCTGGTGGGCACCCTCATTGTCCTGGAGCCGTTAGAGCAATCCTCCACAGTCCAGCTTGTCTCTTCCTTGGGATGAAGCCCTCCAGGTTCCATGCTCACTCCAGCTGGGGCCTCTGGTCTAGCACCACCACTCCACCCTCACGTTCTGCTTGCCTGGGTTGCTGTCTCTGTCTCCTAACTGGTCCTCCCACCCCTTGTTTGGCTCCAATTTATCCTGCACACTTCTGCCAGAGTCATCCTTTTAGCGCTCAGATCCTTCCTCTGCTCAATAGATTTCAGCGGCTCCCAGGTATCTACTAAATTAGGTGAAAACTTCTTCTTTTTTTTTTTAAGAGATGGGGTCTCATTGTCACCCAGCCTGAAGTGCAGTGTCACAATCACAGCTCACTGTAACCTTGAACTCCTGGGTTTGTTACATAGATATACATGTGTCATGGTGGTTTGCTGCACCCATCAACCCATCATCTACATTAGGTATTTCTCCTAATCTATCTCTCCCCTTGCCCCCTACCCCCCGACAGGCCCTGGTGTGTAACGTTCCCCTCCCTGTGTCCACGTGTTCTCATTGTTCAACTCCCATGTATGAGTGAGAACATGTGGTGTTTGGTTTCCTGTTCCTCTGTTAGTTTGCTGAGAATGATGGTTTCCAGCTTCATCCATGTCCCTGCAAAGGACATGAACTCATTCTTTTTTATGGCTGCATAGTATTTCATGGTATATATATGCCACATTTTCTTTAACCCAGTCTATCATTGATGGGCATTTGGGTTGGTTCCAAGTCTTTGCTATTGTGAATAGTGCTGCAGTAAACATACGTGTGCATGTGTCTTTATATAGTAGAATGATTTATAATCCTTTGGGAATATACCTAGTAATGGGATTGCTGGTTCAAATGGTATTTCTGACTCTAGATCCTTGAGGAATCGCCACACTGTCTTCCACAATCGAACTAATTTACACTCCCACCAACAGTGTAAAAGTGTTCCTATTTCTCCACATCCTCTCCAGCATCTGTTTTTTCCTGACTTTTTAATGATTGCCATTCTAACTGGTGTGAGATGGTGTCTCATTGTGGTTTTGATTTGCATTTCTCTAATGACCAGTGATGATGAGCTTTTTTTCATGTTTGTTGGCTGCATAAATGTCTTCTTTTGAGAAGTGTCTGTTCATATCCTTTGCCCACTTTTTGATGGGGTTGTTTGTTTTTTCCTTGAAAATTTGTTTAAGTTCCTTGTAGATTCTGGATATTAGCCCTTTGTCAGATGGATAGATTGCAAAAGTTTTCTCCCATTCTGTAGGCTGCCTGTTCACTCTGATGATAGTTACTTTTGCTGTGCAGAAGCTCTTTAGTTTAATTAGATCCCATTTGTCAATTTTGCCTCCAAATTTCTATGGAATCCTATGTGTCTTTCAAGGCCAGTGTTAAACTCTGCTGTCTCTGTGAAGCCTTTCCCAACTCCCTGATGAAATCATATTCTAGCTCTTCCCTCCTCCCTCAGCACTGCGCTAGCCTCCCTGTTGAGCTGGAGGGTGATGGCTCCTTATCAAAGCTATTGGCAGTACTGAGGTGCTAAGCCATGTGTAAGGGCTAGGGCATCCAGGCAGACCTAGACTCTAGCAACCACTGCCTGCAAAGTCCCAAAGGGAGCCCTAGAGGAAGAACAGAGGAGGAAGCAGAATCACCTTTACTCGTAGCTGGGCTTGGACCATAAACCCCATGCAGTGAACTGGGGTTAGCTGGGCTGAGTATGGGGGCCTTCCTCTCCCCAAATCTCTGCTCTTCTTGTTCTCTGGCCAGCCACATGGAAGGACAAGGACAATGCCTCAGCCTGGGCCAGTGAAGTGCATCTGCTGGGTGAACAGAGAACCTCTGCAGCTACGTCCTCAGCTTATCTTTTATGCATAGTGACTACACCCACTTCAAATATGTCAATGTCCTGAAATCTGACCAACCAGATGAGTGCTCTTCTTCCTTGGGTCAGAATGAAAGGCGAGGTGAGGGAGTCTTGAGATCTTCTCATCCTGCCTTTGAAATCCCCCAATACCCAGCACAGTGCTGAAGCCAGAGTAAGAGCAACAGGGAATTGTTGAATTAATTTGAAGTCAATACTGCTACCATGAGACTGGGTCTGCCCCTCACCTCAGAATCCAGGACGTGGAACTTCTAAACAGGGTGAGAATTGACATCAGAGTGCTGTCCACTTGGCTGCTAGGCATCTCATCCCTCTGCCTGCCTCTGTGCGAGTGCACTTAGACAGTGGAGCTCAGTAAAATCCAACAACCCACGGGGCCTGGAGAACTCAGAGGAGATGTCTGTCAAAGCTCACTCCCAGAGATTCTGGCACTCTGGAGGACCACAGAGGAAACAGATATTGTGTGGCACCATGTGATGTAAGGGGGAAGAAAAGCCTGAGAAACAGAACAAACTGGGGAAAAAACACGGTGAAGCAGAAGTACACAGGCTGTGATGGTGTATGTGACCCTCTCTACTTAGAAGGAAGACAGTAAGAGAGGGGGAAGGGAGGAGGAGGAGGCTGCTAGGATCTGCATAGGACCCTGCATGTCAAAAAGGACTTTTGGGGCTGGGTGAGGTGGCTCACGCCTGTAATCCCAGCACTTTGGAAGGCTGAGGTGGGCAGATCACGAGGTCAAGAGATCGAGACCATCCTGGCCAACATGGCGAAACCCCGTTTCTACAAAAAATAAAAAATTTGCCTGGCGTGGTGGCATGCACCTGTAGTCCCAGCTACTTGAGAGGCTGAGGCAGGAGAATGGTGTGAACCCGGGAGGCGGAGGTTGCAGTGAGCTGAGATCGCGCCACTGCACTCCAGCCTGGCTACAGAGTGAGACTCCATCTCAAAATAAATAAATAAATAAATAAATAAATAAATAAATAAAAAAAATAAAAAGGACTTTGAGGAGATGTGTTAATCAAAGGAGCTGAAATCCCTCATTCGGGTCTGCCCTGCCAGGTGCTGGGCCCCTGCTCAGCTTGCCCCAATCCTCTCTCCTGAAGCAGGTGGTCTCGCTTTCCCCGCAGCTGCTACCCATGGTACCCAGTCAGTGAGGGAATGCTGTTTGGCTCGCTGCTCTGTTTCGGGGGTAGAGGTTGGGTCAGGGGTGCCTCTCTCCCTCACTCTGGGGTCAATTCTCATCCTGCCTTGAGATTCCAGGTCTGAACTCTGAAATGGGGGACAGCTTCATTCTTATGATACTGGGCCAATAGTCAGGGGCCTGGGTTCCACTGCTGTGGCTATCAGAATGGGGTCTGCAGGTGGATTTGTTCTTGTACAAGGAATAGCCCTGTACAAGTGGGCAGGTGGAGGTGTTCATGCGCACTCTGAATAGATGCTGGTGGCTGTTGGGATGTCCTAGGTCACTGTGAGGTTCTGTGATTGTGCTTTTGAAGTAGATCAAGTAGGATCCTAGTTAACTTTTGGCTTTTCCTTTGTCCTCCAAATGTCTTTGGGGATGGTAATGTCTGTTCTACTGGTTTCCTGAAGAGTGAGCTGCCTTCTAAATTTTATATAGTAAAATCCTTAAGATCATTTAAATTTCCCATATGGAACTTCGTATTTTTGGATCTCAACTGCATGCTCCTTTCTTTCCCCTCCAAACAAAAGTCTCCTGTTTGAGTTTTTAATGTCAGAACTTGAGGGGCTTACTCTTTAAGTAAGTGTATTTGTAATTTCTTGTATTCACCTGGTTACTAAAGCTATCACAGATCAGAAACTTGGAATACCATGGTTTTTGGTCTTCAAAATGCTTTCGTCAGCATTATTTCGTGCAAGCCTCACCTCCCCCACCTCCGGAAAGGAGGTTGGGTAGATTTTTTATTTTTATCATCATTTTTCCACAGATGGGAACATCGAGGCACAGATGGGCTGGGGCACACGTAGAGTCAGGGCATAGCTGGGATTAGAACCTGGAGTCTCCGCCAAATGCTATTCCCCAGAGACCTCAGCCAGGGAGCGAGGCGCTTCTCCAACGTCAGGGTGTAGAGTCCCGTCTTTGTCTTCTCATCAGCCCAGAGCTGTGGCGCTGTGGGTGTAATGCGCTTGGCACAGGGAAGCCAGGGATTCCAGGAGCAGGAACCTCAGACTCATGCCAGAGATTGTCCTACAGGAGGGGTCACCTGGGGCCGGGGATATCTAACCCACAGAGAGAAAAGGGCCCCTGCAGGCTCTGCGCACCGGCGCCCGTGCAGCCCTCCCCACGGATCACTGTTCCTGGACTGAATGAATTGCTCTATGACCTACAGACTAGCAGTCCCTTCGGTGTTACGCCCTTCCTTCCACCTTCTCTCCCTTTTGTCACCCCGGGTGCCCTCTGGGCCTCCAGGCTCTTGTAGGCCGCCTCCGCCGCCGATTCCGCAGATGGCCACTGGGTGGCGCCCGCGGCGTGCGGGCCGGGCCTTGGCGCTGACTGGGGCGGTGCGTCCAGCCTGCAGCTTCCCGGACCCCCAGCCCGCAGCGGGGCTGCTGGGGCCCCTTCCGCGAGCCTGGGGGCCTGGCGGAGCTGGACGAGGCTCAGGGTCACTTACAGAGAGACAGAGGTGGGTGGGTGGGGACGCTGGAGGTGGGACGGGGTGTGGGGAAGGGGAGGACGCTCGGAGCTCTGACAAGGCGGTGGTTCTTTTCCCCAGGGAAACCCTTTCGGGGTGGAACGGGCTGAACCGTTACCTTGGAAGAGCAGAGGAGAAAACGGTCTCTGCCCACAGAGTGATCTGGGGAGTGGAGGGTTGGGGGGCGGGGGTATCTTCCTTATCTGTTTAGCACATATAGCGCTTACTGCGTGCCAGGTACTTTACAAATGTTAACTCATTTAATTCTCAGGACAACCCCACAGACCCCGTTTTACAGCGGAGGACGCAGAGGCACAGGTTACCTAGTAAGTAGCAGAACCTGGACTCTACCCCAGGTAGCCCAGCTCTCCTGCTGCCTCCCCTCCCTCCTCATAGGGTGGGTAGGAGATGCGGGAGGGAGGCAGGTGTACACCCTCAGCGTTTATGGCCTCCTGCTTCATTCACTACCTCATTCATTCACTCAACAAATCTTGGTGCGGGGCTTCCTGCTGCCCAGGTGTGGTGCTTGCACTACCGTGGTTAGTGAAGCCAGCCACAGTCCTTGTCCTTGTGGACCTGGTGGGGGAGACAGAGATTACTCAACTAATCACACTAACCACGTTCTCCAGATGAGCGTTCTAGAGAAATGAACGCGCTCTCCCTCGCAGCCGCCTCTTCCTCTTGGTCCACTCTATCCCTCCCATCCCAGGCCCACTGGCTTACCTGGCCCAGATGTGTCTGCTGAGATTCTAGCTCAGAGCTGAAGGGTGGACGGTGACTTGACTTTGTTGCACAGCCCTTGGGGACTCCCAAGGCGGACCACATCCATTGTCTTTTTTGGTCTTGTCCAGGGCAAGCTGCTGTGAGTCTCTTGGGGAGGCAGACTTTTTAGAAGGAGTGGGTGGTTCAAATCAGAGAATGTTCTAGGGGAGACTGGAGGGAGTCTTTAGTTTCAAACTGGAATCTGAATCCAGGCTGTCACCTGCTTTGTAGTGTTTGCTGATTTCTGTGACCCATCTGTTGGTAGGTTTCAAGCCACCAGTGAGATACCACAGAGCAAACAGCTGGGAAGAGAGGCCCAGAAGTGACTCTCACCAGGCTGTGTGGTGCTCCCGCACTCCGCCGGCAGTGTCTCTCCCTAGTTGTATGACCTGAGGCAAGTGATTTCACCAATGTAACCTCACTTTCTTCACCTGTAAAATGGGCCAACACCACCTCTCCCAGGCTGTTCGTGTGAGGATTAAATGACTTAGTGTTGTCTCCCACTTAACTACAATTAATTACATTTAATCCTTAGAATGGCCTTACGCATTCTAATTATTTGATTTTATGTCAGTTTTTTCCAATGAACTGCGAACTCCTTGAAGGCAGGGACTATGTCACATTTATCTTTGTATCCCCAGTGTCTAGTACAGAGCTTGGCACATAGTAGGTACTCAATAAGTGTGTCCCTTTCAAACCCAAAGCTATAGTCCTGTGCGAGTGAAACATGTGGTCCACCCTTCAGCCTGGGCCTTCTCTGTGAGCCTGGGGAGGGTGGACCTGTGGACCCTTGCACGGATCCTTCCCAAGGAGCCTGCATGGCTGGTTGAGATTTCAGCTTTTCAAAGTCCTTCCTGGGAACCATGTGCCGTCTGAGGGCTGGCTGTTGGAGGATCACCCTGAGCACATCCCCTGGGCACCTGGAGCCCCCTGCCCTGGCTGTATATCTGTAGAGGACAGTTTAGGGGTGGGGTCTGTATCACAGACATGAGCAGGTCCCTGGCTCCTCCCAGCTTCTCAAAATTTCTGGAACAGGGTGTAGGGAACACCAAGATAATGATGTCATCACCCAAACCTAAAACATATGCCTATACATGGGAAAGGAGCCACCCTGGTCCTCTCTCCATGAAACATAGAATCCATCCTCGGTCCTGCCAGCCCTAGCTCGGATGCGGCTTGAAAACCTCCCTGTGAGCTTCCACTGGTGAGATGGGCTGTCCTCACATCTTCTGTGTTCCCTGACACCTCAGCTGCTGCCACAGGCCCCAGCTTGGCACTACACCCTGCCACCACGAGTTGTACTCCCTTGCACCCCTGCTTCCCTTCCTGTTATCCAGCCACTCCTCTGTCTCTAGGGCTGTGTCCCTGAGTAAGGGGCTACATGGCCTGGTGAGCAGAGAAAAGAGCTGCAGGGAGGCTGTCAGCTCTCTGCAGGAGGCTGCAGTAACCATGCTCTTTCTTACTTTCCACGCTATTTGCTTCTCACCACCCGCGCTAGCTCCTCCCCACAACATCTGCTCGGTGGAGGATGCACATGCTGTTCTCCAGGGTGGGCCTGGAGCATCTCACATCTCCAAGCCCTACAGGTTTCTTCTCCCAAGCAGCCCATTCCCCTCTCCCTCATTCATCAGGATACTGGCCAGGTGTCTTTAACACCTCTTGTCCTCTGTACACTGTATCCCATTAGTCTATAAGTCCTATTGTGCCCACCCTCACTGTTGATTGATTGTGTGCTCTTCTCTCTGTACCCATCACCACTGATTTCCCTGGTCAATTCTCACCTGGATGATTGCTGTGAATTCTTTTTTTTTTTTTTTTTTTTTTTTTTTTTTGAGATGGAGTCTCGCTCTGTCACACAGGCTAGAGTGCAGTGGGGCGATCTCGTTTCACTGGAACCTCTGCCTCCTGGATTCCATATTGCTGTGAGTTCCTAATGGGGTCCTCCTGTCTTTAGTCCTTCCACAGGCTCTACATTTAAGTATGTTCTCCAATGTAAATCATTCGTTTATTCTTTACTTCCATCAATAAACGTGCCAGGTACTGTTCCAGGCACGAGGGAGATGGCTGTGAGCAAGACAGGATCTCCAGTGTCCATGGGGCAACCTCTGTCCATAGCGTTCTGGGGGTTTCCAGAACCATGGGGCTAAGGCACACATCCCTCGGTTGGCATTTGGAGCATGTCAGTGTCAGTCCTGGACTCTTTTTGCAGCCCCTTGTTTTCCATCACCTGCCTGTGAGCTCAGCTCTGGCCTTGCTGACCACTCTGCCTTCTCTAAACACACGATGCAATGTCTTAGGTCTGGAGTGCCCTTCTTTACCTTTCCATCCACTCCCTGGCCTCCAGCTCCAATGCATCCTGCACGGTGCCTTGCACATGGCTGGTGCTCCCTAACAAGCATTGACTCAAATGGGATTGATGGACTGGGAAAACCAAAGGAGGCCCTCTGTTTGCAAAACTGAGCTAAGAGTCTCCTGATCTAACCACCTGAGGTCCTGGGAGTCGCCTCTTCATTGTCTTTGTCCAAGCTTTAATCAAAGTAGGATTCTGTTTACCTCCCTAGAAATTGTGTTGGTATGTCCTATATAAGTGTTTGCTGTTACTGTTGCTAGAAGCTGACTCTGCTATATCCTTAAAACTTCTTGAAGAACTTAATGTCCTTGTGATATGGTTTGGCTCTGTGTCCCCACCCAAATCTCATCTTGTAGCTCCCATAATTCCCATGTGTTGTGGGAGGTACTGGGTGGGAGATGATCGAATCACAGGATAGGTCTTTCCCATGCTGTTCTTGTGATAGTGAATGGGTCTCATGAGATCTGATGGTTTTAAACACAGGAGTTTCTCTGCACAAGCTCTCTTTTTGCCTGCTGCCATTCACGTAAGATGTGACTTGTTCCTCCTTTGTTTCCACCATGATTGTGAGGCTTCCCCACTCACGTGGAACTGTGAGTTCTCCATTGAACCTCTTTCCTTTGTAAATTGCTCAGTCTTGGGTATGTCTTTATCAGCAGTGTGAAAACAGACTAATAGAGTAAGTTGGTACCAGTAGAGTGGGGTGCTGCTGAAAAGATATCCAAAAATGTGGAAATGACTTTGGAATTGGGCAACAGCAGAGGTTGGAACAGTTTGGAGGGCTCAGTAGAAGACAGTAAAATGTGAGAAAGTTTGGAACTCCCCAGAGACTTGTTGAATGGCTTGGACAAAAATGTTGATAGTGATATGAACAATAAGGTCCAGGCTGAGGTGGTCTCAGATGAGATGAGGAACTTGTTGGGAACTGGAGCTAAGGTGACTCTTGTTATGTTTTAGCAAAAAGACTGGTGGCATTTTGCCCCTGCCCTAGAGGTTTGTGGAACTTTGAACTTGAGAGAGATGATTTAGGGTATCTGGCAGAAGAAATTTCTAAGCAGCAAAGCATTCAACAGGTGACTTGGGTGCTGTTAAAGGCATTCAGTTTTATAAAGTTTTATAAGGGAAGCAGAGCATAAAAGTTAGGAAAATTTGCAGCCCAACAATGTGATAGAAAAGAAAATCCCATTTTCTGAGGAGATATTCAAGCTGGCTGTAGAAATTTGTGTAAGTAAAAAGGAGCTGAATGTTAATCCCCAAGACAATGGGGAAAATGTCTCCAGGACATGTCAGAGGTCTTCACAGCAGCCTCTCCCGTCACAGGCCTCGAGGCCTAGGAGAAAAAAGTGGTTTCGTGGGCTGGGTCCAGGGTCCCCATGCTGTGTGCAGCCTAGGGACTTGGTGCCTCACATCCCAGCTGCTCCAGCCATGGCTGAAAGGGGCCTACATAGAGCTTGGGCCATGGCTTCAGAGGGTGCAAGCCCCAAGCCTTGGTGGCTTCCATGCGGCATTGAGCCCACAAGAGCACACAAGTCAAGAACTGGGGTTTGGGAACTTCTGCCTAGATTTCAGAGGATGTATGGAAACACCTAGATGTCCAGGCAGAAGTTTGCTGCAGGAGCAGCGCCCTTATGGAGAACTTCTGCTAGAGCAGTCCAGAAGGGAAATGTGGGTTGGGAGCCCTGACACAGTCCCTACTGGAGCACTGCCTAGTGGAGCTGTGAGAAGAGGGCCACCATCTTCCAGACCCCAGAATGGTAGATCCACTGACAGCTTCTACCATGCACCTGGAAAAGCCACAGACACTCACCACCTGCCCATGAAGGCAGCCAGGAGGGAGGCTGTACCCTGCAAAGCCATAGGGGCAGAGCTGTCCAAGACCATAGAAACCCACCTCTTACACCAGCATGACATGGAGTCAAAGGAGATCATTTTGGAGCTTTAAAATTTGACTGCCCTGCTGGATTTCGGACTTGCATGGGGCCTGTAGCCCCTTTGTTTTGGCCAGTTTCTCCCATTTGGAATGGCTGTATTTACCCAGTGCCTGTAACCCCACTGTATCTAGGAAGTAACTAACTTGCTTTTGATTGTACAGGCTTATAGGTGGAAGGGACTTGCCTTGTCTAAGATGAGACTTTGGACTGCGGACTTTTGAGTTAATGCTGAAATGAGACTTTGGGGGACTGTTGTGAAGGCATGAATGATTTTGAAATGTGAAGATATGAGATTTGGGAGGGTCTGGGGCCAAATGATATGATTTGGCTCTGTGTTCCCACCCAAATCTTATCTTGTACCTCCCATAATTCCCATATGTTGTGGGAGGGACCCAGTGGGAGATGATCGAATCATAGGGGTGGGTCTTTCCTTTGCTGTTCTTGTGATAGTGAATGGGTCTCGTGAGATCTGATGGTTTTAAAAACAGGAGTTTCTCTGCACAAGCCCTCTTTTTGCCTGCTGCTATTCACATAAGATGTGACTTGCTCATCCTTGCCTTCCACCATGATTGTGAGGCTTCCCCAGCCATGTGGAACTGTAAGTCCAAAAAACCTCTTCCTTTTGTAAATTGCCCAGCCTTGGGTATGTCTTTATCAGCAGCGTGAAAATAGACTAATACACCTTGTCATGAAAGTATGATTGTGGCTGGGCATGGTGGCTCATGCCTATAATCCCAGCACTTTGGGAGGCCAAGGCAGGAAGATTGCTTGAGTTTGAGACCCCAGCCTGCACAATATAGTGAGACCCCATCTTTACCAAAAATTAGCTGGGAATGGTGGTGCAAGCCTGTGGTCCTAGCTACTTGGGAAGCTGAGGTGGGAGGATCACTTGAGCCCAGAAGTTCAAGGCTGCAGTGAGCTATGATCGTACCACTGCTCTCCAGCCTGGGTGACAAAGACCCTGTCTCTTAAAAAAAAAAAAAAAAAAAAGAGTAACCAAAAAATAAAAAGTCGAGGAAGAAGGGAAAAAAACACTGGGAATGCCCCACTGGCTGGGAAACTTCTATCAGCCAATCGCAGATACTGAAGGCTAAATTCCAGTTCAACTTTTTAGGTTACTTACTTTTCCACTCTAGGCCTTATTTTGATCTACTTCTGAGAACTAAAGGAGACAACTCATGTAAACAAGCTTAGAACAGTGCCCATATGGTGAGTGCTCAGAAAATATTAGTGAGACACAAATCCAAACACCCCATAGCAGCCTGGAGGAGGGGACACACCTTCATTCATCATAGGTCACAGTCCCCTATCTGCCATTATGAAGTCCAAAAATCTCCAGATTCTGAAGTTTTCTGTTTGTTTGCAAGAAACTTTTTTGGTTGCAAAACCTGACCTGAGCTGATGCTGGCCTCTTTATAGTCTTTATCATACTTGGTGTGAATATTCATGCAGTTCTCTGCAGAACTACTAGGCTGTTTAATTATGAGATGCTAGCTCAGACCCCTATTGGGGATTACAGAGTATAAAGTATATGCACTCCAGTTCTCTCTAAGATTGGAAAATTCTAAGTTCTGAAATGCATCTGGCTCCAAGGATTTCTGATATGGGATTTTAGACCTGTTTTGGGAAGTGTGTCAGGTCATCCCATTACTGGGTATATACCCAAAGGACTATAAATCATGCTGCTATAAAGACACATGCACACGTATGTTTATTGCGGCACTATTCACAATAGCAAAGACTTGGAACCAACCCAAATGTCCAACAATGATAGACTGGATTAAGAAAATGTGGCACATATACACCATGGAATACTATGCAGCCATAAAAAATGATGAGTTCATGTCTTTTGTAGGGACATGGATGAAAATGGAAATCATCATTCTCAGTAAACTATCGCAAGGACAAAAAACCAAACACTGCATGTTCTCACTCATAGATGGGAATTGAACAATGAGAACACATGGACACAGGAAGGGGAACATCACACTCTGGGGACTGTTGTGGGGTGGGGGGAGGGGGGAGAGATAGCATTAGGAGATATACCTAATGCTAAATGACGAGTTAATGGGTGCAGCACACCAGCATGGCACATGTATACATATGTAACTAACCTGCACATCGTGCACATGTACCCTAAAACTTAAAGTATAATAATAATACAAAAAAAGAAAAGAATTTTCAACCCAGAATTTCATATCCAAGCTTCATAAGTGAAGGAGAAATAAAATCCTTTACAGACAAGCAAATGCTGAGAAATTTTTTCATCACCAGGTCTGCCTTACAAGAGCTCCTGAAGGAAGCACTAAACATGGAAAGAATCAACCAGTACCAGCCACTGCAAAAACATGCCAAATTGTAAAGACCATTGATGCTAGGAAGAAACTGCATCAATTAACAGGCAAAATAACCAGCTAACATCATAATGACAGGATCAAATTCACCGATAACAATATTAACCTTAAATGTAAATGGGCTAAATGCCCCAATTAAAAGACACAGACTGGCAAATTGGATAAAGAGTCAAGACCTATCACTGTCCTATATTCAGGAAACCCATCTCACGTGCAGAGACACACATAGGCTCAAAAATACATGGATGGAGGAAGATCTACCAAGCAAATGGAAAGCAAAAAAAAAAAAAAAAAAAAGAAGCAGGGGTTGCAATCCTAGTCTCTGATAAAATAGACTTGAAACCAACAAAGATCAAAAGAGACAAAGAAGGCCATCACATAATGGTAAAGGGATCAATGCAACAAGAAGAGCTAACTATCCTAAATATATATGCACCCAATACAGGAGCACCCAGATTCATAAAGCAAGTTCTTAGAGACCTAAAAAGAGACTTAGACTCCCACACAATAATAATGGGAGACTTTAACACCCCACTGTCAATATTAGATCAATGAGACAGAAGGTTAACAAGGATATCCAGGACTTGAACTCAGCCCTGGACCAAGCAGACCTAATAGACATCTACAGAACTCTCCTCCCCAAATCAACAGAATATACATTCTCCTCAGCACCACATCGCACTTACTCTAAAATTGACCACATAATTGGAAGTAAAGCACTCCTCAGCAAATGTAAAAGAACAGAAATCACAACAAGCTGTCTCTCAGACCACAGTGCAATCAAATTAGAACGCAGGATTAAGAAATTCACTCAAAACTGCACAATTACATGGATACTGAGCAACCTGCTCCTGAATGACTACTGGGTAAATAATGAAATAAAGGCAGAAACAAAGATGTTCTCTGAAACCAATGAGAACAAAGACACAATGTACCAGAATATCTGGACACATTTAAAGCAGTGTCTAGAGGGAAATTTATAGCACTAAATGCCCAAAAAAGAAAGCAGGAAAGATCTAAAATCGACACCCTAACATCACAATTAAAAGAACTAGAGAAGCAAGAGCAAACACATTCAAAAGCTAGCAGAAGGCAAGAAATAACTAAGATCAGAGCAGAACTGAAAGAGATAGAGACACAAAAAGTCCTTCAAAAAATCAATGAATCCAGGAGCTGGTGTTTTGAAAAGATCAACAAAATAGATAGACTGCTAGCAAGACTAATAAAGAAGAAAAGAGAGAAGAATCAAATAGATGCAATAAAAAATGATAAAGGGGATATCACCACAGATCCCACAGAAATACAAACTACCATCAGAGAATACTACACCTCTATGCAAATAAATTAGAAAATCTAGAAGAAATGCATAAATTCCTGGACACTGGACAGATACACCCTCCCAAGACTAAACCAGAAAGAAGTTGAATCTCTGAATAGACCAATAACAGGTTCTGAAATTGAGGCAATAATTAATAGCCTATCAACCAAAAAAAGTCCAGGACCTGATGGATTCACAGCCGAATTCTACCAGAGGTACAAAAAGGAGCTGGTACCATTCCTTCTGAAACTATTCCAATCAATAGAAAAAGAGGGAATCCTCCCTAACTCATTTTATGAGGCCAGCATCATACTGATACCAAAGCCTGGCAGAGACACAACAAGAAAAAAGAGAATTTTAGACCAATATCACTGATGAACATCAATGCGAAAATCCTCAATAAAATACTGGCAAACTGAATCCAGCAGCACATCAAAAAGCTTATCCACCATGATCAAGTTGGCTTCATCCCTGGGATGCAAAGCTGGTTCAACATACGCAAATCAATAAATGTAATCCATCACATAAACAGAACCAATGACAAAAACCACATGATTATCTCAATAGATGCAGAAAAGGCCTTTGACAAAATTCAACAGCGCTTCATGCTAAAAACTCTCAATAAACTAGGTATTGATGGAACCTATCTCAAAATAATAAGAGCTATTTATGACAAACCCACAGCCAATATCATACTGAATGGGCAAAAACTGGAAGCATTCCCTTTGAAAACTGGCACAAGACAAGGATTTCCTCTCTCACCACTCCTATTCAACACAGAGTTGGAAGTTCTGGCCAGGGCAATCAGACAAGAAGAAAGAAATAAAGGGTATTCAGTTAGGAAAAGAGAAAGTCAAATTGTCCCTGTTTGCGGATGACATGGTTGTATGTTTAGAAAACCCCAGTGTCTCAGCCCAAAATCTCCTTAAGCTGATAAGCAACTTCAGCAAAGTCGCAGGATATAAAATCAATGTGCAAAAATCACAAGCATTCCTATACACCAATAACAAACAGCCAAATCATGAGTGAACTCCCATTCACAATTGCTACAAAGAGAATAAAATACCTAGGAATCCAACTTAGAAGGGATGTGAAGGACCTCTTCAGGAGAACTACAAGACACTGCTCAACAAAATAAAAGAGGATACAAACAAATGGAAGAAAATTCCATGCTTATGGATAGGAAGAATCAATATCGTGAAAATGGCCATACTGCCCAAAGTAATTTATAGATTCAATGCTATCCCCATAAAGCTACTACTGACTTTCTTCACCGAATTGGAAAAAATTACTTTAAAGTTCATATGGAACCAAAAAAGAGCCTGAATTGCCAAGACAATCCTAAGCAAAAAGAACAAAGCTGGAGGCATTACATTACCTGACTTCAAACTATACTACAAGGCTACAGTAACCAAAACAGCATGGTACTGGTATGAAAACAGATATATAGACCAATGGAACAGAACAGAGCCCTTAGAAATAACACCACACATCTACAATCATCTGATCTTTGACAAACCTGATTAAAAACAAGAAATGGGGAAAGGATTCCCTATTTAACAAAGGGTGCTGGGAAAACCTGCTACCCATATGTAGAAAGCTGAACCTGGATCTCTTCCTTACACCTTATACAAAAATTAATTCAAGATGGATTAAAGACTTAAATGTTAGACCTAAAACCATAAAAACCCTAGAAGAAAACCTAGGCAATACCATTCAGGACATAGGCATGGGCAAGGACTTCATGACTAAAACACCAAAAGCAATAGCAACACAAGCCAAAAGAGACAAATGGGATCTAATTAAACTAAAGAGCTTCTGCGCAGAAGAAGAAATTACCATCAGAGTGAATAGGCAAACTACAGAATGGGAGAAAATTTTTGCAATCTACCCGTCTGACAAAGGGCTAATATCCAGAATCTACAAAGAACTCAAACAAATTTACAAGAAAAAAACAACACCATCAAAAAGTGGGCAAAGGATATGAACAGACACTTCTCAAAAGAAGACATCTATGCAGCCAACAGAGGCATGAAAAAATGTTCATCATTACTGGCCATCAGAGAAATGCAAATCAAAACCACAATGAGATACCATCTCACGCCAGTTAGAATGGTGATCATTAAAGTCAGGAAACAACAGATGCTGGAGAGGATGTGGAGAAACAGGAACACTTTTACACTGTTGATGGGCGTGTAAATTAGTTCAACCATTGTAGAAGACAGTGTGGCAATTCCTCAAGGATCTAGAACTAGAAATACCATTTGACCCAGCAATCCCATTACTGGGTATATACCTGAAGGATTATAAATCATTCTACTATAAAGACGCATGCACATGTATGTTTATTGCAGCACTGTTCACAATAGCAAAGGCTTGGAACCAACCCAAATGCCCATCAATGATAGACTGGATAAAGAAAATGTGGCATATATACACCATGGAATACTATGCAGCCATAAAAAATGAGTTCATGTCCTTTGCAGGGACATGGATGAAATTGGCAACCAACATTCTCAGCAAAGTAACACAAGAAGAGAAAACCAAATACCACATGTTCTCACTCATAAGTGGGAGCTGAACAATGAGAACACATGGATACAGGGTGGGTAACATCACATACCGGGGCCTGTCAGGGGGTGGGGGGTTGGGGGAAGGATAGCATTAGGAGAAATACCTAATATAAATGGCGAGTTGATGGGTGCAGCACACCAATATGGCACATGTATACCTATGTATCAAACCTGTACGTTGTGTACATGTACCCTAGAACTTAAAGTATAATAATAAAAAGTTCATGAGAAAAAAAGAAAAAGAAAAATCTTACTTCAAATCTAGATCCTCACTGTAACTGAAAATCATTTGGCAACTGTTGGGTCAAATCTTCTGCTATCACCATGGCTGAATAAAAGGGATGCCAACTATCAGTACCAAAATGGCATTATTGAAATAGGTACAGAGGCTGGGTGCGGTAGCTCGCTCCTGTAGTCTCAGCACTTTGGGAGGCCGAGGCGGGTGGATCACTGGAGGTCAGGAGTTTGACACCAGCCTGGCCAACATGGTGAAACCCTGTCTCTACTAAAAATACAAAAATTCACCAGACATGGTGGCGCATGCCTGTAATTCCAGCTACTCGGGTGGCTGAGGCAGGAGAATCACTTGAACCCAGGAGGCGGAGGTTCCCACTGCACTCCAGCCTGGGTGACAGAATGAGACTCTGTCTCAAAAAAAAAAAAAAAAAAAGAGAGAGAGGTACAGAATAAACAATTATTTACCTCTCTGGGCCTTGGTGTTCTCATACAAAATGGGAATAACAATAGCAACTCTCACTGAGCACTTGCTGGGCACTAGACAAAGTTCTAAATCCTTGACATTATTTTATGTAGCTCATTTAATTTTCACAACAACCTTACAGGTTATAATATTCTCATTTTGCACATGAGGTAACCGTGGCCCAGAGAAGTTAAATAATTAGACCAAGCTTATCCAGCTGGTAAATGTGGATCTGAGCTTTGAACCTAGGCAGCTGGGCTTCAGAGCACAAGTTCTAATGATAGTAGTTCCTTCTCTTCCTTCTTCCTTTTCCTGGTAACTGCTTAAAAGCAGTTACCAGGAAAAGGAAATTACCATTCACTCTCATTTATTCTTTTAAATAGCTCCACTCCTTCTTTAGCTAACCGAGGGGCTATGAGGGTTAGTTGCCTTTTCTTCTCCTCTTCATCTGTCCATCCATTTACCTGCCCCTCTATCCATGGACAAGATCAATACAATGTAAACAGCTACAGGGACGCCACTTACCAGCTGTTAGCTACTCTCCTCTCTGAACATCAATTCACTCACCCGTATAAGATAGCATCTCTAATATTTGCCTTACAGACTGCCTGCAAGTATTAAATGAGCTGTTTTATGTATAATGTCTAGCCTTGAATTCATATTTCTCTGTGTAGTTAAAAGAGACATAATTATATTTTAAAAATTCTACTAGTGGTAGAATTAAAGATTTCACTAGTGTTCCCACATTCACATTTATTCCAAATCAGTCATGTTTTCATTTTTGAAAACCTTCATCTCACTGTACCCTGGGACAAGCGAATTCTCCAAGTGTTGAACTGACTAAGGAGCTGATGTCCACCTTGGCCATCACTGTCTTCCTGTGATCAAGGGAGCCATCTGCCTTTCGGATGGCAGGGATTCGGTCACTACGGACTGGCTTAGTGTCCTTACCTTCCTGAACTTGCGGTGGACAATGCCGGGCTGCTTCTTCCTGGAAGAAAGGGATAGGAGGCTTCAGATGTGGCTGTCCCTTCCTTTTCCAGGGAGGCAGTAGTAGGGAGAGCTTCTGGAGAAGCCAGGTTGGACTGGCCCTGGGGGCAGCTGCAATATGTATCGACTTCTAGGGAGTGTTCCAACAGCAAGGCCAAGGGCAGTATTTAGAAATTTCTAGTTCCCTGTGCTTCTGATCCTGGACATGGGGTAGTGAGGGGAGGCAGACAGCCTTTAGCCAGAGACAGCTTGGCACTCAGGCTCCTGCCATCTGGGTTGTGAGTGCTGTGTGTGTATGTGTGTGTCCCTGTGTGTGTGTCTGTTCATAGGTAGACTCTCCAGCCAGATGTCAGAAGGTCTCAAACCAGGTGCAGGGGAGTTTTTGATCAACTGTCTCCCCAACCACACCCCCAAGCATGCCTTCTTCCACCAGTTAAAATGTAGAACTAGATTACAATTCAAAAGAAGTTGAATTTTCATACATTTGTTGCCTTATATCTATGATACCAGGTAATACATTTTAAAAATACAGTCCCTATTACATAATAATCATCAATGGCCAAAAGAAGAAATAGGCAACACATAAGACAAATAAACAAATCAAAGGCTCACGCTATCTGCTGCAGTCCCTTCCCTAGTGCCTCAGGAAGGAGGCTGACATTTCTGGATCTCTCTCTGCAGTCTGGGAGCAGGAGGGCACATGGTGAGCTGCAGTGTTGCTCAAGAGTCCAGGCTGCCAGCAGCCCCCAGCTGAGGCTGAAAGCTGAGCTGAAAGCTTGACTAGCTTGCCCCCATGGAAGCGTTCTCCTCCCAAGAACTCAGAGGCAGGAATGCCCCCAGATCCCATGTGGAGAACGTGTTGGAGCATCTATCTGGACTTTTAATGCAGCTGGGGAGGAGTGAGCCATTGCTGCTGGAGTTCAGGGAGCAGAGAGTTTTCCCTATGGGTGAAAAGTCAGGTGGCTGCTCCGGTGAACAGCAAGGCTTATGACACTGTTTGACCTTGAAGGTGTGACTCTAGAAGGAACTTGCAATTACTGAACACACATTGGTTGGTTATTCTGGCACCCTGCTGAGCCCTGAAGATCCCAAGGTTCACTCCCTCAGCAATCATTTGGTGAGCACTTACCTGCGACAGGCACTGCTCTGGGTGCTGGAGTCAGAGTAGCAGGCAGGACAGAATCAGTAACCCTATTGTCATCGAGCTTGCCTTCTAGTGGTGCTAGACAATGGACAAGTGAAATACACAGCATACTAGCTGGAGAGAAGCATCTGGAGAAAAACAAGGGATAGGAAAGCAGTGTTGGGGGAAAGGTTGTACAACTTTAAATGGGGTGGCTAATAAAGGCCTCACTGAGAAGACGTCATTTACACGACGACCTGAAGGAGGTGAGGGAGTGAGCCTTGTGGTTATCTAGAGAAAGAGTAGAACAGGGAGGAGGAATGGCAGGTGCAAATGCCCTGTGGTAGGGGAGGCCAGTGAGGCCAGAGCAGAGAGTACAAAAGGGAGACAGGTAGGAGATGGTATAGGAAGAGGGGTGAGTCATGCAGCGCTGTGTGGGCTGCCTCAAAGCCTTTGCTGGACAGTTGCTAGCAGAGGAGTGACTTCAGGTTTTACAGGACGGCTTTTGCAGGATGCTGAAGAGAGACTGAAACAGTGTTTGGCCTCTAGCTCTGGGGGCATGGTGAGATGGTTCCTCGAGGGAAGGCCCAGGTGAGGATACCTTCAATTTGGGCCTGAGCATGGAGAAACATGGATGGAATCATCGGGTACCTAGGGAGAGAGGTCGGAGGGGGAGGCTTTGAAATAAACTTGAAAGCGCTCTTGACAAAAAGAGAGAGAAAAGTGGCTATGAAAACTGCAGTGTGGACGGTACAATTCCATTTATGTAAAATTACACATGTATGTATGTAAGAAGTACTCGAGGTGTGTGAAAACTGGTCATTAAAAACAGGCAGTGGTTATTTCTGGGTGGCAGGTTTCAGGTGATCCTTTTTTTCCAAATATATTTCTGTATTGATTACTTATTTTTAAATTCTTACAAGAAGCAGGTATTATTTATATAGCCAGAAAAAAATTCAGTAGAGCCACTTTTTTTTTTTTTTTTTTTTTTTCTGAGATGGCGTCTCACCGTCTCCCAGGCTGGAGTGCAATGGTGCGGCTCACTGCAACCTCTGCCTCCCAGGTTCAAGCGATTCTCCTCTCTCAGCCTCCTGAGTAGCTGGGACTACAGGCGTGTGCCACTGCACCTGGCTAATTTTTGTATTTTTAGTAGAGATAGGGTTTCACCATGTTGGTCAGACTGGTCTCAAACTCCCGACCTCAGGTGATCCTCTCAATAGGCCTCCGAAAGTGCTGGGATTACAGGCGTGAGCCACGGTGCCCAGCCAGCAGAGCCACTTTCCTGGTAGAAGAATGAAAGATTCAGGGCGATTACTGGATTTGTGTTTTGTTCTGCTGATACATTTAACCTTCTCACCAGTTAAAATGTAGAACTAGATTACAGTTCAAAAGAAGTTGAATTTTCCTACATTTATTGCCTTATATCTATGATACCAGGTAATACATTTTAAAAATACAGTCTGTATTGTTTACTTATTTTTAAACCAACTGAAGTAACCAACTCAAAAACAGGATGGAACTAGTTGGATGGGGATGGGGGTGATTTCTTCTTCTCCAGTGGGTCAAAGAGCTAAATTTGATTGGAAGCTGTGGTGGTTTAGCTTCTGCGTGGTTCATTCCTGTTTGCTCCATTCAGAGCATTTCCCCTCCGTGCTGCAAGTTCACAAGCAGCCTATCTGCCTCACTCCAAGCTCATCACTGTCAAGAGGTGGACGCTGTGAGGAGGCGAACTGCAGATTTAGGGCTGAACCTTACCCCGCACCTGATGGGAGTGAAGAAGTGAAAAAGGAAGGAGCGGCACCACCACCTAGAAATCCTGGGCCGCAGAGCAACCGTGGCCCCTTGCACCAACCCCTTTCGAGGAAAGAGTAGAAAGGGCTTTGCAGAGCAAAGTGTGGTGGAGGAGGAGGCTGGCAGGGCCTGTCTCCACAGTCCCACCTCGCTTTCCTGCAGAATCACATCCTGTGAATAATTAACCCCCCGCAGGATGAAGAACTGACTTTCAGCAAGCAGAGATTTCATGAAAATTTAAAGACCCGAGTTGAAGCAGGCTCTGCATGTTGTTTTCGTGGTGGCTTAAATATCTTTGAAAACCCAAAGCCTCAAGGTCTCCCATGGAGGCCACTGTGACATCTGGGGGGGCTTCCTGGACCCCTGAGCCCTCGGGGCTGTATTCCCCAGGGACTATGTCCCGAAAAGGAGGTCAGTGCCTGAGGGTGAGAACACCCCTGGATGCCTCTGCCTAATACCTGTGGGTGGGTTACAGGTGTCTCCCAAAGCGGTGGATCCACGCTGCCGGGTTACCAAGGCAACCTTGCTCCGCCCAGGACACAGGAGGAAGGGCGTGCTGACAGTAGGATCTCAGAGCTGTTTTTCTGTAGGGATCCAGGCTAAAAATACCCCACAATTGACACCCGCATGGTTTTGGAGGCCTCTGCCTTGCATCTCAGTGTGTCAGAAACTGTGCCCTGGCTGTGTTCTGATTCCCCTGAGCAGGGCTTGGCACTGCTTGAGGGTGAGGAGGGCAGGCACATTGGAGAACTGACGATGACCTTACTGGCTGCAGGTGCAGAGGCCTGAGTTAGGGCGGTGTGAAGAGAAGGACAGCTACTTCCCTGGCAGACACAGGGCCTGCCTTGTTTTACCTCGCTGGAAGTCATTAGCTTGGTAACTCCTGGGCAGCCTGCTTAAACCCGTAAAACCATTGGCAGCTCCTGGGGGCACTGGAGACACAGGAGACAGAAGGGTCTCCTGCCCACCCGCCCGCCCTCCCTCCCTCGTGGCCACAGAGAGCTGAGGAGGCCCTCCTGGGTCATTGCAGAGCCTGGGCCTGGGCCATTCTGAGCTTTGCCAGCCTGCGGCTCCTGCTCCTTTTGTTATGTGCTGCAGGGAAGTGCACTGAAGCCGAGAAGGCAAGCTTCTGCTGCTCCCAGGCTGCCAGTCCATGCTTCAGAAGGCAGCCCTCATTCTGAGTTTCCGTGTGGCAAGAGCTTAGGTCCTCACTGTGGTACTGACCCCATAGTGCTGTGGGTTTGAAGGTGTCTTGGGATTCTGATATCTAGGAAACTCCCTCTGACAAGGACCTCTGAGGCCACTGCTACAACCTCAGAGCCCTGTAGGACGGTAATGTGGAGACTCAGACTGTGACTAAAGGGCCACACACCTGGTGACAGGCCGCCTCCCTGCAGTGCTCAAGCAGGGGACTGCCTGGCTGTCAGACGACCCACCAGGCGACCCTAACACACAGAGGCGACCCTAACTGCCTTTAGGTGGGTGCTCCTCCCACCTTTAAAGTCACCGCAGGCTCCTGTTGCAGTGCGGTTTCTGATTGCGCAGGCCTGGTGGGACCTGAGATTCCGCCTTCCTAAGGAGCCCCCAGGTGATGCTCATGTTGCGTTTCTCTGGAGCAACACCGTGAGAAGGAAAGCTTGAGAGCAATGGTTCTCAAACAGGGAAGCAAATACGAATCCTTGGGAAGCATTTGAAAGTTCCAGATTCCTGGGCACTGTCTGAGACTTCCTGAATCAGAGTCATTACATGATGTGTCCAAACAGCTAACAGGTGATTTGATGCATGACTTTGATTTGCAACCACTATCCTCAAGCCTTTAGTGGATGGCTAGACACCGGGAGAAATGTCTCCCCAGGCCAGTCCAAACACTTCCCTATTTTTAGCAAGATTTGCCCTTTGCAACCCTGGCCTACCATCATTCACGCTTCAACAAATTTTTATTAATTCTCTTCTGTGTTTTCATAAGGGTCTATTCTTTCTCTTCTAGGTGGACAGACAGACGGCAGATGACAGCGTCTGCTTCATGCCTCCAAGGGTGTAAAACGGAATCAGAGAAATCTCCAGTGGCTTAGGGTTCGCTAGCTTGGCTTCCTTACATGGTTGCAGAACCACTAATGTTTTCTTAATGAGCTGCCATTTACTTATGCAAATAGCAGGGCACAGATGCCAGGGGGATGAGGGCTTAGCAGAGAGGCGTGCCTCTGCATATGGCTCATGTTTTAACATGAGAGCTGCTGTCCTTGGAGCCTGCCCTCTTATTCATCTTTAACAGCCACTGTGCGGGCTGTGTGTCTGTGTATGCATGTTTGGGGGTCTTGCCAAGCTACACTGGCATGAGGGCATCTCCACCAGCCAGAGGTCCTGGTGGGAGTCATAGGCCAGCCCGTACTCTGCCGGTTCTGCCCACCTCTGTCTTGTGTCTGGCCTCACTGAGCTCTGTGAGGACTGGTAAAGGTGGGGGCAGAAGCTGTTGAACTGTACAGTGTAATGTGCTTGCTAGATCCAAACAGTGCTGTAAGTTTCATTTCTGGTCTCCATGAAAAACTTTTAGCAGAGGTTCTGTTGCATCTTGCCAAAATATTAAAACCACTCTCTTCATTTCTCGCTGGTTTTCCCAAGAAGCTTCCCCCATCACAACAAGAGAAGTTGGTGCTCGGACTTTGATGGTATAAGGTCCCTGAGTGTGTGGTTCCAGCATTGGTGTCAGCATCTTCGTTATTTAAGAGGAGTATCTTGCAGGGCTGTTGGCCTTTGGTGCCACAATAGGCACTGTTGAGACAGAACTGAATAGGCCCCTCTCCTCATGTCCAGGAACTTTTAGAACCTGCACAGGAAAGCAAAAACCTATCTGAAAAGGTGTGCTGGGTAGAGCTAGCAACATGCTTCCGAAGGGCTTCTGGGTCTGCCTGTCCTGGCATCTTATTCGTGCTGCTTTGCCTCCACGTCCTTTCTCCTATAATAACCAGTGGAGCTGCTCAGGATGTCTCCATGGACACTGCTGAGAACAGGCTCTCCCCATCTGGCCAGGCTGCCCCATAGCCTGCTGTGAAACACCTGCTGTAGAATCACAGATGCTGCCCGGTGAGGCCTTCTGCCACTTTCTGGAGATGCCAGACCTGTTACTAACACGGCCTTCCCATCCCCATACCCCATGTTTCTCTAAGCCTCAGCCTATCCTTTTCTCTCTCTGTAGCTGAGGACTTCTCTGCTGTGAACCAGTGTAGATTCTTCCTGGGAAACCAGCCTGGCAGGAAACACCGAATGGACAGTGGATGGCAGGGGTGCAGCATGGTAGAAGGCAGTGGGGGTTTCAGTCCTGGCTGTCACTTAACAGTTGTGAGACATAAATCACCTTGCCTCATGGGTCTCTGTTTCTTTTCCTTTCTTTTTGAGACAGGGTCTTACTCTGTCGCCTAGGCTGGAGTGCATTGGCAGAATCAAGCCTTGACCTCCCAGGCTCAAGTGATCCTCCCACCTCAGCCTCCCGAGTAGCTGGGACCATAGGCATGCTCCACCACACCCAGCTAATGTTTAAATGTTTTGTAGAGACAGGGTCTCACTATGTTGTCCAGGCTGGTCTCCAACTCCTGGACTCAAGCAAACCTCCCACCTAAGGCTCCCAAAGTACTGGGATTACAGGCATGAGCCACCATGCCTGGCCTCAGTTTCTTCATCTGTAAATGAGAAGCTTGGTTTGGCTTTATCTGGCCCACCCTGATTCCAAAAAACAATAAACAGCAACAAAACCAAGAAAAAACCCCATTTGTACTAACATTGAAAAGTTTCATATAAAAGTATGGATTTTGGCCAGGCTCATTCCTCTAATTCCGTTACTTTAGGAGGCTGAAGTGGAAGGATCATTTCAGGCCAGGAATTCAAGATCAGCCTGGGCACCATAGCGAGGTATAGTCTCTACAAGAATAAGAATTAGAATAAGTATAGATTTCTTCCTTCTCTAGGAAGATTGGCATATCTGGCATCATCAGGGCCTCTTGGAGGCCATTGGCTGGACCTGAGTAACTGCTGCCCCTGGCTGTGGGATGTGCTATCAGGCCCACTTCTGTTACCATGCCAGGTCACTCAGTAATTTTACCTATTTGGTTCTCTAGGCATGTATATTAGTTTCCTGGGGTTGCCATAACAAATTCCCACAAACTGAGTGGCTGAGAGCAATAGACGTTTATTCTCTCACAGTTCTGGAGGCCAGAAGTCTGAGATCAAGGTGTTAGCAGGGCCATATGCACTCCTGAGGGCTCGGGGGAAGACGACCCCTTCCTTGCTTCTTTCTAGCTTTGTGTTGTCGGGGGCATGCTTGCTGCTCCTTGGCTTGTGGATGCATCACTCCAACTCTACCTCCATCATCACAGGGCCATATTCTCCCTGGGTGCCCATGTCCCTTTCTAAGGGTGCTAATCATTGGATTGGGGCCCACCCCAAGCCAGTATGACCTCATCTTAACCTGATTACATCCGCAAAGACCCCATTTGCAAATAAGGTTGTATACTGAGGTTCCTGGTGGACATGGATTTTAGAGGATCATTAGTCAACACAGTGTAGCATGTGGGCTAAAACCTCGGGACCAAGCTGATTTCTTCCATTGTTGTTGTAGTTTGTTTTTTTTTTTTTTTTTTTTTTTTTTTTTAAGATAGGTCTTTTTCTGTTGCCTAGGTTGGAGTGCAATGGCATAATCATAGCTCACTGCAGGCTTGAACTCTTGGGCTCAAGCAATCTTCCTGCCTCAGCCTCCTGAGAAGCTGGGAATAGAGGCGTGCACCACTGCACCCAGCTCTGGCTGAGTTCTGATGTCCCTCTGACTCTTAAGTACCCTGATTCGCTGTCCTGCTGACTTCTGCCTTTAGTTTTCTTTTTCTGAATGGCATTTTTACTTCTTCACCTCTCTGGATATGAAGAGGAGGCACTATGATCTTCTGGTCTTGGTTTGGCCACTTGAAGGGCCACCTTGGTGACAGTCATCGCTCTTCTGGGTATTTTGTTTCCCTGTGTCACTGCGGGACAATGGAAGCTTTCCTAACCTTTGGTGGAAGCAAGCTGAGAACAGGATGTATTTTTTTTGCCTGGTGAGATGCAGCCCTCAGTGGCACTGTCTCTGAGCAGCCCTTTCCCCATCTCACTCTGGAGGTCAGTTGTTTTTCCTCTGGACCCCCACAGCACCTTGGACATACCTTTATTCTAGCACTTACCTGCTAGATGGCAATGATCTATTTACAGACCTGTTTCCTCTCTAGTCTTGAGCTTCATGAGGTCAAAGACTGTGTTTTTCCACCAGTCTTTCAGGTGGAAACATGTTAGGCTCTTAATAATTGTTTAATGAGTGGATGATGCTTCAGGGAGTCTACCAACTCTATAATCAGGGTGGGATCAATCCCCTACACCTCCACACCCCTTCATAACATCATAGGCTTGAAGTTACTCTTTGCTTTCTTGAATGCTCCAGCTTCTGACTCTTTCATGGGCTATCCAGCCTTAATTGGGTGGATAATGGGGAAGAGATGGAGAGCTGGAGCCTCCCTTGCCAGCCCTTCTTACTGCTAGGTCTGATGTTGTTTGTGTTTTGCAGTTTCCTTCTCCCAAATTTTGAACCTGCTGAAGAGTAGCATTTTCTAACTTAGGGAGGGCATAGTCACCAGATCTCTGGATGTTGGATGGTGTCCATGGTCTGCCTAATTCTAGCTATACTTTACATCCTTCATCAAAGCCCTTCAGCCCAGTGATGACTCAGTTTCCCCATCTGGCTGTGTCCATGTTTTATTCATTCATTTTTTCCCCAAGCATCTCTGGATTCAGAAATTAGATTCAGAGACAAACCACTGACAGAGATGTTTCTCTGTCTCTTTTCCCCTCCCTGAGTGTGTCCATTCATACCTCCATGAGAAATGATCACTTAAAAATACTTATTTGGGAGACTAATTTATCTATTAGTGTAATGGTAACTTGCAGTCATTAAAAAATATGATGCCCTTCTGTCCTGAAAGAGTTAAATGTCCTTCCCACAATGAGTCACTCCCTCAAGTGGGATAACTGATGTTTTCACGAGTGGATGGGAAACAGTGGACCTCAGAGCAGGTACTTTAGTCACCCAGGTGCCCCAGGGACTTAGGGGATCACTTTTGCATCTCTACTTTTGATGGCAAGGATTGGCTAAGACTGTGTGGCTGAAAAGGCTTTAGAAAGTTGACTGTGATGTAAAAATATAAGGTGTTGATTGTTGTCACTGTGGCTGCAGGTCCTCCAAGGAGCTGCCTGCTGCCCCTTTCAGATAAGGGGCAACTACTCTCTCCCCAGTGCCTAGCACAGTGCCTGACACATATGAGGGACGCAGCCACTGTTTCCTGAATGAATGAACAATCCAACTGCAGAACTAGGGCTTACGTTTCTCAAAGCCTGGAGCTTGTGTCTGATTTACTCATGGCTATATCCCCAGCACCAAGAAGAGATACTTGTTAAATGAAGGATGAACTTCTAAGCCAGAATGGGCAACTTTTTACAACTGAGAATGCCCTCTTTTTACAACTGAGGAAACTGAGGCTCATGCCAATGATCACATCACTTTGTGGGTTTGGCTGTTGGTATTGCCCGCATCTGTAGTCCTGCAGGCAGATTTTTATTACATGGGACACTGTCCTTACACAAGAATTTTGCAAACTCAGTTCCTTGAGACATTGTGCCAAACCCTTCAGCAAAATTGAAATCTGCCACATCTGCTGTGTTCCTCTCAGTCACTAATTTTGGTAATTTGATTACAGAGAAAACCCTCTCTGTTGGAGCTTTTCTCTTCTGAACAAGGAAGCTGATTCTGTTTGAGGTGCTATCAGCCCTCCTTCTGAACAGGTTTTTTTTAACTTTGTGTTTTGTTCTTGAGTTTGGAAAATACAGCATTGACATCAGCTGCAGTGGGCAAACTGCCTCCAGTTCTTTTTAGAGCAGGGCAGGGAATAAGCAAATAAATACCTTCACATATACATAAATACTTTAGGCAGATGCTTCCAGGAGGGGTCAGTACCTGAATGTGTTTTCCTCCAAATAAATCTGGTTGGTGAATGTGGGTGGGGGCAGAGAATGGAGGGAGGAGGACAGGCGGTTTGTTACAGATGACTTTATTCATTGGCTCTGGGAGCCCAGTCCAGCTGTCTGAACTGTGAAACCATGGGCAGGTCTTTCGTTTCTCTGGGCCTCAGTTTCCTCACATGGAAAAACAGTGCATTAGACTAACCTCCGAGTTGCCCATCCTGGCTTAGAAGTTCATACATTCATAGAACAAGTATCTGTTCTAGGGGCTGGGGATGTAGCCCTGAATAAATCAGACACTAACTCCCGGCTTTGAGAAATGTAAGCCCTCATTCTGCAGTTGGATTGTTCATTCATTCAGGAAACAGTGGTTGAGCCCCTCCTATGTGTCAGGCACTGTGCTGGGCACTGGAGAGACAGTGGTGGCCCATGTAGAAGTGGGCTGTGCTAGATTCTAGGAAGCCTGTGGTCTGAGAGGGAAGAAGGACTAACAGTAAGGGATCCTTGTCATAGTGCAGTCGGAGATGGTCAGGGAGCATCTCCCTGAGAGGAGAAGGCTGAACTGAGAGAAGGGTGAGGAAGAGCAGGAGGGAGCATGTTCCCCCCTACAGAAGAGTCACAAGTTCAGAGCCTCCTTCAGCCAGTTTAGTTCCCCTCAGTTCTCACTCAGGCTTTCAGTGCCTTCTGGGCTGCTGGGATACCTTTTGCATTTGGCCTTCCATGCTAAACTCTTTTCCCTAATTTCTATTTTTTTTAAACAATTTTTTCCCATGTCAGTGGGGTTTGAGGCATCAAGGGTGTTTGACAGCATAGAAGCCTTTTGGAACTTTATAGTCTTCTTTTTCTAGTAAGCCTGTCTTTTTTTTTTTTTTTTCTGCATGTTTTCCTTGGAAATGTGGCTGAGGGTTTGTCGGGAGCCCTTGCTTTTGTGGGGGAAGGGCACGTGGGAGCTGGGTCAGGGGACTGATCATGAACCATTTCGTGCCAGCACCAGGAAGGACCCACACACATGTCCCACACTGACTAAAGAACCAGTGTCAAACTGTAACCACTGTGCACCTCAGCAATCTTGGAAGGAACCTCCTCTCATTTAAAAATAAAACACGGCCAGGCATGGTGGCTCACGCCTGTAATCCTAGCACTTTGGGAGGCCCAGGTGGACAGATCACCTGAGGTCAGGAGTTTGAGACCAGCCTGACCAACATGGTGAAACCCCGTCTCTACTAAAAATACAAAAATTAGCCGGGCATGATGGCACACACCTGTAATCCCAGCTATCTGGGAGACTAAGGCAGGAGAATTGCTGGAACCCAGGAGATAGAGGCTACAGTGAGCCAAGATTGCGCCACTGCACTCCAGTCTGGGTGACAGAGAGAGACTCTATCTCAAAAAAATATAAATAAATAAAACAAAAAATAAAACACATGGTTTTCCATATGCATTGTATACCCCAAGGCTGTGGCACCCAGGGGCACTCTTGCCCTCTGAGCTTGGCCATATTGGCCACCTTGCAGCTCCTCAAACTCTCCACGTGCTTCCCTCCTCAGGGCCTTGGCACCTGCTGGGGCTGCTCCTTGGAGCCCTCTTCCCTTCACCTCATGCTCTGCCTGGCTTCCCCTTACTCACCCTTCCTACCTGGCTCCACCTCGCTTCTTCAGAGGAGTCTTCACTGACCCAGGCAAGGTTGGGTCCACTTTAGCATTCGGCCATCACTCCCTATTCTCTTCCTTCATAGCACTCACCTTTGCTAGTAGTTATATATTTGGGGAGTGATTTGATTAGTGGCTGCCCTCCTGATTAGACTCTAAGTCCCTTGAGAGCAGGAGCCATGTCTGTTTGAGTCCCTGTTGTTTCTTTCATTCTTTTTCTTTTTCTTTTTTTTCTTTTTTTTGAGATGAAGTCTCACTCTGTGCCCAGGCTGGAGTGCAGTGGCGTGATCTCGGCTCACCGCAACCTCCGCCTCCTGGTTCGAGCAATTCTTGTGCCTCAGCCTCCTAAGTAGCTGGGATTACAGGCATGCACCACCATGCCTGGCTAATTTTTGTATTTTTCGTAGAGATGGGGTTTCACCATGTTGGCCAGGCTGGTCTTGAATTCCTGACCTCAGGTTATCCGCTCACCTTGGCCTCTCAAAGTGCTGGGATTACAGGCATGAACCAACGTGCCTGGCCTCTGTTTTTCCTTGAGCACAGAGCACAGTGCCTGGCACAGAGTGAGGGCTCCACAAATGTGTTGGATGAGAAGCTGTCACCCATCGCCACTGCCTAGCCTTTCTGGGTGTCTCATTTGCCACTAGGGGCCTCAAATGAGGAAAAGTCATATTTTCTTTTGGTAGCTCTCTGGGCAGTGCTTTTGTGAGACCTGGGCTGAGTCAAACCCTTGGGACAATATGCTTTAGTCATGTTTGACAGCAGCTCTGGACAAAAGGGAAATGAATGGACTCTTTGGAGGCCAGGAGCTCAGTACCCCAGTTAAAAGATGAGATATTTTGGCAAACAGTTGGGAGTTTAAATCCAATGTGCTTGAGATGGTGCTCATCAAATATCCACATGCTCCTCGCATACGCTGGCTTCCCTGGGCATTACACCGGGGCCATGCCTGGCTGTCTCCAGCGGGCTGTGAATGGAAGTAATGGAGCCATTTCCAGGCAGACACAGTTAAGATGGAGTATGCCTTTTTATTTTTACCTTTCATTTTTCAGACTGAGTCTTGCTTTGTCACCCAGGCTGGAGTGTAGTGCACGATCACCGGTCCCTGCAACCTCTGCCTCCTTGGCTCAAGTGATCCTCCCACCTAAGCCTCCTGAGTAGCTGGAACTACAGGTGCGTACCACCATGCCCAGCAAATTTTTTGTAGAGACAGGGTTTTACCATGTTGTCCAGGCTGGTCTCAAACTCCTGGGCTCAAATGATTCTCATGCCTCGACCTTCCAGAGTGCTGGGATTACAGGCATGAGCAATTGCGCCTGGCCTCAGTGTACTTTTTAAATCTCTTTCCTTACCTTGATGGCCATGTTTTTCCACAGGGCATAGTTGCAAGATGGAGGAGGCTCTGTTGACATGCACCAGCCTCTTTGTGAATGAGAAAGAAATCTTTGTTATATTAAGCCTTCAGATTTAAAATTAATCTGATTAAGATTTCAAGATTTGTTACTGCAGCATGTTATGGATTGTCCTGACTAATACTCTTTCACCATGTTAGACCTTCCTCGCAATTCAGTTTTCTCCCAACCAAAATATTTATTTCCTTTTAAATTCATACCTGCTAGCCAGATGGCTTCAGGCATTCTGGGATTTGTATTAAGCATTCCAGGCATCCCACCAGTGATTTTCAGACACCACCTCTTCTGCCAACATTTGGTTGCACTGGTCTCTTGATACAGTTTCCTTCCCCTCCTCCAGGAGCAATGTTTCATGTTAAGTAAATGTCTTCCAGCCCCTGGTGACATTTCTGACAGCTTCTAGAAGAGGAGTTCTGCTTGGCAGATTCCTGGAATGTCTCACATACCCTTTTGACTTCTCCTAGGTGATCTCAGGGCAGAGAGCATGTCCCTCTCAGGCCCTGAGCTCTTCCAGTTATTCAGCAGGCTCCGAATTGAGAGGATCAGACCTAAAGCAGACAACCCCCACCCACACAGACAAATAGTCACGTATAGGTAAAGGAGCTCCTCTCTATCCTAGTGGTAGAGGAGGAAGTCCTGCTGCTTCTTTCTCTTTGTCCTTGGAGAGCTCCTGGGGAGGTGTCAGGGTACCTGCCAAGGACTAAAGGGCTTCTGCTCACGCACCAGAGCTGGTGTCAAATGTCAGATTCTGTTAGAGCTGAAGGGGCCTCTGGCTTGTCTCAGGGTCTGATTGACCTTGGGCCAGCCCCTGGAATTTCCTCACCTGTAAAACAAAGTGTGTGAGGCCAGGCACAGTGGCTCACTCCTGTAATCCCAGCACTTTGGAAGGCAGAGGCGGGCGGATCACCTGAGGTCAGGAGTTCGAGAACAGCCTGACCAACATGGAGAAACCCTGCCTCTACTAAAAATACAAAAATTAGCTGGGCATGGTGGCATATGCCTGTAATCCCAGCTACTCGGGAGGCAGAGGCAGGAGAATCGCTTGAACGCGGGAGGCAGAGGTTGCAGTGAGCTGAGATCATGCCATTGCACTCCAGCCTGGGCAAGAAGAGCAAAATTCCATCTCAAAACAGACAAACAAAACAAAGTTTGTGAGTCGGGGGTCCGGGTGGGAGGATGGAGCACTCAATACTTTTCAAACCACTGGCCTTCAGGGATCATAAAGGTGAGTGATGGGGTCAGAGGGTCCTGGCCTCCTTTGCCTGAAAAGTCTTGCATTCATTATTTCATTTGCGTAATCCATTGAGGTTTTAGCTCATCCATTAATTCATGCTCTGTTCTGACTGCCATGAGAGACTCCAAAGATCAAAGTGAGATTTTTTCTCCCTCCATCTTAAGAAAGTAGCCAAACCTTCCCATTTGGAATTCTGACCTTCTTGCTTTAGGGGTTTATGAACAACTTTTGAGTTTTAGGATGAAAAACCGATGCACAGGGACCAAGCTGGGTTTTGTTTGGAGGTGGGGAGTTCTGGAGGAGAGGAGAAGGAGTCTGGGGCTAAGAGTGTTCCTTCCTGGAAGAGAGGGGCTGGCAGGGGCCATGAGGGATAGAGGTCCATGCCTTTCCTGCCAAGGTGGTGGTGTTTGGTGGGTGGTTGGCTGCTGTGATTTTGAAGGTCAATGCTGTGGCCTTGAGAATAGTCACGGGTGGGAATATCATCAAGCATGTGCTGGTGTAAGGAATCACCAAAAGAGGCATTTCTGTGTCTTCCTAAGTAGCAGGGTCTAAGAGATGGGTGAGGGTTGAGGAGGGTGGTCCTCCCTGTATGAGGAGCAGCAGCAGATGGCATTAAGAGCAGAGCCCCCTCCCTGGTGACTGAGGTGTGAGCTGGGAAAGAGGTAGCTTTACAGACTGGACATGGTTGATATTGGACCTCTTGGCTACCATGATGGGTAGAGACTGGGGCCAGATTTAAGGCACTTTAGAAGAATAAAGAATGTGAATGATGTGGGGGAATCCTCTGTTTGTTTGGCCTTTAGATAAGAGTTCTTTTGGAGGAAAGGTGACTACACGTTTGCAACCCACCGTACTGACTGACCTCTAAGGTTCTTTCTGGAATAGATACTTGATGACATGGTAGCTTTAATGGTGACTTGAGGGTGGTAATGTCCCAAACTAGGGGAATTCCTCTTGCATCTCCCCTCCCCAGAACTGCTGTGCACCAGGGGGCACACCTGTGAAAATGGTATAGTTTCAGCCATGGCTGGGGAGTAAAATGTGGACTACCAATGTGGATGTGGTTCACGGAGCACACGTGAGACTCTGGGAGGCATGGTTGGAGACCCTGGGTCCCACCCTGCTCAAACCAGCGCTGATCTACTGATGACTGGAAGCACTCCGGCAAATTTACGGAATTCACGTTTGACCTGTTGGGCCACAAAACTCTCCAGCTTTGTCAGTATTCTTCAAAGGCACTGCCCCAGCCAAAGCAGAAGAGCCACCGGCCCCACTGGGGGGCCCAGCATGGGGGTTCACATGAGGGAAATGCCCATGATGGCAGGAACCCAAGTGCATACATGAATCAGAGGTGGTTTTTATGTGCCAGGTCACATAGGTCACTGTCCTCTGTGTTTTCCACGTCCTCAACGGGGTATGAGGGTCATCCCCAGGATCTGTCCCATAGACTGACTCACTCCTTCTGTTTTCTGGAAATTTAATCCAAATCAATTTCTCGTTTTCTTATGCTCGGGAAAGATTTGCTTGGAATTCATAAGGCTTTATCTCCAGGCTCTAGGAGGCACTGTGGCCGGTGGGGGATGGTGGGGGTGATAGAGTGTTCTAAGTGAAAGGAGAATTTCTATGTAAGCATTTCTGGCAAGTTGCCTAAAGAGATCTTAGTAGAAAAGGTCCTGAATTTCCAAGGCTCCAGTAATAATTTGTCATCATTTATCTTATTCTAAATAAATGTTCTTTCACACCTAATTTTATCTTAGTAATTCTGCGTTCTTTTCTTTCTTTCTTTGTGCTTAGAGAGCACAAAGACTGTAGAAACAGGGACCAGACAGGGCTATGTCCAGCAGTCCCTCAAACACACCCTGTACTTCACGCTGTTGGTGCTTTTGTCTGGATCATTCACCCACTGGCGTGTCCTTCCCAATCCTCATAGTGGGGCCAGAGCCTGGCTCAAAGTCAGCTATGCTTGGCCTGGCACGACTTTTTCCTCCTTCCAACAGTCCTGGGCATTTTCTTTAAAATCCACTTAGAAGTTCTCAGGCACAACTTTATGATATTTCTTCTGTTGTTTGTCTTGAACTGAACTTCAATACCAGATTGTGATTAAACGTCTTGTATACATATTTTGTCATCCCTCCCCAAATCAGAGTGTAAGCTCCTTGAAGACAGTGACTGGTTTTCCACAAAGCATGGTTCATAGGAAATGCCTCAACACCTATCTGTTGGCTTATTTGAACATAATTCCTGTAATGTTTTTAAAGTTTTAAAAATTTGCTATCTATTCAATTTAAAAAGGCAGAACAGGTAGATATTTTCTCTGCTTTATAGAATCAAAAATTTCAGCTGAGACACAGCTCATGTAGGAACCAGAATTAGACCATTGTTCCAAGGTGAGACAATTAGACACCATTTTACATAAATGTTTCCATCTTATTTAAGTTCTTTCAAGAAAGTAGAAATTTCTAGCAAGTTCCTTACTAGCTGGTCTTGTTTATCAGGAAGACTTCTCTTCTGGCTACCCTGGCTCCTCTGTTCTGATTTAACGTTTATTTGTCTTTTCTCTACACAACTGGAGAGATCTTTTCAAAACCCTAACCATGTCGGTGCTCTTGCTTAAAACCCTTCAGTGACTGCTTCCCCGTTGAGTTGAAAGAAACCCAGAATCTTCTGTGACTCACCACCCTGGTGAGCAGGTCCTGCCTGCCTCCCCAGCAGTCTCTGCCCTCCACTTCTCTCACTCTGTTCTAGACACAGGGCTCCTCTTACACTTCCTAGGACACACCAAGTGCTCTCTGCCTCAGGACTTTTGTGCGTGCAGCCAGTGCCTCTGCCTGCTATTCCTCCAGCTCCTTATCCTGGGAGTCTCTGCTTAAATATCACTAACCTCCTCTGATAGGCCTTTTGGATGACCCATCATGAGTAGGCTCCTGCTCTGCTGGACTCTGTCACAGCACTATATTTATTTTCTAGACAGAATGTTTCATAGTCTGAAATAATTTTAGTCATCAGTTGCTCTAGCTGTTTATGATCTCTGGGACCCCACTAGATGTAGGTTCTATGAGGGCAGGGACCCTGTCTCTTTTATTGAGCGTGGTGTTACCCCAGCCCCACCCCTACTTGTCACATGGCAGGGTTTTAATATGTATTTGCCAACTGGAGGACAGAAATATCTAATCTGTTAATCTTGGGGTAGAGGAGAGATCGGGACATACCCCTCAGAGTTTGGTGGTAAGAGGTTCACCCAAGTCTGAGAGGCCTGGGCAGGAGGCGCCCTGAAGATAGGTGCCCATCTCTGGATCAAGTCCATCAGCTGGCTTGGCTGGCAGGACAGGGCCTTCTCTCCCTCTGCTCTGGGCCCTGTGCATATACTCATGAAGTCAGGAAGCATTTCCTTTGTCCTTCCCTCTGGCCCCTGCCTACCAGCTTTGAGAAGGCCAGCAGGGAGCTGGTGAGCACCTGGTTCTGCCTGAATGGCTGGGAAAATGAGGTCGAGGAGACCCCCTCCTGTCCCTCATGGCTCCGTCTTTTCCTGAGGCCTCCAATGGTGAGCATTTGCCACTGAGCAAGCCTCAAGGAATAGATTTGGCAGTTTGTGTTCTCAAGGGAGGTGGAGATCACTCAGGGAGATGAGTCCAGATGAGGTTTTAAAATAAGCCATTGTTTGAGGCAACAGGGAACAGCCCATTTTGAGGCCCAGGGGCTCACCTGGGAGTTGGTGGATAAAAGAATGATCTCGTAGCTAGAAAAAGGGAAATCAGCTTCTGAGACTTTTTCCAGCTGCTCAGCTATAATACCATCCAAGAGGTGACCTTTAATGTGGGCGTGTGAGGCCAGCGTGCTGGGACAGACCAAAGGAATCAAGCCAAGAGATGCTGATGGCAAATTTAAACCAGTCAAGGGCGGAGTGGCCAGGGGCATAGCCTGTAGAAAGGGCAGCCAGAGAACAGGAAATTAAAAGAACTCCAGAAGCCAGCAATTGAACGTTAAGAAGAAGCCCAGTGAGTGGAGAGGGCTTTTGTGGAGGCCTGCAAACAGTGGGTGCCACAGTGGGAAAGCCAGCCAGGCAGTGCCCAGGGAAGTGGGTAGAGGGTACCACAACCCACCCTGAGAACTGGCAGTGCTCGGAGATGGGGCAGTGTCTGGGGGAGGCGGAGGGAGATGGAAAATATCACTCCCCTACCCTCCCAGAGCAGGATGGTCAAAGATGCCTGGGCTTCAAAGGACATTTAGTGGGACTTAGTAAAGTCCATTTCATGTAAATAGCCTAATCCCTACCTGTAAGGAACATAACACCATCTCCATTTCCTAGATATGGAGACAAGCCCTGAGAGGTTGAATGAGTTGTCTGAGGCCCCTGGCTAGTTAGGGCAGAACCAGGACTTGAATCAGGTTTTCTGATGCTGAGATCAAACCCTGGTCAGGTGTTTGGTCAGCATTGCAGGTCCCTGGAGGCTGTACCTACCCCTTACCTCCCGGTTCTCCTACCCGTCTCTCAGGAGCCTCCTCCTCTTCAGTTCCAGTCAGATCCAGGTACCAAGAGCCTTTGAGGCCCAAGCCTGGCAGGTTCTGCTGCTTTGCTCCATCACCCCATGAGGTGACACTTTTCACCCTGGACCCAGGACCCTAGGAAGCCCAGAGGCTCTGGCATTTGGGGTGGAGCAAGGCAGCAGTCTCTGGAGCCCAGAGTTCTCTTCAGGCTGCATCATCGGGGAAGAGGAGCCTGCACATTTGTAGGAAGTACCTGATTCCAACGAAACCTCCTTCAGGCCCAGGAGGATGGATCATTGGCCTGACTTGGGTGGTGCTTCTCCTTGTCTCAGAGAGGCTGTGGTAGATTGCACTAAAGGCCTCTATTCTTCCCTCACTCTGTATCCATGCCCTTTGCCATGTGACTTTGTGGATTTGATTTCCTTATTTTTTGAATCTGGGATTAGTCATGTGACCCACTTTGGTCAATAGAATAAGGTGGAAGGGAGTCTGAGGCTTCCAGCCTGGACCTTGAGAGGCCTTGTGTGTTTCTGCTTGCTGTCTTGCTGTCTCCCTGAAAGGAACGTGTCTGGGCTGGTCTGCTAGCCTCAGAGATGGGGAGGATGAGAGACATAGGGCAGAGCCACCCCAGCTGAGCATCCCAGAGAGAGCCCCTGCAGGTCTACAGATGCTGCAGTGAGCTTAGCCCACATCAGCTGCTCCATGCAGGTGTGTGAGCTGTCATTATTTAATTTTGTATGCTACTGGGGTTTTGTGGCTGTTAAGCAGCAGTCTACTGATAATAGCTAATAGATACAGAGGCACTTTAAGGGTTAGGAAAGTACTAGAAATCTGAAGAACTAGCTAAATATATTATGTAGAAACAGGAAAAAAAGAGTAAGAAAGCTGGTTGACCAAACCTTAGCTCAGGAAGGGATTAGCTCAGGAAGACGGGTGCACTGAGCTGATGGGGACCCCGAGAATGTGGGTGAAGGTCAAAGCCAGGTGTGCTCCATAGCCATGCTTGTAACCTCCATAGTCTGCTGCCTCTTGGCCTTTCTCCACACATCGCTCCAGGGTCTGAGGCTGTGTCTGAGGTCTTACAGCAAGAGGCAGACCTCAGAGTGGCCCTTCCACCTTTCAGTAAGGGTCTCCTGGCTCCAAATGGCAGCCAGTTGCTGCCAAACCCCAGAGGTCACTTTTGAGCTCTGCAATGCCAAATTGGTCCTGCTCCCAGAAAACTGTGACGTGGCCTTGAGCCTATTTAGGCAGTTAGATTATACTCCAAGCACTGGCATTGCCCTGCCCTTGGAGCCTGAGAAACATCTCTTTGTATACCGGGCACAGGAGAGAACAACTGGCTTGTGCCTTCCTTTGCTCCAGCTTCATTTCTTGAACATCTGTTTTCCCAGAGGTGGGCTAGGGTGCCAACTCCTGACAGGCAGCTAGAGTGAGTTTACTATGCATTTGTGTGTATGCGCATGTGTTTGACGGTATAAGTGTGCATGTGTGTGTGTGTATGTGTATGTGGGGAGTGAGACTGAGGCGGGACAATTCCGTGTGTGTGTGTGTGTGTGTGTGTATGTGTGTTTATAGTCTGTGAAGCTCTCTTTATTCCTGGAGAGAACATAATGGGTTTACTGGATTATGGTTGTACTCTTCAATAATTTTTCTGCCCAGGGCCCCTGCTCCTCTCATTGCCTTTTCAATCCTTTCTTACTGGAAGTGCAGGAATTAGATCTGTGCTGGGAGAATCACGACTGCAGCCCAGTTAGGGGAAGAGGGAGCGAGTGTGGAGCCCCAGGCAGCCAGACTGGAAGAGAACAAGCTCTACCTGAACCCTTCTGCTCAGCCCCTGTCTGTCAGCCTGGACTTTTCATCTTATTTCCGGGCATCAGAAGAAGGCCTCTGGGATTCCTGGGTTGGTTGACTAGTCAGGAAAGAGAGGCCGAGCTACAAGCAGCTGAAGGGAGCTTTGCAGCTCCTCCGGGTTCCCCAAGGCATTTTGTGCTGTGGTTCTCCAGCCCAGCTGTACATATGAGAATCAACTGGGAGGTTAAAAAATACCCATGCCTCAGACAGTAGAATCAGAAGCTTTGGGGGTGAGCAAGATGTTTTTATAACTCCCAGGTGATTCTCATATGCAGCCAGCATTGGAAGCACTGCTTCCAGAGGTGAATCTGTAAACACCACCCTTGAGCTCTTTGACCAGATGGTGTTGGGGGCACCTGCTGGTGAGGCAGCTCTGTGAATTAAGACACTGCCTGTAGTAGGCTGAACAATGGCCCCCAAAGATATCATGTCCGAACCCATGGAACTTACTACTTTATGAAATACTACCTTATTTGGAAAAAGGGTCTTTGAAGATGTGATTACATTAAGAATCTTAATAAGGGGATGTTATCCTGGATTACCCAGGTGGGTCTTAAGTGCTATCACATGAACTATTATAAGAGAAGGCAGAGGGTGCTATTCACACCCATGGATGAGGCGATGTGAAAATGGAGCAGAGAGAAATGTGAAGAGGCTGGCCTTGCAGATCGGAGTGCTCGTTAGGGATCCCAAGACAAGGGATTCTAGAAATCACTGGAAGCTGGAGGAGGCAAAGAATGGGCTTTCCCTTAGAGCCTCCAGAGGGAGTGTGGCCCTCTTGACACCTTGCTTTTGGTCCAGTGAAACAAACTCTGGTTTCTGGTTCTGGAACTGTGAGATGAATGTGTGTTGGTTTTAAGCCATGTGGTTTATGGTAATTTGTTACAGCAGCCACAGGAGACTCATACACTGCCCTTCATGAGAGGCCATGTGAAATGTTAGGTCAGGGTTACCCTTTATGGGCTAATTACCTGCATTCCCTAGCCCAGCATAAAACCTACTGAATTCAATCCTTCAGCCAACTGGTCAACTACTATTAACCAGGGGACCAGCCCAATGCTGGATACAATGGCAACTACCAAGCAGGATGGGCAGTGACACGGTGCGTGGTCAGGACTGGGGTTGGCAACCTTTTTGGTTTTCTCCTTGCTGGTCACATGATGGTCAAGAAGAACTCGAGCTGGTAGGGATTATAGAAGCAGGGAGAAGTGGGTGATGGAAAGGGGATGGATTCCCTGGAGAGAACAGGTGAAAGTTTGGAGCTAGAAATGTGTCCAAAATTTTTGGGAAACAAGAGCATGAACAAGCTTGTCTGGAGCTGAGATTTTATGAAGGGAGATTGTTCTTAAACTTCAGTGTGTTGAATGCCAGAGGAGTGGTGCCAAGAAATCTGTGTGTAATACAAGCTCCCTGGGTTCTTCTCATTTAGGCGATTCGCTGATCACATTTTGAGAAACACTGAGTTTGGGGACCATTGAGGTAGAAAGTTGAAGGAGTGGATTGCAGTCACACTAACTTTATTCTCTCAAATTAGCAAAATTTAAAATATTATTTGCTTTACTACTCAGCATTTCTTCTTTCTTTTTTTTTTATTATACTTTAAGTTTTAGGGTACATGTGCACATTGTGCAGGTTAGTTACATATGTATACATGTGCCATGCTGGTGCGCTGCACCCACTAACTCGTCATCTAGCATTAGGTATATCTCCCAATGCTATCCCTCCCCCCTCCCCCCACCCCACCACAGTCCCCAGAGTGTGATATTCCCCTTCCTGTGTCCATGTGATCTCATTGTTCAGTTCCCACCTATGAGTGAGAATATGCGGTGTTTGGTTTTTTGATCTTGCGATAGTTTACTGAGAATGATGATTTCCAATTTCATCCATGTCCCTACAAAGGACATGAACTCATCATTTTTTATGGCTGCATAGTATTCCATGGTGTATATGTGCCACATTTTCTTAATCCAGTCTATCATTGTTGGACATTTGGGTTGGTTCCAAGTCTTTGCTATTGTGAATAATGCCGCAGTAAACATACGTGTGCATGTGTCTTTATAGCAGCATGATTTATAGTCATTTGGGTATATACCCAGTAATGGGATGGCTGGGTCAAATGGTAATTCTAGTTCTAGATCCCTGAGGAATCGCCACACTGACTTCCACAATGGTTGAACTAGTTTACAGTCCCACCAACAGTGTAAAAGTGTTCCTATTTCTCCACATCCTCTCCAGCACCTGTTGTTTCCTGACTTTTTAATGATTGCCATTCTAACTGGTGTGAGATGGTATCTCATAGTGGTTTTGATTTGCATTTCTCTGATGGCCGGTGATGATGAGCAAAATGGCCATACTACCCAAGGTAATTTACAGATTCAATGCCATCCCCATCAAGCTACCAATGACTTTCTTCACAGAATTGGAAAAAACTACTTTAAAGTTCATATGGAACCAAAAAAGAGCCCGCATTGCCAAGTCAATCCTAAGCCAAAAGAACAAAGCTGGAGGAATCACACTACCTGACTTCAAACTATACTACAAGGCTACAGTAACCAAAACAGCATGGTACTGGTACCAAAACAGAGATATAGATCAATGGAACAGAACAGAGCCCTCAGAAATAACGCCGCATACCTACAACTGTCTGATCTTTGACAAACCTGAGAAAAACAAGCAATGGGGAAAGGATTCCCTATTTAATAAATGGTGCTGGGAAAACTGGCTAGCCATATGTAGGAAGCTGAAACTGGATCCCTTCCTTACACCTTATACAAAAATCAATTCAAGATGGATTAAAGATTTAAACGTTAGACCTAAAACCATAAAAACCCTAGAAGAAAACCTAGGCATTACCATTCAGGACTTAGGCATGGGCAAGGACTTCATGTCCAAAACACCAAAAGCAATGGCAACAAAAGACAAAATTGACAAATGGGATCTAATTAAACTAAAGAGCTTCTGCACAGCAAAAGAAACTACCATCAGAGTGAACAGGCAACCTACAAAATGGGAGAAAATTTTCGCAACCTACTCATCTGACAAAGGGCTAATATCCAGAATCTACAGTGAACTCAAACAAATTTACAAGAAAAAAACAAACAACCCCATCAAAAAGTGGGCGAAGGACATGAACAGACACTTCTCAAAAGAAGGCATTTACGCAGCATTTCTTGTTTCTTTCTTTCTTTTTTTTTTTTGAGACAGAGTCTTGCTCTGTCACCCAGGCTGGAGTGCAATGGTGTGATCTCAGCTCACTGCAACCTCTGCCTCCTGGGTTCAAGCAATTCTCCTGCCTCAGCCTCCTGAGTAGCTGGGGTTACAGGCATGAGCCACCACGCCTGATTAATTTTTGCATTTTTAGTAGAGATGGGGTTTCACCATATTGGCAAGGCTGGTCTCGAACTCCTGACCTTGTGATCCGCCACCTCGGCCTCCCAAAGTGCTGGGATTATAGGTATGAGCCACCGTGCCCATCCTCAGCATTTTTTTTTATACCTACACCATACCTTAAATTTTTATTTTTCTTAAAAAAATATAAATTTAAGAATTCTAAAACTACTATAACAATTATAATAAAAATCATCAGTTCCTATCTTCCTCTTTCATATTCCCAGAGGCAACCTCTTTCAATTCTTTTAGCTAATATTTATTCTGCGTTTTAGCCTCCATATTTTTAAATGACACATGTGTACTACTGTTTCCTGATGTTTCAATTTTTGGTGTTATCTCCCAACTTTCCCCTCAGGTTGATGATTAATTTTTCCATTCATCCCTGTCCCTCTCAACAGACCCAGTTCTTTCCCTCCATCTTCCCTGCAAAGCTTTTCATAATTTTTGGTTAAATAAAAATCAGTGTTTAGTTTTCTAGGTAAAATTATTCACAGCTAAGCCATTTAGTGTATTATGATTACATATCTTTTACGATATAACTTAGGTGTGTCTTAGAATAGTAATTGCTTATTTCTTATTGGCTTTGTTTTCTATGTACCTGTGATGGAGACAGCTAGCTGTGCCCCAGCATCCTTCCTTCTCTTCTCTGTAGTAAGAGAATTTTTAGCTGCATCTATTGGTGCCCAGCTAAAGCTACAGTTCCTATCCTCCTCCCTGATAGCTGGCTACAGTCATTGTGATGAGGTTTGGCTAACAGGAGGTGGGCAAATGTAATGTGGCCACATCTGGATCTTGCCATAACAGGCTAGGCATGTACCATCCCATTTCTCCTTCTTCATTCTTGTGGACTGAAGTGCAGATGTGGTGGCAGGAGTGTGATCAGCCAACTTAGACCATAGGGTAGAAGTTGTGTGTTGAAGGAAGGACAACATAATACAAGATGCCTGTGTTACCATGAGAAAGAAAGATGCCTGCTATCTTGTTTGAGCTCCTATACTGTTGGGTCTTTGTGGGGCCTAGTATTAATAGCCATGATAGTACCTGTGGGCAGATTTTCCATGAGGTGAATGAAGCTCAAGCTTCAGGATCTCTCACTTGCCCAGGCCCCTTTCAGGGCCCTGGAAGGAGCCCTAGTCATTTTGTGTTTGTAGTTCTGTATTCTTTTCATTAAGGAAGCCCTCTAGTTATATAAGCTTCAGGGCCCCAAAATTGGATCCCATCCCTCCAAGTATCTAAGGTAAAGACTGCTAGTTTTCCACCAGCATCCACTCTCCTCTCCTTTGGACCTTAGTTAAACTGCGTGTCCCAGCCTATCTTCCAGTTAAGTGTGACCCTATGAGCGGCAATGGTGTATGCTGCCTCCAGGACTGGCTCATAAAAGCCTCCCCCAGGCTTCTCTGTGCGTTGCCCCATTCTGTGTGCTTGGGAGGGTGACAACAAGAAGCTTGGAAGACAGGTGCTGAAGATGGGGGAGCATTTGTCAACCAGGGTCCCTGATGAATGTGATGGGGGAGTCACTTGCCAGTATGAATGTCTGTTCAAGGCCATTACACCAAAAAGAAATAAACATGTTGACTGTAAGCTGCAGACTTTGGAGGGGTATATTTGTCTCTACAGATCAGCTTACTCTACCTAATACAGTGCCTGTCACTAATTGATCCCCACCTTACAGAACTCTAAATCTCATTGCAGCACAGTTAAACCTGCTTGCTAATGTATCAGTCCCAGTGATTTCTTTGGGAAAGCCCTCTAGGGATTGCTCAACTCCTCTAATCTGTTTTCTTGCTAGGTCTGTTGTATAGCTGTTAACGCTTACTGTCATCTTAGGGAATTCCTTTTGCTACTCTCCTGTGTTGCAGCCTGTTTTCTGGATTCTACATCCTAATTTTTCCTTATTTATTCATTTGTTTTGTTGTAACAAAAAAGATCTTCCAGTAGTTTCTAAGAAAGGGTACATGAGAGGTAAAATTGAAGAAATTTTGTATGTCTGGTTTATATTCTTGTACAATTTATAGGTAAAATTGAAGAAATTTTGTATGTCTGGTTTATATTCTTGTACAATTTATAATCTTGTTTTCCATCTAATATATACTCTTTTTTTTTTTTTTGAGGCAGAGTCTTACTCTATCACCTAGGCTGGAGTGCGGTGGTACAATCTCGGCTCACTGCAACCTCCACCTCCCAGGTTCAAGCAATTCTCCTACCTCAGCCTCCCGAGTAGCTGGGATTACAGGTGTGTGCCACCACGCCTGGCTAACTTTTGTATTTTTAGTAGAGACGGGGTTTCACCATGTTGGTCAGGCTGGTCTCGAACTCCTGACCTCAAGTGATCCACCCGCCTTGGCCTCCCAAAGTGCTAAGATTACAGGCATGAGCCACTGTGCCCAGCCTTAATTGTTTTTTTGTAGAGACGAGATCTCACTGTATTGTCCAGGCTGGTCTCAATCTCCTGGCTTAAGCAATCCTCCCACCTCAGCATCCCAAAGTGCTGGGAATAAAGGCATGAGCCACTGTGCCTGGCCTCAAAAGTCCTTTTTTTTCTTTGAATCAATCGATCAATCTTACTTTTTTCCCCCAGTGTTGTATCCTTGGTTCATGAATATGGTATCTTCTTTTATCTCTATGAGGATAAAATTACAGTTTAAAGAAATGTTTTCTTCTGTTTATTGCATTATTTCTTTTACCTCTGTGTTTCTTTCTTTTTCTGTTTTGGCCCTTCATTGTCATGTTTGAGAATTTCTTCCAAATATCTGGCAATTCTTGGCTGTTTATATTTAAGAGAGAGGTGTTAAGTCTCCTGGGAACTTCTGAGAGGTTTGTTGACAGGTGAGCCTCCCTAAAGCCAATACATTGCAGGCTCCCAAAGGTCAGTATCCCTATATTTTTTTTATGGCCCAGTTCCCAACAGAGAAATCCTTCATTCTCTTGCTTTGGAGTATAGCAGTGGCTGCTCAGAAGGGGAAGGGGTCTGTAGTGGAGATGGATCTCCACCTTCGAAAAAGGACATGTTGGGCCAGCTTCTGGGATTGCTGTTAGTGACGGGCCCTCAGGTGTCATCCTTTATGGATATCCAAGCTGCAGGAAGCCACCTTGCCCAAGGTCCTTCCGGTGTTGGCCCACATCCAATGGTTGATTAAGGTGGAGATATAACTGCCTGGCATTTTTGGCCCAATGTGGGCCAGTTCTATTGGCCCAACATGGGACAATTTCAGTTCTAGAGACTCCATAGGGTTGGCTAAAGCTGTCAGACTTGAGTTGCAGCTCTATTCAAGTGCTGATCCCAAGAGTACTCCCTAATAGACTTCCTGTGTGGTAAACTCTGTCTCATAGTCCACTTTCTAGGCAACCCAGTTTGCAGCAGTTTCTTGAGGAGCATTCCATAAAAGCAGATGATAAGATGGGGCTTTGGAGCTGGATCATTCACCTGTCTTCCCAAGAATAATGATCCCATCATTGCTGCTGGGTGGGGCACAGACAGTCCCTGGTACTAGTCTAGTGGTTCAACCTTTCATCAGTTGTGGGTTTGAATGGTGTACCAGTAGAAGAAAACACATTAGCTGGTGCTATCCATCAGGTGTTAGAAAAAATGAGAAAAATACTGCTATAGACACAATAGGACTGGGTGATGTCTGTCTTCCATTGCTGCTGTAATAAATTACCACAAATGTAGTGCCTTATACAACTCAAATTTATTATCCTATAGATTTGTAGGTCAGAAGTCTGACAGAGGTCTCAAAAGCCAAGACGTCAGCCGGACTGTGATTCTTTCTGAAGGCTCCAGGGGATAGTGTTCTTCTTTACCTTTCCCAGCTTCTAGTGGCTGTCCGCATTCCTTGGCTTATGGCCCTTTCCACCATCTTCAAAGTCAGCAGTAATGGGTGGAGTCCTTCTCATGCTGCTATCTCTCTAGTTCTCTGCAGTCAGGAAAAGTTATCTGCCTTTAAGGACTCATGTGATTAGATTGGGCCCACCCAGACAATCCCGTATAATCTCCCCTCCTTAAGGTCCTTAACCTTAATTGCATCTGCAAAGTCCTTTTTGACATGTAAGGTCACATATTCCATGGGCTGTGAGGATCAGAGCATGGCTATCTTTGAGGACCCTTATTTTCCATTCATAGATGGATATTGCTGAGTTTTATGAAGAGATAGAGAAAGATAACAAGAGGCTGAGAGTGGTTATCAGCCAATTTAAAGCAAGGGTTAAATCCTCCTTGGCAGCATGTAAACAGGTTGTCTTGTCTTACAGAGGGAGGACAGGAAAAGAAGGCCAGGTCCAGGCCTTAGTGGTCAGAGTGGTTGATGTCCAAAGAAGGCTAAACTCCCAAACAAGGCAGGTCTTCTATGCCAAGGTCAGGGCCCTGGCTGGAAGAGGATACAATCCTGACACATGTATATCTGGGCCAAATCTCCAAAATCTTGACTTCTCAGATTTCCCTGAACTCTTTGAGCCTGCAGAAGTTGGTCATCCCCCCTATTAAAAACTAGGATTACAGCTGGGCGTGGTGGCTCATGCCTGTAATTCCAGCACTTTGGGAGGCCGAGGTGGGCAGATTGTGAGGTCAAGAGATCAAAGTCATCCTGGTTTTGATGGTGAAACCCCATCTCTACTAAAAATTAGCTGGGTGTGGTGGTGCGCACCTGTAGTCCCAGCCACTCGGGAGGCTGAGGCAGGAGAATCGCTTGAACCCAGGAGGCAGAGGTTGCAGTGAGCTGAGATCGTGCTACTGCACGCCAGCCTGGTGACAGAGTGAGACTCCGTCTCAAACAAAACAAAACAAAACAAAAACTAGGATTACCTCCATCCTCTTGCTTGAAGACAATGCAGAGGCCTCTCCCTGCAGGATAAATTGTGTTTCTCCTCCCTCAGTATTTGTCCTGCCTCCTTTTGGCCACTGGATATGTAACCAGGGTTAAGTCACAGCACAGTCCAGCCAGGGATATGCTGAGCTTGATAAAGGAGGAAGGGAACTATCTATCTCCCCAAATCTAGCCAGCATTTACTGGCAGGAACTGGAGGAGTTCTTTAGACTGGATTCTGAGAGTGCTTGATCATGAATGCCAGAGCTTAAGATCAAATATGGAAAGCATATTGATTTGAATATGTTCACAAGACACATGATTTAATCAGATGGTGTGAACCCAAAACTAGAGTGGCTCCTAGAACTGTGCCCACCTAAGTTAGGTCAAAATGCCATAGCGGCCAAAACAAGTGGCAGAGAAAGAATTAAAAGACTCAGGGTCATAGGTATGCTCGATGCATATACCACACGAGCCCAGGAAACCCACTAGATGAGCTTACACAATTTAAGGAATGCACTGTTGAGAGAGTCACCAACATCACAAAGTTTGGTTGTGGCTCTCCTCTGTGGACCAGAGCTAATGGTAGGAGGAACCATTATAAAACTAGGCTCACTAGGCTGGGCGCGGTGGGTCTTGCCTGTAATCCCAGCACTCTGGGAGGCCGAGGCATGTGGATCACCAGAGATAAGGAGTTCGAGATAAAACTAGGGTGACTAGTAGCAGAAGGAATAGGACCCCAATACAATAGAAGCCAGGTGGCAGTATTTAGCGTCCAGAAGCCATTTATGGATGCAATAATTGTAATGCATGGCAGAATCCATTATCATGGAGGCAATTATTATAGTGAGCTGCAAGTTCAGAGTGATAGCCAAAGGGGGTCTGACTCACAGATAGTTGTGGAAATGATTAATGGAAGACAGTGTCCTTAGGGGCAAAATATATGGGTAGCAAACAAGGGTACTACTCAACTTGTACCAGCAGAAGAAATCAAGAATAGATTGTCAGAAACAGAATAGAGAGTCCAGAAATAAGTTCACACACCTAGAACAAACAGATTCTTGACAAAGAGCCAAGAACACACATTGGAGAAAAGACAGTCTCTTCAAGAAATGGTGCTGGGAAAATTGGATATTCACATGCAGAAGAACAAAACTAAACTCCTACCCCTCACCATATACAAAAATCAAATACTTAAATGTCGAACCCAAAACCATGAAACTAGTAGAAAAAAATATAGGTGAAACATTTTACAACCTGGGGCCGGGCAAGGATTTTTTAAAGAAGACCTCAAAAGCACAGTCAATGAAAACATTAATAGACAAATGGGACTGCATCAAACTAAAAAGCTTTTGCACAGCAAAGGAAACAATTAACAGAGTGAAGAGACAACCTACAGAATGGAAGAAAATATTTGCTAACTTTACGTCTGACAAGCAGTTAATATCAAATATATAGGGAACTTAAACTACTCAACAGCAAAAAATCAAAGAACCCAATTAAAAAGTGAGCAGAGACCTTAATAGAGATTTCTCAGAAGAAGACATTTGAATGGCCAACAGGCACATGAAAAAATGCTCAACATCAAAATGCAAATCAAAACAACAGTGAGATACCACCTCACTCCAGTTAGAATGGCTATTATCAAAAAGACAAAATAAATAAGTGTTGGTGAGGATGTGGAGAAAAGGGAACACTTAGGCACTATTGGGATTATAAATTAGAATAGCTACAATGGAAAACTGTGCTGAGGTTCCTCAAAAAGTAAAAATGAAACTACCATATGACCCAGCAATCCCACTCCTGGGTATGTATTTGAAAAAAAAAAAAAAAAGGCATCAGTATATCGAAGATATATCTGCACTCCCATGTTTATTGGTTCAGTATTCATAATAGCCAACATATGGCATCAACCCAAGTACCCAACAATGGATGAAAGAATAAAGAAAAAATCATATATATACACAATGAAATACTATTCAGCCATAAAAAGAACAAAATCCTGTCATTTGTGATAACATAGATGGCCCTGGAGGACAGTCTATAAGCCATTCACAGAAAGAGGAATACCATATGATTTCATTCATATGTGGAATCTAAAAAAATTAAAAGCTGACATCCTAGAAGCAAGTAGAAAAGTGGTTACTAGAGACTGGGGAGGAGAGAAAAGAGGGGAGGATGAGGAGAGGTTGGTCAATGGATACAAAGTTACAATTAGATAGAGGAATAAGTTCTGGTGTTCTATTGCATAGTAGGGTGATCATGGTTAACAGTAAGATATGGTATATTAGAAAATAGCTAGAAGAGAGGCTTTTGAACGTCCTCATCACAAAGAAATGATAAATGTGTGAGGTGACCGTCAGGCTAACTACACTGATTTGGTCATTTTACAATGTATATATGTATCAAAACATCAAATTGTATCCCATAAATATGTGCAATTACAATGTCTCAAAGTAATCATAAAAGAATATTATTATTAGAAGGAAGGATTTCTGTAAAGGAAAAGAAACAAAAAAGAATAGATGATCAGGACTGTAAGTGCAGTCACCCAATAAAAAGTCATAGTTCCTTGTCTGGTTTCTGGACGTGAGATAGTTTCCCGGACTCACTGAAGGAGAGGCAAAGTCCCCAGGAAGAAGGACATCTCTGCAGGTATACATGTTAATGATTCTACCATTCCTTCCTTCAAAGACACCTACAACCGTTTATTCTGGTAATTATATTCTGGGGAAAAAAGAATACTGAAATAGTTTGTGGCAGGTGGACATAGAGTTTGAGTTGACATAGACACCTCCCACTGCTCCTGCCCTCATTCACTCTGAGCCAGCTGCATGGGCCAGAAGTGGACTTACCTCAGGGCCTTTGCACCTGCTGTCCCCTCTGCCCACATGTCCTTCCCCCAAAGATCTGCATGGCTCCCCACCTCACCTCTCAGGGTGCCTCTGTTTCCTCTTTGTAAATGGGGTGATAACCACAGTACCCACCCCAGGGAATTGGTAGAAGTGTTGCATTAATGACATGAATTGCTATTTGTAAAGTTTTTAGAACAGTGCTGAACATGCAGGTGCACTGTATAGGTGTTTGGGACCTATAAAAACATGGAGCTTGAAATCTTAGATGATGTCTCCTCATCTTATGAAGTTCTTTCTCGATTCTTGCAGCTACTCTGGATTGGGTGAAGCGAAGCTGAGCAGTTGAGGACTGAAGGTCACGCCTTTTGTATGAGTGAAGGAGAGAGGAAGTCTAGGCAAGCCTTCTGTGGGGGTTCATCAGTGGTTACCCAGGCTCGTCTCTGAGCCAGGTTGCTAGGCTGGCCAGCGTGTGACCTCCAAAATCCACCTCAGACAACAGGGTCCTGGTTTCTGGGGATGGGAACAGTGAATGAGTTTTTAAAAGGTCCTCAGTGAGCCAGGGGTGGTGCCACATGCCTGTAGTCCCCGCTACTCAGGAGGCTGGGGAGGGAGGATCACTGGAACCCAGGAGGTCAAGGCTGCAGTGTGCTATGATCATGTCTATGAATAGCCACTGCACGCCAACCTGGGCAGCATAGTGAGACCCCATCTCAAATAATAAAAAAAGGTCTTCAGGAGATTTTGATATATAACTAGCTATGGAACTCATTGTAGTGCTGATTTGCCTTTTCTGCCTGTTTTATTTTGTTTTAGTCTGTGGAGAGTGAGTGTGTTTGTGTGGGGGATAATCCTTTGTAATCCACTTGCTCTGGCAGAGCTATTGTAATGATTGGTTTGGATGTGATACTTTTGTATCAAAGCTCTTTCCATTGTCAGGTGGGTGAATAAAGATCATTATTTGTTCCTGTATGTAACTGTCAAGTAGAGAGCTTTCCCATTCTCTCCCTGCATCGCTCTGTATGCAGTAGGTATGCGGGAATGTAGTTATGGCAATGACATGCCCTTCTGACCATTTCCCACATCCCTTTCTGAGTCAGGTAGAAATATTTGAGGGCCAGTGGGACTGACAATAGCTGTTCTAGGAGGTCAGAAAGGAAGCGGAAAAGCAAGGCTGGCTTGGTTTCTGGAGGAAGAGAAGCCGGTCCTGAGAGCCCTCCAGCCTCCCGGCACTACTAGGGAAACTGTCCAGTTGAGTTACTTAGAATTGCATCTCTACTGGGCCCTGCTGTTAATCTCCAGCCCAGCCCCCATCAGAACCCAGATCGATAGCTGAGAATGGAGCTGTCTGTCTTTCTGACCCCCCTGATTGTTTTGTTATTGCTGGTGGGCTGATTTCCAGTTATGTAACCTCCTCTCTGTTAGATGAAATCTCATTATTTTACTGTGCTGTGCACATCAGGTCTGTTTCACGTTGAGCTACCTGAGAGGAGCTGGGAACGTGCTGTTTCTCATCATTATCACCCAGCAAGAGAACTGGAGAGAGAGCTACACCCAAACCAATTATGGTCAGGCCCTCTGGGCTGTTATATAATTTTCCAGGAGACAGTGGAGTGAAGCAGACCTCAGCGTCCCAGAGGTGTGCTGCCACGACAGTGTGCTTTCCTTGCTTGGAAGTCTTGGGTAAGTAAGTTCTCTTTCCAGCCCAGAAGATTTTGAGGGGCATTTGTATATGGGGTAGAGAGAGTTCCTAAATTGACTTACGATTTTCTTGCACACAAATAAACAAAGAAGCAAGCAAACAAAAGCAAAGAGAGGCCTTCTTTCTAGGCCTGCTGTCTACTACGTTTTAGGTCCTGAGTAAGCTCTGATCCAGGCAAATCAGGTAACCAGTGTCATGGCCTCGAATCCACATATGAAAACCCTGACTCCCAGGCACAGTGTCCAGTGGGAAGCAGAAGGCCTGGTGAGATCCCAAGACCTGGAGTCCTCCGAGGTGGTTAGCGTGGTATGACTGGGGATAGTGGGCGCTCCGGGGTCAGGAGAACTGGTTTGATTCTGCTCTGCCACTTACCACCCATGTGATCTTGCACAAATCACTCTGCCAGTCAGGAAAACAGAAACAGGCCCAGGTCTTTCCACAGAGGGTGTTTAATTACACAGGCAATGGAAGAGCTGAGGAGACAAACAGCGGCCAAACGGGGGCCAAACGGAGACCGAGAGCACAGGCCAAGAAGAGAGGGATTCTGCAGGAGGTGGGAAGCCAAGGGCCCTCCAGTGGGAGGGGCTGCCCAGTGTGAGCCAGGGCTCTGGAGCCAGGGGAGGAGCTGGAATCATGGGGAAGACAGATCTGAGAGATGTCATTTGGGGTAGAAAGAAATGAAGAGAAATACCCTGGCATCTCCCTTACTCTCTCCTCCAATCTTACCCTGATCCCCCTTTGGTTGAACCTACAGGATGGCAAAGGAGCTTGGGAAATGAGTCTACAGTGGAACAGAACAGAGCAGGGAAAGGGCAGGGAATGGATGAAAGAGCAAACGGGGGCATGGCCTGTGTAGAGTGAATGTCTTTGAATAAATTGTCTCCAATGTGAATTATTGCCACTGTCCCTAGGGCTGAGGCATGGGTGGACCAGGAGCTGGACTGGCCAGTGGACACTCTCAGCTATTTGGGAGGTGAAGGGGATGCAGTGTTTGCCCACACTGGTACCTCCTGTGACCAGCACAGCAGCCCTTGGTGATAATCTCCACGGGGCAGATAAACATGACCCTGTGTACTTCCATTTTACTGCTTTGTTTCTTTCTTTTAGAAGCTTCTTACCTCCTCTAAGAAGATTTTCCAGGCAAAACCCAGATCTGCTTTAGTGACTTCAGAAGAAAAAGATCTGAGGGAGGATGAGAAGCCGATAGCCAATGGTATGTGTGTGAAAACACGTGGCAGACACACATGCTCTCCAGCATTCTATCTCAGCTGATGGTCAGCAAGCCTTGGGGCGTCTTCATCTCCTTCTCCTTCATCTCACTGTCTTTCTACCATGCCATCTCTATCAGTTCAGTTCCCAGTGGAAGACAGGTGGTTTAGCCAAAGAAAATCTAATGAGGGGTCTATTTATCTGTGGTCAGGGTTTGGGATGCCCATGTGCAGTAGTGATGCCCCAGGGATGAGCAAGAGTGGGAAGCTGTGGCCACCTTGAGACCTCAGGGCCAACAGAAGGGACTATGCTTCTGGAGCCCTGGGGAGCGGGAGCTTGGAAGAGGGCAAGAGGGGTCACCTCAGAAGCTATAGTCACAGGGAGATGCAACCACTGCCCAGACTGTGGCAAGGCATGGCGGGAGCAGGGGGAATCAACACCCAGCACCTGTCCCTTTGACCCTTTGACTTGCTGGTGGCTTGCATTGGCTAAACCAGAAACTGGAGGGCAAGAGCCCCTCAGTGTAGCAGCCTATGGGGGCCAACCTTCTGAGGTCAAAGCAGGACAGAAGGTGGAGAAGGGACTTGGGGGGACACATGGAGAACAATCAACAAAGTTTACCCCCTTTGTCACTTGGCACTGGAAAATCTGAGAAGCACCAGATGTTGTGAGTTACCTAAGAGGGGTTTGTTGCTTCAATGTCTTTCCAATTTGGGGGATTTTTGAAGAAAGTGTTTATGAGCAGGGCAGCTTGCCCCTTTACCTAGTCTTCCAAGAATAAAAGACAAGGCCTCAGTTTTTAGTCAGTTGTAAACACTTATATTCTTTATTTTTAGGTTATGAGGATGAGGGTCGCTATCCAAAGGATTGAGAGAGTAGGCTTTTGCACTATGTAGCCATGGATTCAAATCCCAGCATTACCATTGATTAGCTTGGGGCTTTTATAAAGTTAGTTACCTCTCTTAGTCTCGAGTTGCCAAAATGTAATGTGTTAGAAATATCAAAACATAGTTGAAAGGATGGAATGGGGTAAGATGTATAAATTATTTAATAATGTTAGCTGCATGTTTTTATTTTGCAAACACATGGAGTGGAGTCATTGGGCAAGAAGCAAGACTCTCTCTCAAGGGAAAGTCTTGGCCATTTAACCAGTTATGGGGCGCGGGGAGGACTTTGGTGACATGGTAGGTGCCCAAGGTCCTCAGAGTGGCAAATCAGTGCATTTAAGAGCAGTTTTGTCTGCCTGGCTGAACAGATGCTCCCCCAGGAGAACTATATCCACAGGTACTATCTGGAAGTTAGAAGGTATCCTGGTGGGCTGCCTGCAGGCAGGGGGTTGGTGACCCTTTGTCTTGGGGTGTGAGGTCAGATGTGTCTGATTAGACAGGACTAAGAAGGAGACAGGCTGCTGTCCTCTTGGATGGCTCATCTCAAATAACGGCCACCATCTAACATCTGACTAGTGCTCTGCCACCTATAAAACACTCTCATTTCCTTTGTCTCCTAATTTGACATGGATAGGGCTCAGCTTGCTTGTTCAAATCTCCCATGACTGACCACTTCTGCTGATTCACACAGGAAAAATCATCTAGTCAAGGTGAAAAAACCAAACCTTGAATGTGTCTCTACAGACTTTGAGATTTTGAGTAGGAAATAGAAGGACTTGAGGACTCATGAGTTTTCATCTCTCCTTCCTGTTAAAGGTTGAGACTTTGCAAGAGAGAGGGGGCCGTGAGCTATGAGCAGCTGGCTCTGGGGAGGGTTTTAGAAGTATAAGATTGGTGGAGGTGACACACCAGGGTGACGGGTTGCTTGCAGGAATGGAGTGGCAACCCAGGAAGGGAGTGGGGTTTTGGCCTGAATGCTTTTGCCAAACCCATCCTCAGGATGGACTTTATTTATGTATTATTTTAAATTTAACTTTTATTAAGTTCAGAGGTACATGTGCAGGTTTGTCATATGGTAAACTTTTGTCACGGGGGTTTGTTTTACAGATTATTTCGTCACCCAGGTATTAAGCCTGGTACCCATTAGTTATTTTTCCTGATCCTCTCCCTCTCCCTCCTCCCATCCTCCACCCTCTTATATGCCCCAGGTGTGTTGTTCCCCTCTGTGTGTCCATGTGTTCTCATCATTTAGCTCCCACTTGTAAGTGAGAATGTGAGGCATTTGATTTTCTGTTTGTGCATTCGTTTGCTAAGGATTATGGCCTCCAGCTCCATAGGATAGACTTTAAAGGGTCACTTGAGACTGTAGAGAAAAATGCCCTGAGGAAGTATAAAGCTCAATACCATCCTTAGTAGGTGGAGCCATATGGAGGCAGTGGTTACTTTTCAGGTGAAAATGAGAAGGAAAGGGTTGGGGACATGGTTGTAGACTTCAGACCCAACTGCACAGAGTGTGGGCCTGAAACAATTTAAACTTGAATTTTTTTTTTTTTTGAGACAGAGTCTCACTCTTGTCACCCAGGCTGTAGTGCAATGGCACGATCTCAGCTCACTGCAACCTCTGCCTTTCAAGTTCAAGTGATTCTCCTGCCTCAGCCTCCCGAGTTGCTGGGACTACAGGTGCCCACCACCACGCCTGGCTATTTTTTGTATTTTTAGTAGAGACGGGGTTTCACCATGTTGGCCAGGCTGTGAACTTGAATTTTAACGCAAGAAAGTAAATACATGTGCAGATTCATTTCCCCTCCTTGTAGGTTTATGTCAAGCTGAGGACTGACTGCTACCATTGCTGGGAGGATAGAACCCTGTGGATGTGCCTCACATCCTCTTCCAACGAGGTAGAGTTACACAGTGGTGAAGTCTTGGCCTTAGGCATTCAAGTCCTGGCTGTACCATTTACTCTCTATGTGACTTTGGACAATTCCTCTAACTTTTCTTAGCTGTAGTTTCCTTCTCTGTGAAGCAGAAATTGTAATTGGGTTTATCTCAGGATGATTCTGAGGTTTCAGTGAAATGATGTGAGCAAAGAACACTGTTGGCACACAGTAAGTATCATAGCATCCTCATCGGAACCTTTCCTATTCTGGTGGCCTAAGCTGGTGTTCACCTTCCAGGTACTCTCTACAGGCCCTAACCCTGGCCTGCCTTACCTTTCCAGAGGCACAAAGAAGTCCTAGACATACCCAAAGCCACACAGTACCACATGGGGAGAGGAGGAGTTGCCCAGGCAGGAGACTGGCGGGAGCTGACAAAGAAGCCGGAGGAAAACCAAGGGCGAGTGTTTCCTTGAAAGACAGAGAGAAAAGATTCTCATGAGTGAGGGGTGACTGCTGGTGTCACAGGCTAGGGAGAGGGGAGATGTGCTGTGAGGGGAGAGCAGAGGGTGCCTCTCAACCTGGGAGATGCAGTGTGATGGCAGGTGGGAGACCTGAAGTCCACCATGCCCTGCTGTGGGGTCTTGGAGATGACAGCTGACATCTCTGTCTTGGCCTTCCTTACAATTATGGGGACCAGAGGGGGTGATTCAATGATTTATTCTTTCAAATTTCTTTTAGCTTTAAAGTGATATGATTCTATGATTAAAGGATTTACTTATTTTATTTTATTTTATTTTTTTGAGGTGGAGTCTCATTCTGTCACCCAGGCTGGAGTGCAGTGGCACAATCTCGACTCACTGCAATCTCCGCCTCCTGGGTTCAAGTGATTCTCCTGCCTCAGCCTCCTGGGTAGCTAAGATTACAGGTGCCTGCCACCATGCCCGGCTAATTTTTATATTTTTTAGTAGAGATGGGGTTTCAAATTCAAAATTAAGTCTCAAGTCAACAGGCATTTATTGAGGACCCAGAAAACTCAAGATTTTTACTGTGTTCAAGGTGCCCTGGGGAGCCTACACATGGTTGGGAGTCTTGGATTGGTTATCTATGATAATCTGATCTTGAATGAATCATTCAGCTTTCTTGACCCTTAGTTTTTCCATGTCTTCTAATAGTTATTGAGCACTCACCATCCCAGCAAGGTACCAGGCACTTTCAATTAGATTATCTCATTGAACACTGACAATCCTGCAAAGAATTTATGGATGAGGAGTAGTATTAGCGAAGTTGTGGGTTTCTTCAATGTCCCATGTCTCTGAGTGGTGCAGCTGGGAGGTGAGCAGAAGTCTGTTCCCTCCCCTGACCCTGATATGATGCATCTCCACACCTGTTTGCTACTGTTTCCGTCAGCGGAAGAGGCACTCCCAGGGCAACAAGTCTATCACAGAGCAAACCTAGTTAATTATAATGAGTTATTTATTTATCTGTCTCTCCTGCTATGTGTAAGATTCTTAAAAAACAGGGGCTGAATACAAATTACCTTTTTGTATCTCTGGAGTCCAGTAGAACATCTGGTACATAACAGGGGCTCAGGAGATGTTGAACCAGGCATTAGGACAGGCACTGGGGATTCATAGATTAAAGGATTTAGATCTAGCCCTCAAGTACTCATAGTCTAAAGGGGATATGGGCATACAACTATATAATGACAATGCAATGAGACACTTACTTTAATAGAGGTATGTATAATGTGAACATTTTTCTTTTTTTAGGGTTGAATTCATTTTAGTAAATACACTTTTTGAAATAAAAAAATTAAGGTCATTTTTATTTTTATTTTATAGCATATAGACAAATACAAATAATTTTATAATGAATATCTGTCACCAAACTTACTAGATCTTGCCAAACATTCGCCAAGCTTACTTTATTTTTATTTTTATACTTTAAATTCTAAGGTACATGTGCACAATGTGCAGGTTTGTTACATATGTATACATGTGCCATGTTGGTATGCTGCACCCATTAACTTGTCATTTACATTAGGTATATCTCCTAATGCTATCCCTCCCCCGTCCCCTCACCCCAAGACAGGTCCCAGTGTGTGATGTTCCCCTTCCTGTGTCCAAGTGTTCTCATTGTTCAATTCCCCACTATGAGTGAGAACATGAGGTGTTTGGTTTTTTGTCCTTGCGATAGTTTGCTGAAAATGATGGTTTCCAGCTTCATCCATGTCCCTACAAAGGACATGAACTCATCATTTTTTATGGCTACGTAGTATTCCATGGTGTATATGTGCCACATTTTCTTAATCCAGTCTCTCATTGATGGACATTTGGGTTGGTTCCAAGTCTTTGCTATTGTGAATAGTGCCTCAGTAAACATACGTGTGCATGTGTCTTTATAGCAGCATCATTTATAATCGTTCGGGTATATACCCAGTAATGGGATGGCTGGGTCAAATGGTATTTCTAGTTCTAGATCCTTGAGGAATTGCCACACTGTCTTCCACAATGGTTGAACTAGTTTACAGTCCCACCAACAGTGTAAAAGTGTGCCTATTTCTCCACATCCTCTCCAGCACCTGTTGTTTCCTGACTTTTTAATGATCGCCATTCTAACTGGTGTGAGATGGTATCTCACTGTGGTTTTGATTTGCATTTCTCTGATGGCCAGTGATGATGAGCTTTTTTTTACGTGTCTGTTGGCTGCATAAATGTCTTCTTTTGAGAAGTGTCTGTTCATATTCTTTGCCCACTTTTTGATGGGGTTGTTTGTTTTTTCTTATAAATTTGGCCAAACTTACTTTAAATGAAAACACACACACATACACACACACACACACACACACGCGCGCACGTGCGTTGCAGATCAGCTGAAAGAACCTGGATGTTCCTTTGGATTTCATTGTCCTCCCTGTCTAGAAGTAGCCCTTAATATAAATTTAGGTTTATTATCCCCATGGATTTTCTTAAAGAGACAGTGTCTTGCTCTACTGCCCAGGCTGGAGGGCAGTGGTGTGATCATGGCTCACTGCAGCTCTACCTACTGGGCTCAAGTGATCCTTCTGCCTCAGCCTCCCATGTAGCTGGGACTATAGGCTCACACTTACACACCCAGCCCCCATGCAAATTCTTATATTGTGTGTGTGTGTATGTGTATAAATATATAAATATAAATAGAGAGAAAGGAGCCTATACAGATTCTTTCCTTCCTCCTTCCCTCCTCTCTCTCTTCCTTCCTTCCCTCCTCTCTCTCTTCCTTCCTTCCCTCATTCTCTCTCCTCCTTCCTTTCCCCATTCCTCTCTTTTTCTTTTCTCTTCTCTCTTCTTCTTTGTGATTCTTAACAAAGTGGAAGTCTACTAGACACATTACTCAGAGACTCGTATTTTCCCAGTTAATCTATGCAGATTTATTGGATGAATGGCTTACCTGCCTTTCATCCTGTGTTTTGTGAAAGTGAGAATTAGGGTAGGGGCTATGCCTCACACCAGAGAGATGTCTTTTTGCCCTTAAACTGGTAAGAGAAGGTCTCAAGAGAGGCAGCATGGGAAAGAGGCAGAAATGCTGAGTTGGGTCATGAAGGACCCCTGCGCATTGGAGCAGGAACCCTCACAATCATCTAGAACAGCAGTTCTCCACAGAGAGGGGGCTGTTCATGTGGGAGTTAGGCCGCAAGAAGTATTTTGCTTTTAAAAAACATAATAGAAGCTTGAGAATTTTTTGCTCACAGTTATCCCTGGGGGCACCATGGTTTTTCAGGGGACGCCAGCTCATCCTCGGGCTGAGTGGTCTATCACGCACCCCCAAGAACATGCTCCCAGTGTGCTCCCATGTCCTACAACAGCTTTGTGTTAGTAAGGATGCAGGTTCTGCTACTCTGACAAAGACCCAAAGCTGGAGCTGCCATACATTTTCAGAAGTCTTGGGATCTGATTGTTACACAGAGCTATAATTAACAATTAAATTTTATAAACTTAAAAGTGAATATATTAAAAGTCAATGTAATGAATACTCAAAACTCCCGCCTTCCTAATTCCTTGACTACATTCTACTCTTCTCGACGCTATTGCAGTGATTCGCATGTATCATGTCTGCATGGGGCAATGCTCTGTAATGGGGTGAGGCTGCAGCTCTGGGTTCTGACCATCCAGTCTCCTTTGATCCTGCTGCTCTGGCATCTCAACACCTTATTCCATCCTGCATCCAAGGAGGCTTGTCTAAGCTCTAACTCCTGCCTGCACCCTAGACCAAGGAAAAAGGGGAAAGAGGAGAGGGAGGGTCCCTTCTTTTCTTTTAAATTCATGGTCTTGACCTTGCATACATTGCTTTTGCTCTCTTACCTTAATGGCTACATTTAGCTGCAAAGCAGCCTGGGAATATAGTCTTCATCAGGGCTGCCATGTGCCCAGCTAAAACATTTCTAACTCTAGAAGGAAAGAATGGATATTAGGGGACAGCTGGCCCTCTCTAACATTTCAAGGGTTCTACTCAGCTTCTAGGCCACCAAGCAGTCCCCTACTCCCTCATCCCAACTCTTCTGAAGGCCTGTTGCACGTCTCCAGGAAGGCTCTTGGAATTGTCCAAGCTGGTGTAGAGGTGGCACCCTCCAGCCAATGCTTTCAAAACACTCATGGGCTTCCCATATCCCCCACCTCCAGGCAGCGAGAAGAGACTCAGAAACACATGAACCAGGACCATCTTTGTACAGAGTGAGCACCAACAGATAAACCCTGGTGAAGGGGACTCCACTGTAGTTAGGGCTGAGCTGGACTCTGGGTGTGGAGGGAATAATGGTATCAGGAAAAACTAGATAGTCCCTGCTTCAAGGAGCTCCTAATCCAGATGAAATTCTTATACCTGGAGGATCACTAATAATACAGGCAGTATCTGGTAAGGACCAGGTAATTCTTTTCTAATTTTAAATTCTGGGGAGAGAACCATTCTCCATGAGCAACCAACTCATTGTTGCTCTAAGCTCTTGTTTTGAACTTGGACAGTTATAATCAAATAAAACCTACCACAAAGTTTGGTTGAGATTAGTTAAAGATCTACATAATTATTGTGCTGCCTAGTAATTAGGCAGCAATGGTAAGCAGTCCACATAAATGACTAATTAGCATTATTTTTACGTGATCAAAGTTTTTAATTTTCACTGTTACCCCGTACAGTTTATTGGTTATCTCTCTCGGTTCCAGCCATAACTAACACTTTGCAGCATGTAGGAGGCTCTGGCCCTCTCCAGCCTCTGGCCTGTGCCTGGAATGGTCTCTCTTGAAGTTCTCCATCAAGCCCTGTTGATACTTGGAAGAGGCATGGCACAGAGGTCAAGTGCTTGGGCTCTGGGGTCAAAATGCCTTCACGACTTAACTCCATTGTTTAAGCTGGGTGAGCTTAAGTGAGTTGCTTAATTTTCCACTGCTTCAGCTTGAGAATGTGCCTTGGACATAATTAATAATATATGTTATTAGCTCCTTTATTCATTCATTTGTTCAACAAATGTTGCGGGAAGTCAGGGACACCGAACGGAGGGACCGGCTGGAGCTGCGGCAGAGGGACATAAATTGTGAAGATTTCATGGACGTTTAACAGTTCCCAAATAGTACTTTTATAGTTTCTTATGCCTGTCTTGTCTTTACTCTCTTAATCCTGTTATCTTCCTAAGCTGAGGATGTATGTCACCTCGGGACCACTGTGATAATTGTGTTAACTGTACAAACTGATTGTAAAACATGTGTGTTTGAACAATATGAAATCAGTGCACCTTGAAAAAGAACAGAATAATAGCGATTTTTAGGGAACAAGGGAAGACAACCGTAAGGTCTGACTGCCTGTGAGGTTGGGCAAAAAGAGCCATATTTTTCTTCTTGCAGAGAGCCTATAAATGGACGTGCAAGTAGGAGAGATATTGCTAAATTCTTTTCCTAGCAAGGAATATTAATATTAATACCCTGGGAAAGGAATGCGCCCCTGGGGGGAGGTCTATAAATGGCCGCTCTGGGAATGTCTATCTTGTGCAATTGAGATAAGGGCTGAGATACCCCCTGGTCTCCTGCAGAACCCTCAGGCTTACTAGGGTGGGGAAAAAACTCCGCCTTGGTAAATTTGTGGTCAGACCGGTTCTCTGCTCTCGAACCCTGTTTTCTGTTGTTTAAGATGTTTATCAAGACAATACGTACCGCTGAACATAGACCCTTATTATTAGTTTTGCTTTTTGCCCTTTGCCTTGTGATCTTTGTTGGACCCTTACCAGTAGTTCTGCTTTTGCCCTTTGTCCTGTTCCCTCAGAAGCATGTGATCTTTGTTAGACCCTTACTAGTATTTCTGCTTTTTGCCCTTTGAAGTGTGTGATCTTTGTACCTACTCCCTGTTCTTACATCCCCTCTGTTTTTGAAACCCTTAATAAAAACTTGCTGGTCTGAGACTCAGGTGGGCATCATGGTCCTACTGATATGTGATGTCACCCCCGGTGGCCCAGCTGTAAAATTCCTCTCTTTATACTGTCTCTCTTTATTTCTCAGCTGGCTGACACTTACGGAAAATAGAAAGAACCTACATTGAAATATTGGGGGCGGGTTCCCCCAGTATCTGGCATGCCAACGTGGTTTTCTTTTTCCTAAGTGCATGTGGGAACCTGATTCCTTTTGGTAGGTGCGGAGAAACTTTCATCGGTCCGGTCCACAGAAACGCTTGTTCAGCTCCCTGACGATTGGTGAGTTGTCTGTGTATTGTCCAGGGTAACTATGGGTCATGTGGAGTCTAAACATTATGCTTATCTCTGCTATATTAAACTCCTGTTAAAACAGGGAGGAGTTCGGGTACCCATGGAAAATATTGTCACCCTATCCAGGGTGGTGGAAGAACACTGTCCTTGGTTTCCTGAAAAGGGAATGTTAAATGTGGAACTATGGGATCATGTTGGTGGAAAATTCCGGGAACTGGTCCTGACAGAAAATTATGTTCCCGTCACTGTTTGGGTGATTGGGCCTTGGTACATGCCATTCTAATGACATACCAATCCTGTGACCCCCTGCAGTTACCACAGTTTTCTGAATCTGGCAACCCTCTACCTCTTCCTCAGTTTCCCTCTCCCACTCAGCCTTCGTTATCTGCTCAGCCTCTCCGTTTGCCTACTCCTCACCCACCTGAAGATATTGAAGATTCAATATCTAACTCCGGTGACTTTGGCTTAACATCACCCCCTGATGATCTTATTTCTTTTCACGAGAAGCCAGTACTTGTAGCTCCCATGGCCCTGACTTGGACAGCCTGGGACCATATCTATGCTAACTCTTCCCTCTCCAAACCTTTGCAGCCTTTGCCTCCGGAGCCATCTGATGGCTCCGGGACCAGACTACAATTTACCTGTAATTCTGCAGGCCCTCCCCCGTCCACCACAGCCCCTCACCCTCCTGTTATTTCGGTCCCTCAACTGGTCACTTTGCCATTCACTCAACCTGCTTCTCTGTACCCTTCCTCATGCAGGGACACCCCTGTCATTCTGGTTGCACAGGATTGGGACAATAATCACCAGTATGCTTCTGCCTCTTCTGCTCCTCCAGTGCCCCTTTCTCATGCTCTCATACTGGTCTGACCTCCTCAACCTCAGTTTCCCTTATCTACACATACTTTTTCTGTCACTTCTATGCTGATTCCATCTCATGTGCCTGTTCTTGAAACTTCCATGCAACGCTTATTATACTAGAACAAAGAAACAAGTGGATTAGAGGCATGGGCTTATCCAGTTGTGCTGGAACCTCCCAATGCTCAAGGGGTATAAGTGCATCGATATCCGCTGCTCAATCTTACCTTTTTAAAAGAATTCAAGGATGCTTGTACTCAGTATGGTCCTACTTCTCCATATGTTAAAATGGTATTACAGACCCTTTGTACTGAGTTCATTTTGCTTCCTTGAGACTGGGACCTTTTGGCAAAAGCTGTTCTAACTCCATCTCAGCATTTACAATTCTGTATCTGGTGATCAGAGGAGGCCCGTCTGCAGGCTCAGCTAAATTGGGCTTATGGCATTCCAATTACTCAGGCTCAGCTCACAGGCTCTGATAATTACTCTCACACTACCGCCCAATTAGGCTTTGATGCTCTCACCATGGAACAAGTAACAAAGGTGTGTATGAGAGCTTGGGATAGATTAAGTGCCCTGGGCCAAGCTCCTGTTTCTTTTACTACTGTTAAACAGGGTCACAATGAATTATATCTTGATTTTATGGGTAAATTACAAGATGCTGTTGAAAAATCTGTCTCTGATGAGTGCACTCAAGGTATTCTCCTTCGTATGTTAGCTTTTAAGATCACAGTTCATACTGGTCTCATTAATTCTGATTCCTCTGTTGAGATTAAACTTATGGTGTCTGCAAGGTTCCTGTTTCCATTCTGGCTGGTGAGTCAATTGCTCAATCACTTTTACTACCTAATATTGTTTTAAACAAAGGAGATAAGACACAGGGCCCTGGGATGGGCTCCAGCAGTGAAAAAGCTGCTTATTGGATTAATGTAATTTCTAAACAATGGCCCACCTGCACCATACACATTCAAGGAAAAAAGTTTGAGGGCATAATAGATACTGGGGCTGATGTTTCTATTATTTCCTCTAATTTATGGCTTCCTCCTGGCTTAAACATCCCACTAACGTGGGACTAGTAGGTGTTGGAAAAGCTGATGAAGTTCACCAGAGCACATTTATCTTGCCTTGCACTGGCCCTGATGGTCAAAAGGGTACAATTCAGCCTTATATCACACCAATCCCCATTAATCTTTGGGGTAGAGATTTGCCGGCACAAAGGTGGGCTGAAATTAATATTCCACATCACTCTTACAGTGCTCCCAGTCAGCATATAATGGAAAACATGGGGTTTGTTCCCAGACTTGGTCTCAGTCCAAGACATGAAGGAATTACTAAAGCTCTTCAAGTTACTGTAAAAGAAGACAGGGCTGGTTTAGGTTATCCTTTTCAATGACGGCCACTGCTTGCCTCCTAATCCTGTTCCCCTACAATGGAAATCTGAAGCACCTGTCTGGATTGAGCAGCGGCCACTCTCTAAAGAAAAACTGGAGGCTTTAACTCAATTGGTTTCTGAACAGTTACAACTTGGAAATGTGGAATCTTCTCTTTCCCCCTGGAATTCTCCTGTGTTTCTAGTAACAAAGAAATCAGGCAAGTGGAGGATGGTAACTGATTTAAGGGCCATTAATGCTGTAATTAAACCTATGGGTGCCATCCAACCTGGCGTGCCTGCCCCTGCTTTAATACCTAAGAATTGGCCTCTCATAGTTATTGATCTTAAAGACTCCCTACCATCTGCCAGCTTTATGTTGGACAGGTGCTTTCTCCAGTTCGAGCTCAATTTCCCCAGGCCTATATGCTTCATTATATTGATGATATATTAATTGCTGCCCCCACTGATAAATAATTAATTGACTGTTATCAATTTTTGAGTCACCGTGTTACAGAGGCTGGTTTACACATCACTCAGGATAAAATTCAACAGACCACTCCTGTTCAATATTTAGGAATGGTGGTCAATAAAGAATGTATTCAACCTCAAAAGGTTCAGATTAGGAGAGATTCTTTAAAAACCTTAAATGATTTCCAAAAACTTTTGGGTAACATTAATTATTTAAGATCTACTTTAGGCATTCCAACATATGCGCTGTCTAACTTGTTTTCTACATTGTGTGGAAATTCCAATCTCCACAGTCCCAGGACTTTGACCCCTGAGACTTCACTGGAACTGGAATTCATGGAGGAAAGAATCCACACTGCCCAGTTGTCTAGGGTACAGCCATCTCAGCCTTTTCAGCTTCTGGTTTTCACTTCATTGCACTCCCCTACTGGGCTAATAGTTCAACATAATGATTTAGTGGAACGGTGTTTTTTTCCTCATTCTGTGTCAAAAACTTTATCTGTTTGTCTGGACCAAATGGCCACCCTAATTGGACAAGCTCGGTGTAGAATACTTAAAATTTCTGGATTTGATCCGAATTTAATTGTGGTTCCTTTAAATCAGCTCAAAGTTCAGGCTGCTTTTCAACATTCCATACTGTGGCAAATTCACTTGGCTGATTTTATCAGTGTTATTGACAATCGTTATCCAAAAAACAAATTGTTTGATTTTATAAAAATGACTTCTTGGGTGGTCCCTCGATTGACCAAAGATCAGCCTATTCCTGAGGCCGTTACAGTGTTCACGGAGAGCTCCAGTAATGGAAATGCTGGTTATGTGGGTCCTACAGACAAGCTTATTTCTAACCCTTATACCTCTGCTCAGAAGGCAGGGTTAATTGCTGTAATTACTGCCTTACAGGATTTCCCCAAACCTTTAAATATTGTCTCTGATTCTGCTTATGTTGTACATGCCACTAAAAATATAGAAACTGCTACTATCAAACATGTTAATAATTCCGAATTGGCTTCTTTATTTTCAAGGTTACAACAGGTGGTTCACCAATGTAGACACCATTTCTATATTACACGTATTAGATCTCATACCACTTTACCGGGACCCATGTCTGCTAGTAACCATAAGGCCGACTGTTTGGTCTCTTTTGCTATCCAAGAGGCTCACGAGTTCCATAATCTCACTCATGTCAATGCTGCTGGATTAAAAGATAAATTTGCTCTCACCTGGAAGGAGGCTAAGCTTATTGTCCACTGCTGTCTTCAGTGCCAAGTTTTTGTACTTCCAAATCAGGAACATGGCATTAATCCCAGAGGCCTAACTCCTAATGATTTATGGCAGATGGATGTGACTCATGTTAGCTCTTTTGGCAGACTTTCATATGTACATGTTTCTGTGGATACCTTTTCAGGTTTTATTTGGGCTCCTTGCAAAACAGGGGAAGGCACACCCCATGTTAAAAAGACATCTGTATTCTTGCTTTGCAGTTATGGGGCTTCCATATCAGATAAAGACAGACAACACCCCTGGATATATTAGTAAGGCTTTTGATTTATTTATGCAACAATGGGGAATTTCCCATATTATCAGAATCCCTTACAATCCTAAGGGACAGGCTGTGGTGGAATGGGCCAATCGCACTTTAAAAACTCAGTTGTCCAAACAGTCTGAGCAACAAAACCATAATTTAACCACTCCCCAATCCCAATTACATTTAGCATTGTTACTTTAAACTTTCTAAATGTTCCTAAAGACAATACTCTGACCGCAGCTGAAAGCCATTACACAGGCAAAAAATTCTCCCTAAACGAAGGCAAGCCAGTGTTATGGAAAAACTCCCAAACCAATACCTGGGAACCTGGAACAATTATAACATGGGGAAGAGGTTATGTTTACGTTTCACCAGGAGATCATCAATCCCCTGTCTGGGTGCCCACTAAGAGGCTGAAACTTCATGTGAATACTAACAATGAAAACCACAGGGAAGAGACATCTGCATCAGAGACCGCCCTCATACCTGGTGAGATCTGTGCCGACTCCTCAGAAACTGGCATGCCAAATCAAGAGAGTCTGATTCAATCCTCCCTAATGGCAACGGAGACCCCTCTAACTAATCCCACTTCTCCTAATTGCCTTTCTTTTTCTCCCTACGAACCTAAAAATCTTACCATTTCTATTAGCTTAAAAATAACATCCCCTTGTTCTCTTCCTCCTTCAGCACTGGATCTCACTTACAATAGGTTTTATTTAATAATTCTCCTCCTTATACTTTCTGTCTCACCAGTTTGCCCTCATACTGATTTACCTGCTAAACAAAATTATTCTTATTGGGCTTATGTGCCTTTTCCTCCACTTATTTGACCTCTCCCCTGGATGGATGCTCCTGCAGAAATCTATACTAACGATAGTGTGTGGATGCCTGGAGCTACAGATGACTGTTTCCCCACTCAACCAGAAGAAAACACTGCATTTAATGTTACTATGGGTTATAAATACCCTCCTCTGTGCCTTGGACATGCACCTGGTTGGATCCATCTAGAAACTCAAGTCTGGGCTGCTTATCTTCTGGAGAGATTAGCTACAGGGGAACAGGGACATTTGGTCTCTGGCCTCTCCCTTTCTCCTTTAAGACAAATGAAAAGGGGAGTAATAGGAGATACCCCATACTTTCAATATAAACCTGTAGGAAAACCATGTCCTAAAAATTTTGAGGGCCCATCTAAAACTTAAATTTGGGAAGCTTGTGTTAACTCACATGCAGTACTATTAAAAAATGACTCATATGGTTTAGTAATAGACTGGGCACCAAAGGGCTATTTAAAAAACAATTGCTCCTCTGGTGGGAGGGAATGCCTGGAGTCTACTTATTTTATTTCTTATTGGGAGGACAAGGATCATCATCCTACTTTGCATAGGAGGTTCAGCTCATTCTTTCCCTTAAAATGGGAAGATAAGGGCATTACTCCCCTGAGGCCTCATATTATATTTCCCATTCTGAGCCCAGAACACCCAGAACTTTGGAAACTGGCTATTGCCATGTCTGGACTGCGAGTATGGGATGGGGAAACTTTTCTGTCTGTTGTCCCCACTACCACCCCTTGCATCCGTGATTCTGAACCCCGTGATAAATCTCCTTTGAACGCTTTTCCTCTTTTTGATGCTGATCCTCCTTTATGGGACTCCAATTGGCATTATGATAATTCTTCTTGACTGATAATTCTGATAATTCTCTATGATAATTCTTTTTGACTTAACTCTACCTCTTTGGCATCCCCGGGCACCTCGGATTGCTTCTTTACAGTGGAGAACATTGGGCGTTGCCACCACCGCTCCTCTCCCTCAGTATCAATGTAGATTCAAACATTCTGCTTTGTTTACCTCCAGCCTGAATATTCCTATACAGAGTTGTGTTAAGCCTCCTTACATGCTGTTAGTGGGAAATTTCAAAATTTGGACAAACAATCAAACTGTCCAATGCATTAATTGTCATTTACACACTTGTGTTAATTCCCGTTTTGACTTCAGGAAAAGTGTAATGTTGATTCGAGCTCGAGAAGGAATCTGGATACTGGTAACTTTACCCAGACCTTGGGAATCTTTCCCCTCAGTATGTTTAATTAATGAAATATTACAATGAATTCTCAGAAGATCTAAGAGATTTGTTTTCACTTTAATGACTGTGACCATGGGCCTAATTACAGTCACTGCACTGGCCACCACTGCTGGAGTGGCATTACACCAATCTATTCAAATGACTCATTTTGTTAATGATTGGCAAGCCAATTCCACCCAAATGTGGAATTCTCAACAGGGCAGTGATCAAAAATTAGCTAATCAAATTAATGATTTAAGACATTCTGTTATTTGGCTTGGAGATCGGCGAATGAGTCTTGAATATCACATGCAAATGCAGTGTGACTGGAATACTTCTGATTTCTGTGTCACACCATATTCCTACAACAAGACTGATCATTCATGGGAAATGGTCAAAGGACACCTTCTGGGTAGGGAAGATAATTTATCCTTGGACATAACTAAATTAAAGAAACAAATTTTTGAAGCCTCTCAAGCTCATTTACCCATTGTGCCTGGAGCTGATGCGTTAGATCAGGTGGCAGAAAGTCTTTCTGGACTAAACCCCACGACTTGGATTAAGTCTGTTGGGGGCTCCACTGTAGTACATTTTGGAATCATGTTTCTCTGTTTAATCGGCTTGTTTTTAGTGTGCCAGACCAGTCAAAGAATCTTGCATCAAAACCGAGAGAACGAAGAAGTCTTCATCGCCATGGCACATTTATATAAAAATAAAGGGAGAGGTGTCGTGGGAAGTCAGGGACCCCGAATGGAGGGACCGGCTGGGGCCGCGGTAGACAAACGTAAGTTGTGAAGATTTCATGGACATTTATCAGTTCCCAAATAATACTTTTATAATTTCTTATGCCTGTCTTTAATCTCTTAATCCTGTTATCTTTGTAAGCTGAGGATGTACATCACCTCAGGACCACTGTGCTAATTGTGTTAACTGTACAAATTGTAAAACATGTGTGTTTGAACAATATAAAATCAGTGCACCTTGAAAAAGAACAGAATAACAGCAATTTTTAGGGAACAAGGGAAGACAACCATAAGGTCTGACTGCCTATGGGGTCGGGCAAAAAGAGCCATATTTTTCTTCTTGCAGAGAGCCTACAAATGGACGTGCAAGTAGGGAAGATATTGCTAAATTCTTTTCCTAGCAATGAATATTAATATTAATACCCTGGGAAAGGAATGCATTCCTGGGGAGAGGTCTATACACGGCCGCTCTGGTAATGACTGTCTTGTGCAGTTGAGATAAGTACTGAGATGCACCCTGGTCTCCTGCAGAACCCTCAGGCTTACTAGGATGGGGAAAAACTCCGCCCTGGTAAATTTGTGGTCGGACCAGTTCTCTGCTCTCAAACCCTGTTTTCTGTTGTTTAAGATGTTTATCAAGACAATACGTACCACTGAACATAGACCCTTATCAGTAGTTCTGCTTTTGCCCTTTGTCTGGTGATCTTTGTTAGAACCTTACTAGTAGTTTGCTTTTTGCCCTTTGAAGCATGTGATCTTTGTACCTACTCCCTGTACTTACACCCCCTCCCTTTTTTAAACCCTTAATAAAAACTTGCTGGTTTGAGGCTCAGGCAGGCATCATGGTCCTACCGATATGTGATGTCACCCCTGGCGGCCCAGCTGTAAAATTCCTCTCTTTATACTGTCTCTCTTTATTTCTCAGTTGGCTGACACTTATGGAAAATAGAACCTACGTTGAAATATTGGGGGCGGGTTCCCCTGATAAACAAAGAACCGCATCCACTATTTTCCAGGTCGTGTTCTAGATGCAGAGAATTAGTAGTGAAACAAACAAAGTCCTGTCCCCATAGTTTACATTTTAGAGGAAGGAGACAGATAATTAACAAGTCTGAAAGTTTATCAGGTGGTGATAAGTCTGATGAAGAAAACAAGGCATGTTAAGATGATAGAGGAAGTGCATCAGTCAGGAGAAGCTAGATGAAACTGCAGTAACAAACAACCCCCAAATCTCAGGGGCTGATTTTTTTTGTTCATGCTCCATGTTAATTGTGGGGTGGGCAGGTGGGCTCTATTCTGCATCTTTCTCACTCTGTGATCCAGGCTCACTGAGTCCTCATCCTTTGGACTATCACCAGTCATTACAGCAGGCAGAAGGAGGAATGTGATGACTCATGTTGGAAGAGGGGAAACCAGGGATATTGATGTGCTGAGTAATCTCTGCTTGCTCCAGATCTGTTCTTATAGCTCTGCTCTGCTCCACTCTGTGCTCTTGAGCCTGAACTCCATGGATTGCATCATCAGGGCTCTCTGCCCTCTGATTTCCAGTTGTATTTGGAGGCATCATCAGGAGACTCGAGGGTGGGAAGAGAGCCAGGTGCTTGCTCTGTTGCTCTCTGCTTGGCCACAGTTTTGCAATGATTGTTTTCCTCAGGCCACAGCGCCATCAAGCACTCTCACTTCCATGGCTCTGGCTCTCAGAGGGGCTCTGGTAACACCAGTTTCTCCTCTTGCAGGACTAACCGTGGTATTGGCTTCCTAGTGTGGCTAGTTTTGAGGGGCCTTAAAATCTCTTCTTGGTTTCCTCCTTGAGTAGAATATTCATGGAAAGATCTCTCCAAAGATCATTGCTGAATGTTCTAGCCACTTCTTGCTGGGACCCTCAAATATAATAGGTCAAAGGATTTGTGTTACAGAGGCCCCCTCTGAGGACATGACATTTGAAGCGAGGGAGAAAGTCAAGCAGGTGCTGGGTGTGGTGGGTCATGCCTGTCATCCCAGCACTTTGGGAGGCCAAGGCAGGTGGATCACCTGAGGTCAGGAGTTTGAGACCAGCCTGGCCAACACGGTGAAACTCCATCCCTACTTGCTACCAAAAAATACAAAAATTGGCGGGGTGTGGTGGCATGTGCCTATAGTCCCAGCTACTGGAGAGACTGAGGTGGGAGAATTGCTCCTGTCACGTAGGAGCTGAAGCTGCCATCCACAGAGAATTGCTTGAACCCAGGAGGTGGAGGTTTCAGTGAGCCGAGATCACACCGTGGCACTCCAGTCTGGGCAACAGAATGAGACCCTGTCAAAAAAAAAAAAAAAGTCAGGCAGGTATTGCAGTGGGGAAGGAAGATGGTTCAGATTGAAAGGAGAACTTAGCAGTGGGAAAGTGGTTCTTGGCACATTCAAGGAACAGCAACAAGGCGGCCATGGCCAGAGCTGACTGAGCTGGTGGAGAAATGATAGGAATCAGGGCCAGAGAGGCAGAGGCCCAGATTACACCAATGTTTTTCTAGGTGATGAGAGAAACTTTAGATTTTATTCTGAGTGACACAGGAAAGCACTGGGAGCTTTTGAGCCATGAGGAACATCATCTGGCTTACAATTTTAAAGGATAGTTCTGATTTTAAGGGCAAGATGGAGCAAGGAGATTGATTAGGAGGCTGATGCAAAAGTCTCAGAGGGAGAAGCTGGTGGCTCAGACCAAGGTGAGAGCAATGGAGTTGGTGAGAGGTGATAAATTAGGGTCTTAGTTTTAAGGTGGAGATAACACAAACTTTGCTGACTGGTTGGATGTTGGCATGAGAGGAAAAGAGAACTCAAGAACTCCAGAGATTTGGCCTGAAATGGGAAGACTGAGGGAGATGCAGTTTTTCTGAGAGATTAGGGTGGAACTCAAGTGTTCAGTTTTGCTCATATTTAGTTAAAGATTCCCATTAGACCTTAAAGGGGAGATGTCGAGTTTAGATTTAGTTAAAGATTACCATTAGAACTTGAAGGGGAGATGTTGAGCTGTGGTTAGAGGAACAGGTCAGAGCTAGAAATACAAATTTGGTGGTTTCTGATTGCAAGTGGTGTTTAAAGCCAAGACATGTGTGAACTCCTCAAGGGAGTAAGAGCGACAGAAGAGGTGTGAGGATTGAGGACTGGGGCATTCCCACATGCGAAGGTGTGGAGGACGAGGCGCCAGCAAGGGAGGTAAGGAAGGGTGGATGGAGGAGGAGAATTAAGTGAAGAAAGTGTTTCAAGGAGGAGGGAGTAGTCACCTGCTGTGATGCTGCTAGGAGACCGAGAGGCTGCTCCTCCAAGAAGTCTGCTCTATCCCCTCAAAGTGGACCCTTGGCTTTTTCCTGCACTCCTGCACATCCACTGCTGATTCTCTGTATTGTAGTTATCTTCTGTCACATCCATCTCCCCCTCTGTACCCCAAGTTCCTTGAAGATTGTGTCTTGTTAATGACACTGAGCTCATGCCATGCATACAGTGGTATTAAGTTAACGAAATTCACAAAACACAGGACTCAACCAAGGGGATGTGCACCTCCCCCCTGCACCAACCCCATGTACTGCCCAAACCTCCAGATTTGTTTCAACTAGCTGAGGTTCTCTATTTTTTTTTCACCTTCCAGGGGCCTGAAGACTCTTTTAAGCCTTCCTTTTATAGTAGCCAATGCCCCCACCAACAATCCTCTCCCTTATCATGCTGAACACTCTGGGACTATTTCTTCTGGCCAAGCTACCTAGGTACCAGGAAATAGGGCTTCAGAATTGTGGAGATACATTTATACATTGTCTGCCTTGATGGTGACCTGTTGAATTCTGAGGGGTAGGAGAGAGGACGGGGAGAGAGAGGGAGAGAAGGAAAGGGGAGGGGAGGGGAGAGCAAGGGAGGGGAGAGGACAGGACAGGAGAGGAGAGGAGATGAGAGGGAGAAAGAAGAGAGAAAGGAGAGCAGATCGGGAGAGGAAGAGGGAAAGAGACCCAAGACAGGGATAGTGGCTCAGCATAAAAGAGGCGACCTTAGGAAAATTAGCTTTTTTTCCTCTGGCATCTCAGAAACTTGGGGCAGAAAAATGGTTTGGCTTAACACATTCATTTTACAAAAGGAAAATTGAGGCTCAGAGAAGTGAGTGACTTATGACTTTAGAGGTGGCTATGTGGCAGGGCTGGCCTAGAATGCATCCCTTGTGTCTCCCAGTTCAGTGTCCTCTTTATAACTTGGTGGTGACTTTGGGGAAAGGAATAGTTGTATCCCTCTTAGGTGAATATCTTCTACTTATTCAGTAATACCCAGAACTGCTTTAAAAGACAGCCTTCTTGTCCACAAATGAGAAAGGCTAAAACTGCAAACGATGGAGACAGAACAAAGGTGGGGCTGCTTCTCTGCTAAGGATTAATTGACAGCGATTCCTTAGGAGAGGGGTAGGGAATCAGGAGTTAGGAAAGGGAAGGCTAGAGTTGTGGAATTCAAACTGAAATTGAGTGAGAGGCACAAATTTGCTCTTTGCTTTCTGAGCATGAAGGGATCGATTTCATGATGAATCGACCTGACTGTGCACCCTTGAGAAGGCAGAAGAAAGCCACAGCGGCTCAGTTTTCATCCCACCAATAAGAGAGTGAGGCCTGAATCTCAATTCTGCTCCTATAAGGGGCCAAATGATCTGCCTAGAAAGGCTCAGGTTAGTGCAGTCCGAAGGCGACCACATAGGATCCGAGTGGGGCCATTCTCCTTCTGGGAACTGCCTGGGCAGCATTTGTCTTGCCTGTTTGGCCACTGGTGGTGGGGGTGGGAGGTGGGGCATATTCCAGGACTTACTGGGGTCTTTGGAGCTGGGTGGTCATGAGGTTCAGCAGTGGGCTTGGTGCTCAGGTCTGTGAGCTGAGCATTCCTGGGTTTGCTCAAGTCTGGGGGCTTTGCCAGGTTCTGTCTCACTTAGCTCTTTCTAACAGTGTTAATTTCCAAACCCAGTCACTTCCACAAAGAGCCTGGCAGCCTCACTTCCTTTCTCAGTGAAGGTTTAATAGCACAGCACTGAAACAGGTCTTGTTGCTAAGCCTTCATTATTTCCACAGCATATACTACAGAACTCCTACTAATATACTGTGACGCATTGTCCTCATTAAAACTAAACGACTCATGTCAAATTAAATGAGCAGAGAACATTGGGTTAGCCAGGGCTCTGGCTTGCAATTACATGTTTGTTTACTTGTTAATTGTCCAAGTTTAATAATTTTAGTAGCCCTTTCTTCTCGTCAATACAAATTACTGATGCCCCGGACTTGGTTTTCTGGGGAGCCCAGACTGGGAGGCAGGATACTGATGATCAGTCCTACTGTGCCATATTGTACAAGACATTGAACCCTGTGCTGAGCCTCTCCTGGAGTACAGGGGCATGATCGTCACCACCCACCCACTTCTCCAGGATGCTGCAGAGCTTCCATAAAGTGGCAAAATCCAAAGGGCCCTAAGTGTGCTCCTCTCTGGAAGAGCTTTGGTCCAAAGATAAGTGTTCAGTTCAGGGGTCTAGCAGGGATTTGAAGGCTGGTGTATCCATCAGGGTTCTGCCAGAGAAATAGAACCAGTAGAATTTATTGCAAGGGATTTACTTACACAATTATGGGGTTGGCTAGGCAAGTGAAAGCCACAGGGCAAGCTGTCAGGAAGGGCAGGCTGGAAACTCTCACATAGGAGCTGAAGCTGCCATCCACAGGCACAATTTCTTTCTCCTCAGGGAAGCCTCGGTTCTGCTCAGTTCTTTAGCTTGCAATGGCTTGGATTATGTACACCAAGATTATTGAGGATAATATTCTTCTCTTAAAGTCAACTGACTGTAGATGTTAACCACATCTACAAAATACCCTCACAAGAACACATACCTTAGTGCTATTTGCATAACTGGGTACTATAGCCTGGTTAAGTTGACACACAAAACTAACCATCATGGCTCCAATCTAGAGACAGCCATCCCATTTAGCACTATTGCCTGTGCTTGGCTCAGTTGGTGCTAGAAAGTCCATGGGGTTCAGTTGAATTTTAAGAGGAATATTTTCTTCCAAACATTTCATTCATTTACATTTTCATCAGACATATTTGGAGCACTTGCTAGGGGCCAGGCACTGCATTAGGAACTAGAGGTATATGTGTGAGTAAGCTGTGGTTAGTCTGTGCTGCAGGGGAGCTTGAAGTCTGGTGAGTGAAATGAGCACATACACAGACGACAATGTGGCGAGTGCCACAAGAGTGCTACGCACATGGCTTTCAAGAGCCCAGCCCTGGGAAGTCAGAGGAGGCTTCCAGGAGGAGGCAATGCCTGGTTATGAATGGATAGGGAAACTAGGGGAAGCAGTTAGGAAGGAGATGTTGGGAAATTGGGCATTTCAGGCAGAGTGGACACACAACTCCACAAAGGCACAAAGGTGAGGAATGCCACAGATTTGCAGGGGATTGTAAGCAGGTCTGTGAGCCTGGAGTGAGGACTGTGGGTGGTGGAGGCTAGTGAGGCTGGGAAGGTGGTGCTGCATCCTGAAAAGCCTCATAGAGGGGTTTGGACTTATCAGTAGATGATGGGGAGCAAATGCAGAGGCCCTCTGCATTTAAAAGGGCCTCTTGACTGGGTGCGGGGCTCATGCCTGTAATCCCAGCACTTTGGGAGGCTAGGGTGAAAGGATCACTGGAGTCCAGGATTTGAGACCAGCCTGAGCAACATAGGGAGACCCTGTCTTTACAAAAAATATAAAAAACAGCCGGGCATGGTGGCATGCTCCTGTGGTCCCAGTTACTTGGGAGGCTGAAGCAGGTGGATCATTTGAGCCCAGGAAGTCAATACTGCAGTAGCTATGATGGCACCACTGCACTCTAGCTGGGACACTGGGACACTCAAGTGAGACCCTGTCTCAAAATAAAATAAAATAAAATAAAATAAATAAAATAAAATAAAATAAAATAAAATAAAATAAAAATAAAATAAAAATAAAATAAACAGAAAGAAAGAAAAAGAAAAAAAGGTCCTCTCTAGAGTGCGAGGGGAGGATGAGATTATGGGACAAGACTTGGGAGAAGAAGGCCCATTAAAGTCTAAAGACACAGAGTCAGGCCAGAGCAACTATTTAAGGATTGGAGAGAAGGCACCCAGAACTATTTGGGAGGTGAAGTCCACAGAACTGAATGGTTGGTTGGCCCCATGAGTGTGTAAGGAGAGGCAAGAATAAAAGATGGCACTAGTGACCCAGATAGAGAAAATGGGGAAGGCAGAGAGTATAGGGGGCCATGATGAGCTCAGCTGGGGATATATTGAGTTTGAAGTGTCTGAGGGACACATAGCTGCCAGCTGGCACCTTGACATATGGACGTAGGGCTCAAGGAAAAGTTGTGGGCTGGGTATTGGGATATAAGATGTTTGGGAGCCATTAGAAATAGTGATGATCCAAAGTGTGGAGTAGTTAAGATCATATAGAAACAACCCCCTGAGACAGACATTGTGTCCAATTCACAGATGTGGAAACTGAGGCTCAGAGATTGAGTAGCTTGCCTAAGTTTACACACCTGTTATTTCCCTCTGGTTTCATCCCTCCTCAGAGCACACCTCCAGGGGTGTCCATCACAATGTGTGTCTACAGTCTCTTACCTGCCTGCCTCCCCTACCAAACTCTGAGCCCATGAGCATGCAGTTGCTTCGAGGTGGGTGGGTGATGGCCCTGTGTGTAGATGGTCATCGCAGGAGCCCATTGCTGTGAGAGAATATCTTCCACTGTTAACTGATGCCTGGGTTTCTACAATTTGGAATTTATTCTTTTTCTGGAAGTAATTTTCTTTTTAAATTTTTATTAATTTAAAAAAAATTTTAGACTAATTGACAAAGATTGTGTATATTCAAGGTGTACAAGTAATGATTTGATATACATATATTATATAGTGATTATCACAACCAAATGAATGAACACACCCATCACCACCCACACTGTACATTAGATCCTCAGGATTTAGTCATCTTAGAACTTGCAGTTTTGTACCCTTTCATCAACACTGCCCTATTTTCCCCACCCCCAGCCCGTGGCAACCACTGTTCTATCCTCTGCTTCTATGAGTTCAACTTTTTTAGATTCCACATATAAGTAAGATAATATGGTATTTGTCTTTCTGTATCTGGCTAATTTAACTTAGCATGATGTCTGGCAGATTGAGCACCTGAAATTTATTCTTTTGGTTTAAGGCTCCTATTTTGTGAAAAAGGCAAAATAACCATGGGAAGCAAATTTGCCACATGTGGTCATTTTCACCGACTTGTGAATGCATTGACTAGGTTAGCACTTTTTCCACCGGTGCAGCCCTGTCTCACAGTGGAAGGGACTGAGATTCTGGGAGGTCATGCAGCTCGTAGGTGGCAGAGCTGGGTCTGGAACCACACCCTTTACATTCCAGTTATCTTTTCCCCTACGTGTGATACCCCAAGGACTGGCTTTGGTTGGGTGAGTAAGGGAGCACATGTGCAGTTCTGGGTACCTGGGATGAGGAGGAGGTGTGGGAGATCCTCGGGCAGGAACCCTCCACAAGCAGGGAAGGAGTCCTAGGGGAAGGGGCCCGGGCTGTTCCCACTACAGCACACAGGGAGCACCTCCCTCTCACCTGGTTATTGTCAGAGTGAACACCCTATCCTTGTACCTCGAGGTGGTGTTCAGAAAACAACCCAGGCTGTCTTTAACCAGTTAGCATAATTTAGAACCAGCATGAAAAAGAGAGAAAGAAAAGGTGAGCAAGAGAGAGTTTGCCCAGGAGACAGACAGGGCAGCCTCTGGATGGTTTTCCCTGAGGCTGAGTGGTTGTCCAGGTCTACCTGGAGCCGGGAGCTGCAGTGGACACTTTGGTGGCTAAGGAGCCCCACAGGTGTGAGCAGACTCTGACCTGACCACAGTGGTCAGTGTGTCCTGCTCTGCACCAACCATTCGGGAATATGTTAGCTACAACTCAGTGCACTTTGCACAAAGGCAAAAAGATGTATACGGGATCCTAGAATGTTAGTTGCTATAGCAACATCTGCCTTTATTATCACCTAAATCCATTCACCATGTAAATATAGTAACTATTTGACTTCCCCACACCCAGTCCATTTGGTAGGATTAAAAAAAATTGTGACAACTGGAAAAAACCCCAACAAACAGAAGCATTGTGTGTGTGTGTGTGTGTGTGTTTGTGCGTGTGTGTGTGTGTGTGTGTGTTTAGCAGTCTTTCAGAGGACAAAAGAGGATGAGGACATTTATGGGGTGTGTAGATGTTCATAGATTCCAAGTTCTTGGATGTAAGGCTGCTCCTTACAACCAAGGCAGGAAGATGAATTCCTAGAAGGAATGGGCCAGATTGCCACATGGAAAGTTAAGTGATGAGGAATGAGGTAGGTGAGGTGCAGAACAGGGGAATGATTTCGCAATGGGAAGAATTCTAGTCTGTAATCAGACAGACCTGGGTGCAAGTCTTGGCATCATTGCTTACCACCTGAGTAACACTGGACCACCCAATCACCTGAGCCTCAGTTTCCTCATCTGAAAGTGGGAAAACCATATCCCACAACCTGTTTCAGCAACTTGGTCTTCTTCCAGGGGGCCTCGGTACCCCTGAGCCTGAGCTAGAGATGTGTTCACCAGCAGGAGTTTGTTTCCTGCACCAGCGCAGTTCCCTGGAGGGGCAGGTGAAAAGGGTCAGTGCCCGGCAGGGGTTGGTGAGAGTGATCATCATGCCAGTCTGAACAAAGGGGCCAGGCTAGCTAGAGAAAGCAGGGCATGGGACAGGACAGGGCAGGACAGTGCAGGGCAAAACAGGCACTGGGGAGCTGGAGGTTCCTACCAGTGGACATTCCGTGGGTCATTTTTTCTTTCAAAGACCCAGTTTCCACAGATGGAGGTATTAACTAGGATTAGATAGGGGTGAGGAATGAAACCATGGGCAGAAACTCAGCATCCAGCAGCCACTTATGGAGAGCCTGCTGTGATCCAGGCACTGTGCTGGAAACTGGGATGTGAAGGTGGACAGATACAGGCCTGCTGAGGCCAGGGGAACCACTGCTACCGAAAAGACAGAAATTTTCTTCTCATACCCATCCTGTGCTCCATTTCCTTTCTTCCTTGGAACCCATATAGCAAAAGCAAACACTTGCTTTGCACTCACTCCTTGCTAGGCACTGTTCTAAGTGCTTTACACACATTAATTCACTTAATCCTTGCAATAATTTCCTAAGGAAGGAACTAATATTATCCCACTTTACAGATGAGTAAACTGAGGCACATATAGTGACATGTGCAGGAGCAGTGTGAGCCATAAGGTACTGGCTCTAAGAGTGACACTCAATCTGATAGCTTCTTTTTCTATAATTCTCATGAGAAAATACACATAAAGCACTTAGCCTGCACCTGGCCACACTAAGTGCTCAGCATATGCTGGCTATTAGTGCTGTGGATATTACTGTCTGATGGAACTATTGTCAGGCTCATGAAATTCAATCTTTTCTCCTCTTTTTAGAAATGGAACTCAATGTGCTTCATTAAAATTGTGATCGAGGCTCGATATGTTTTTAAAACCTATTTTAGAGTATGCTCTGGTTATCTACTGCTGCCTAATATACTGCTCTCAAATTTATTATCCTCGCAGACTCTGTGAATCAGCAATTCAACAGTGCACAGTGGGGATGGCTTGTTTCTGTTTCAGGATGTCTGGTGCCTCAGCTGAGAAGATATAACAAATGCGAGTGACTTGAAAGGTGGGGTTCTGGAAACATTTGGTGGCTATTCACATGCATGTCTGGATAGCCAGAAGACTGAGCTCAGCTGGGATTGTAGATTGGAATGCCTCCATATACCTACCTCTCCCTGGGCCCGGGTCCCCAGGGTAGTCAGATTTCTTATGTACATGGTAGCTCAGAGCTCCAAGTGCAAGTGTTCCAGCAACCAAAGAAAAGCTGCATGGCCTGATGACCCAGCCTTCAGAATACTCTAGGTTGGAGGAGTCACAATTCCATTCATATCCAAAGGGAAGAAATATAGACTCTAATGGGAAGAGTATCAAAGGATATATCTGATTATCAAAGATTTAGGAGGTTTGCTCACTATATAGAGAAATGAAACTCAAAGATTAAGCCAAATACATGGTTAATGAAATGTGGATAATTTGCTTTTGTCACCATTTCCTTTAAAAATATTTTTTAAAAAATTGCTTGACAAAAAGAATATACTATAAATGATATAGGTAATATTTCTCAAGTTATATTTCTTAGCTCTTCCTAGAGTCATCCTATAAAACAAAAAGAAAACAAACAAAGTTTCTGTGGTCAAATAAGTTCAGAAAATGCTGCATTCTATACATACAACCTCCTCTTGGAAAGTCATAATGCGTATTGACACATCAAGGCCTCTGAGAATCCTGCAGCAAATAAATATTTATCTTCTGTCAGAGTTTAGATTTTTCTAAAGCTTATTTGAGCAAAGAAACTTAAAATTTTTCTTTTTGGGCTGTAATAACTGTTAAAAATCTTGCTGAACTAATGTCCCTTGAGCTCTTGTTAAGAAACGTTATCTAGGCTCTAGATTCCAGAGCAAACTTTTCCAGAACAGGTCCCAAAGTATTATTCAAGAATGTTTTCAATCATTGCACATAATTTTCAGAGCTTGACTTGAACATTTGCACCAGACCAATACAATCATAATCTATGAGGTGGGGCCTGAGCATTGGAATTTTTGAAAAGCACTTCAGGTAGTTTTTTTTTTTAAATATACTTTAAGTTCTGGGGTACATGTGCACAACATGCAGATTTGTTACATAGGTATACATGTGCCATGTTGGTTTGCTGCACCCACCAACTTGTCATTTACATTAAGTATTTCTCCTAATGCTATCCCTCCCCCACCCCCCCACCCCTCAACAGGCCCCAGTGTGTGATGTTCCCCACCCTGAGTCCATGTGTTCTCATTGTTCAGCTCCCACTTATGAGTGAGAACATGTGGTGTTTGGTTTTCTCTTCTTGTGTTACTTTGCTGAGAATGATGGTTGCCAGTTTCATCCATGTCCCTGCAAAGGACATGAACTCACCCTTTTTTGTGGCTGCATAGTATTCCATGGTATATATGTGCCACATTTTCTTTATCCAGTCTATCATTGATGGGCATTTGGGTTGGTTCCAAGCCTTTGTTATTGTGAACAGTGCTGCAATAAACATACGTGTGCATGTGTCTTTATAGTAGAATGATTTATAATCCTTCAGGTATATACCCAGTAATGGGATTGCTGGGTCAAATGGTATTTCCAGTTCTAGATCCTTGAGGAATCCCCACTGTCTTCCACAATGGTTGAACTAATTTGCACTGTCACCAACAGTCTCTGATGACAAGTGATGATGAGCATTTTTTCATAAGTTTGTTGGCTGCATAAATGTCTGCTTTTGAGAAGTGTCTGTTCATAGCCTTTGGCCATTTTTTGATGGGGTTGTTTGTTTTTTTCTTGTAAATTTGTTTAAGTTATTTGTAGATTCTGGATATTAGCCCTTTGTCAGATGGATAGATTGCAAAAATTTTCTCCCAATCTGTAGGCTGCCTGTTCACTCTGCTGATAGTTTCTTTTGCTGTGCAGAAGCTCTTTAGTTTAATTAGATCTCATTTGTCTATTTTGGCTTTTGTTGCGATTGCTTTTGATGTTTCAGTCATGAAGTCTTTGCCCTTGCCTATGTCCTGAGTGGTATTGCCTAGGTTTTCTTCTAGGGTTTTTATGGTTTTAGGTCTTACATTTAAGTCTTTAATTCATCTTGAGTTAATTTTTGTATGAGGTGTAAGGATGGGATCCAGTTTCAGTTTTCTGCATATGGCTAGCCAGTTTTCCCAATACCATTTATTAAATAGGGAATCCTTTCCCCGTTTCTTGTTTTGGTCAGGTTTGTCGAAGATCAGATGGTTGTAGATGTGTGGTGTTATTTCTGAGGTCTCTGTTCTGTTCCATTTGTCTATATATCTGTTTTGGCAACAGTACCATGCTGTTTTGGTTACTGTAGCCTCGTAGTATAGTTTGAAGTCAGGTAGCGTGATGCCTCCGGCTTTGTTCTTTTTGCTTAGGATTATCTTGGCTATGTGGACTCTTTTTTGGTTCCATATGAACTTTAAAGTAGTTTTTTTCCAATTCTGTGAAGAAAGTCAGTGGTATTGATGGGGATAGCATTGAATCTATAAATTACTTTGGGCAGTATGACAATTTTCACAATAATGATTCTTCCTATCCATGAGTGTGGAGTGTTCTTCCATTTGTTTGTGTCCTCTTTTATTTCCTTGAGCAGTGATTTGTAGTTCTCCTTGAAGAGATGCTTCACATCCCTTGTAAGTTTTATTCCTAGGTATTTTATTCTCTTTGTAGCAATTTTGAATGGGAGTTCACTCATGATTTGGCTCTCTGTTTGTCTGTTATTGGTGTAGAAATGCCTGTGATTTTTGCACATTGATTTTGTATCCTGAGACTTTGCTGAAGTTGCTTATCAGGTTAAGGAGATTTTGGGCTTAGACGATGGGGTTTTCTAAATATACAATCATGTCATCTGCAAACAGAGGCAATTTGACTTCCTCTCTTCCTATTTGAATACTCTTTATTTCTTTCTGTTGCCTGATTGCCATGGCCAGAACTTGCAATACTATGTTGAATAGGAGTGGTGAGAGAGAGCATCCTTGTCTTGTGCTGGTTTTCAAATGGAATGCTTCCAGTTTTTGCCCGTTCAGTATGATATTGGTAGTGGATTTGTCATAAATTATTTGAGATACATTCCATCTCATTGTTTTGAGATACGTTCCATCAATACCTAGTTTATTGAGAGTTTTTAGCATGAAGGCTGTTGAATTTTGTCAAAAGCCTTTTCTGCATCTATTGAGATAATCATGTGGTTTTTGTCTTTGGTTATGTTTATGTGATGGATTACATTTGTTGATTTGTGTATGTTGAACCAGCCTTGCATCCCAGGGATGAAGCCAACTTGATCATGGTGGATAAGCTTTTTGATGTGCTGCTGGATTTGGTTTGCCAGTATTTTATTGAGGATTTTCACATCGATGTTTATCAGGTATATTGGCCTAAAGTTTTCTCTTTTTTTTTGTTGTGTCTCTGCCAGGTTTTGGTATTAGGATGATGCTGGCCTCATAAAATGAGTAAGGAGGATTCCCTCTTTTTCTATTGATTGGAATAGCTTCAGAAGAAATGGTACCAGCTTCTCTTTGTACCTCTGGTAGAATTTGGCTGTGAATCTGTCTCATCCTGGACTTTTTTTTTTGTTGGTAGGCTATTAATTATTGCCTCAATTTCAGAACCTATTATTGGTCTATTCAGAGATTCAACTTCTTCCTGGTTTAGTCTTGGGAGGGTGTATGTGTCCAGGAATTTATCAATTTTTTCTAGATTTTCTAGTTTATTTGCATAGAGGTGTTTATAGTATTCTCTGATGGTAGTTTGTATTTCTGTGGGATTGGTGGTGATATCCCCTTTATCATTTTTTATTGCATCTATTTGATTCTTCTTTCTTTTCTTCTTTATTAGCCTGGCTAGTGGTCTATCTATTTTGTTGATCGTTTCAAAAAACCAGATCCTGGATTCACTGATACTTTGAAGGGTTTTTCGTGTCTCTATCTCCTTCAGTTCTGCTCTGCTGTTAGTTATTTGTTGTCTTCTGCTAGCTTTTGAATGTGCTTGCTCTTGCTTCTTTAGTTCTTTTAATTTTGATGTTAGGGTATCAATTTTAGATCTTTCCTGCTTTCTCTTGTGGGCCTTTAGTGCTATAAATTTCCCTCTACACACTGCTTTAAATGTGTCCCAGAGATTCTGGTATGTTGTGTCATTGTTCTCACTGGTTTCAAAGAACATCTTTTTTTCTGCCTTTATTTCCTTATTTACCCAGTAGTCATTCAGGAGCAGCAGTTTCCATGTAGTTGTGCAGTTTTGAGTGAGTTTCTTAATTCTGAGTTCTAATTTGATTGCACTGTGGTCTGAGACACAGTTTGTTGTGATTTCTGTTCTTTTACATTTGCTGAGGAGTGTTTTACTTCCAATTATGTGGTCAATTTTAGAATAAGTGCAATGCGGTGCTGAGAAGAATGTATATTCTGTTGATTTGGGGTGGAGAGTTCTGTAGATGTCTATTAGGTCTGCTTGGTCCAGAGCTGAGTTCAAGTCCTGGATATCCTTGATAATTTTCTGTCTCATTGATCTGTCTAATATTGGCAGTGGAGTGTTAAAGTCTCACACTATTGTCGTGTGGGAGTCTAAGTCTCTTTGTAGGTCTCTAAGAACTTGCTTTATGAATCTGGGTGCTCCTGTATTGGGTGCATATATATTTAGGATCATTAGCTCTTCTTGTTGCATTGATCCCTTTACCATTATGTGATGGCCTTCTTTGTCTCTTTTGGTCTTTGTTGGTTTAAAGTCTGTTTCATCAGAGACTAGGATTGTAAACCCTTCTTTTTTTTTTGCTTTCCATTTGCTTGGTAGAACTTCCTCCTTCCATTTATTTTAAGCCTATGTGTGTCTCTGTACTTGAGATAGGTCTCCTGAATACACACAACCGATGGGTCTTGACTCTTTATCCAATTTGCTAGTCTGCGTCTTTTAATTGGGGCATTTAGCCCACTTACATTTAAGGTTAATATTGTTATGTGTGAATTTGATCCTGTCATTATGATGCTAGCTGGTTATTTTGCCCGTTAGTTGATGCAGTTTCTTCATAGCGTTGATGGTCTTTACAATTTGGCATGTTTTTGCAGTGGCTGGTACTGGTTGATTCTTTCCATGTTTAATGCTTCCTTCAGAGGCTCTTGTAAGGCAGGCCTGGTGGTGACAAAATCTCTCAGCATTTGCTTGTCTGTAAAGGCTTTTATTTCTCCTTCACTTATGAAACTTAGTTTGGCTGAATATGAAACTGGATATGAAAGAATTTTGGGTTGAAAATTCTTTAAGAATGTTGAATATTGACCCCCATTCTCTTCTGGCTTGTAGGGTTTCTGCTGAGGGATCCACTGTTAGTCTGATGAGCTTCCCATTGTGGGTAATCCGGCCTTTCTCTCTGGCTGCCCTTAACATTTTTCCCTTCGTTTCAACCTTGGTGAATCTGACGATTATGTGTCTTGGGGTTGCTCGTCTCAAGGAATATCTTTGTGGTGTTCTCTGTATTTCCTGAATTTGAATGTTGGCCTGCCTTGCTGGGTTGGGGAAGTTCTCCTGGATAATATCCTGAAGAGTGTTTTCCAACTTGGTTCCATTCTCCCCGTCACTTTCAGGTACACCAGTCAAACATGGATTTGGTCTTTTCACATAGTCCCATATTTCTTGGAGGCTTTGTTCATTTCTTTTCACTCTTTTTTCTCTAATCTTGTCTTCTCACTTTATTTCATTAAGTTGATCTTTAGTCACTGATATCCTTTCTTCTGCATGATCAATTTGGCTATTGAAGCTTGTGTATGCTTCACGAAGTTCTCATGCTGGTTTTTCAGCTCCATCAGGTCATTTATGTTCTTCTCTACACTGGTTATTCTAGTTAGCAATTCATGTAACCTCTTTTCAAGGTTCTTAGCTTCCTTGAGTTGGGTTAGAACATGCTCCTCAGTTCAGGTAGTTTTAACGTGCAATCAGGTTGAGAGCCATGGACTTAGACTATTATTTCAGAGAATGGCTGTTTGTTCTTGGGAGGCTGTGCACTTAGCTCAACAGTTTCTTGCTGGAAAGTTAGGAGAACAAACAGGCAAATGTGTCAACTATTACTGAAGTAGGAATTACAAAAGAGACTGATTACTGAAGTGGGAATCACAAAAGTGCCCAGACAATCATTGCCTGGGCATTGTGGCTCATGCCTGTAATCCCAGCACTTTGGGAGGCCAAGGAGGGAGGATTGCTTGAGCCTAGGGGTTCAAGACCAGCTTGGGCAATATAGCAAAATTTAAAATATTATCCAGGTGTGGTGGCATGCACCTGTAGTCTCAGCTACTTGGGAGGCTGAGGCAGGAGGCAGGAGGATTGTTAAAGCCTGGGAGATAGAGGCTGCAGTGAGCTGTGATTGCACCATTGCATTTCAGCCTGGGCCACAGAGCAAGACTCTGTCTCAAAACAAAACAAAACAAAACAAACAAACAAACAAAAACAGAGAGACAGATCAGATATGTAATGTCCATATTTACCCTGTTCTGCTCTATGGGTCTTAGATTGCCAACCGCTGACCTTTGCCCATTTCCTCCAGATTGCATTGTCAAAGCCATTGTTGATTATTCTGCTGAAGTCTCTTCTCCTTCCCCTTCTTCCCTCCCGCCCTTGAAAAACAGGACCTTATTCTGGAATGGTTACTTCAAATTGAGGGACATGTGCTACTCAGAGAGGGGGACCCTCTGTTATAGATTGGAAGAGGGCTTTTCAAAACTAGTGTGGAGATTCAAAGAAGGTGGTTAGAAAAGAGGACAGACATGGGGATTGGGGAGCAGAGATAGGAAATGGGATGTATCAACGAAAGAAACCTTCTTCCCATCCATGGGAGTTCCATGAAGAACTCAAACTTTAGCTTGCTCATCCCATAGGCTGGAGAAACTTCATACAGCATATAGCTTTAGACTCTCTATTCCTACTTATAACTTCCTTTAATTAATCTAAGCTTTTCATAAACAAACAAAAAAACCTGCTACATTCACAGCCTATGGCTAGATATATGAAGAATAAAGTAAAATGTCAGTAAAAGGAAGTGTGGCTGGCCCCAAATCCAGCCTCCATGGTGTCACTGGAGATGGCTGTATCTAGGAGTTCTACATGGAGCCCACCTATGAAGTGAATGATGGTCCACAGTGCAGCTGGAAATGGCAAGATAAGCACCTTGAGTATCTTTAAGGTGAAACATTCTCATTTCTCATATAGTAGAGGAAGGTGACCTTGAAAATAAAGGGTGGGGATCGGGTGGGGAAGAAGGACAGCATGACACCTGAGCTGTGAGGTGCATCATAATTTATTTATTTAACAATTTCTCTGTAGACATTTAGTTTGTTTCAGGATCTTTCTATTTTCTATAACACTGCAATGTTATGCACATTATTGCATATAAATCCTAGCCTGCATCTTGAATTATTACCTTAGGATAAATTCCTAGGGGTGGAATCACTGGATTAAAGGATATGGATGTTTTTAAGTCTCTTAATATACATGACTAATCCACCTGTAGAAAACTTGTATCAATTTATACTCCCATTAGCAGTGTACAAGCAAGCTCATTTCCCCACATGTCTGCCAACACTGGGCATTATAACTTAAAATACTTATTGGTGCTCTTATTATTTTTTCCTTGATTGCTCCTTTTCTGGCTTATTCCTAGAGTTTTCTAATGGAATGAATTAAATCCCGTGAATATCTCTCTGTTTTCTCTTCAAGAAGTAAAATGGCAAATATGTCTTTGCTTTTCAAAACATAACAATCAATTTCTTTTTACACCTTCTGCCCAGTCAGAAGCAAGGAAATTTCAGATTACTAATAAAGAACAAGAAACCCCTTTTCTTAATGGATGCTGCAAATAGCAGATGGTTCCAGGCAACTTCTTCCTAGTAATGGCCTCCCATTTTTCTGTGCAAGCATATCAATAACTTACTTCTGGGGAGCTTGTCTCCCAGCCTGAACATGCATCATAAAATGAATTTTAAACATGCATTCTTGATAGAGATTTAAGTGAAACCATGAGTTAGTTTCTTCTTTTATTTGTCTTTCCAATTATCTAGAGTAATACTTATAGAATGCCTGCTAAGAGTCTTGCATTACACTAGATGTTGTCAAGTACAGATGATCTTCATTTTCCACAGATCCAGTATTTATGAATTTGCCTACCTGCTAAAATTTATTTGTGACCTGCAAATCAATACTCATGCCGCTTTCCTGGCTATCCATGGACATGCACAGAATGGTGAAAAATGTGGGTCGCCCAATGTGACCAGCTCAGTTCCCAGCTGAGGTTGCACAAGGCAATCCTGTGCCTTTCTGTTTCATCTCTCATACTCTAAATGTGTCCCTTTTGTGGTGTGTCCCTTTAGTGCCTTTTTTTTGGCCTTTTTTTTTTTTTGCTTTTTGTTGGTCATTTCATTGTTTGAAATAGCTCCCAAGCATACTGCTGAAGTGTGCTCTAATGTTCCTAAGCACATGGAGACTGTGATATGCATTGTGGAAAAAACGCGTGTGTTAGGTGAGGTTTGTTTCAGGCATGAGTTAGAGTGTTGTTGGCCATGAGTTCAATGAATCAACAATGTATGTCCAATAAGAAGTCTTTAAAACAGAAACATAGGTAAAACAAGGTAATGGATTGATTGATCACTGAAAATGTTGTGACCAGAGGCTCTCAGGAATCTAACCTTACGTTTCCCCTAGGAGCAATGGTTCAGTATTCATTAATTCAGTGTTTCCAGCAACTTTATAGAACATAACTACTGGGAATAATGGGAGTTAGCTGTATATCAAAGGGTGATAGCCAACCTTGAGAGATGAGAGGAACACACAGAAAACACATAAAGAATGACCTAAATATTAAAAGTGGTACAAATAACAAAGGCTAGAAAAATCAGGACACGCTAGAGGAAGGCTTTGTGGAAGGAGTGGTGATAAACCTGGGCTCTGCAGAATGAAGAGGGTTTATGTAGGCCCAGGAAACTGAGAGTAGGAGTGGGTGAATAATCTTATTTGGGGAGGATATGTCGTCCTTCAATTTGTTTGACTCTGAGGGTTATTTAATCCGGGGCATATGAGAAATAAGGATGGAAAAAAAGTAGGGATAAGTTATGAAGAATCCTGAATGCAAGTCTGAGAGGGTCTTGGTTTGTTCTTCAGACTAGTATTTTTTAAAAAATACAACTTTATTGAGGTGTAATTTGCATAAAATAAATTGCATCCATTATAAATGTAGTTTGATATATTTTGACAAATTTATACACCTGAGTAAACACCAGCACAGTCAAGATATAAGACATTTTTATGACCCTAAAATGTCATATTTCTTAGCACTCAATACCCCTGCCACCCATGATCCTAGACCAAAAAATATAGCATAGAATAGCCTCTTAGAGAATTTCATACAAATGGAATCAGATAGTTAAGTGTTCTTATGAGACTTGTTGTTTTCTGCTCAGCATAGTGCTTTTGAGATTTATTTATTTTTATATGTAGAATGTAGCTTTAATAAATTACTGAATAATATCCCATTGCACGGCTATACCAAAATTTGCTATTCATTCATTTGTTGTTGAACATTTAGGTTGTTTCCAGTTTTCTACTACTATAAATAAAACTGCCATAGCCATTCGTATATAACTCTTTCTGTGGAAATATGTTTTCCTTTTTCTTGGATAAATACCTAAGAGTGGAATTGCGGGTCATATGGTAAGAGCATGTTTAACTTTTTAAGAAACTGCCAAACTATTTCCAAAGAGGTTCCAACATTTTATATAACCTCAGTCATGTATAAAAATTCCAGTTGCTGCACATCCTTACAGCCAATACAGTTTTTAAAGTTTTTGCCATTCTAGTGGGTATGAAGTGGTATCTCCTTGTGGTTTTAATTGACATATTCTTTATGACTAATGATAATCAGCTTTTCCTGTACTTGAGATTTGTATATCTTATTTTGTGAAGACTCTGTTCAAATATGTTGCCATTTTTAGGGTTGGTTGTCTTATATTGGGCTGGAGAAATGCTTTAAATATTCTGGATATCAGTCTTTTGTCACACATATGTACTATTAATATTTTCTTGTATATCTTGCCTTTTCATTTTCATGATGGTGTCTTTTTTTGAATTTTTCCTTTATTGTTTATTTTTAAAATGGCAACATAATATACATATTGTTCTGCAACTTGATTTTTTAAAAAATCTAACAATATACTGTGCATGTTTTTCCAGGGCAGAATATGTACAATCTACTTCATGCTTTTTAATAGATCCATATGTTCTATTTTATTTGATGGGCACTAAGATTGTTTTTATTCTTGTTATTACAAACAATGCAGCATATAATCCTTAGGCATGTAAAGTTGTAAATCTGGGGTTAGGGATAGGATCACTTCTAAACATAAGAGGTCTAGACAGAGATTCACTGGCCTGACTGTAGACTCTGTCATGCTGTTGAGTGACCTGTGCTGACATTTATTACTATATTTATTGTTAGAATGTTTTTGATGTCTGCTAAAATATGTCTTCCTCATAATACTTCCTTTTTGTACAGTTTTAAAGCTGTTCTCTTGCATTTTATTTTTATTTTATTTTTTTGAGATGAAGTCTTGCTCTTGTCCCCCAGGCTGCAGTGCAATGGTGTGATCTCAGCTCACTGCACCCTCAGCCTCCTGGCTTCAAGCAATTCTCCTGCCTCAGCCTCCCAAGTAGCTGGGATTACAGGCACCTGCCACTACGCCCGGCTAATTGTTTATTTTTAGTAGAGACGGGGTTTCACCATGCTGGCCATGCTGGTCTCGAACTCCTGACCTCAGGTGATCCACCTGCCTTGGCCTCCCAAAGTGCTGGTATTACAGGCATGAGCCACTGTGCCTGGCCCTTGCATTTTTATTTCTATGTAAACTTTAATAAATATAACATGTTAATAAATGCTTCATTAAGATATTGATCAGATTGGGTGGAGCCAAGATGGCCGAATAGGAACAGCTCCAGTCTACAGCTCCCAGCGTGAGCGATGCAGAAGATGGGTGATTTCTGCATTTCCAACTGAGGTACTGGGTTCATCTCACTGGGGAGTGCTGGACAGTGGGTGCAGGACAGTGGGTGCAGTGCACCATGCGTGAGCTGAAGCAGGGAAAGGCATCGCCTCACCTGGGAGGTGCAAGGAGTCAGGGAATTCCCTTTCCTAGTCAAAGAAAGGGGTGACAGATGGCACCTGGAAAATTGGGTCATTCCCACCCTAATACTGTGCTTTTCCAATGGGCTTAACAAACGGCAAACCAGGAGATTATATCCCGCACCTGGCTTGGAGGGTCCTATGCCCACGGAGCCTCACTCTTTGCTAGCACAACAGTCTGAGATCAAACTGCAAGGTGGCAGTGAGACTGGGGGAGGGGCGCCTGCCATTGCTGAGGCTTGAGTAGGTAAACAAAGCTGCTGGGAAGCTCAAACTGGGTGGAGCCCATCACAGTTCAAGGAGGCCTGCCTGCCTCTGTAGGCTCCACCTCTGGGGGCAGGGCACAGACAAGCAAAAGGCAGCAGTAACCTCTGCAGACTTAAATGGCCCTGTCTGACAGCTTTGAAGAGAGTAGTGGTTCTCCCAGCATGCAGCTTGAGATCTGAGAATGGGCAGACTGCCACCTCAAGTGGGTCCCTGACCCATGAGTAGCCTAACTGGGAGGCACCCCCCAGTAGGGGTGGACTGACACCTCACACGGCCGGGTACTCCTCTGAGACAAAACTTCCAGAAGAACGATCAGGCAGCAGCATTTGCAGTTCACCAATATCCGCTGTTCTGCAGCCGCTGCTGCTGATACCCAGGAAAACAGGGTCTGGAGTGGACCTCCAGCAAACTCCAACAGATCTGCAGCTGAGGGTCCTGACTGTTAGAAGGAAAACTAACAAACAGAAAGGACATCCACACCAAAAACCCATCTGTACATCACCATCTTCAAAGACCAAAGGTAGATAAAACCACAAAGAGGGGGAAAAAACAGAGCAGAAAACCCAGAAACTCTAAAAATCAGAGCACCTCTCCTCCTCCAAAGGAACGCAGCTCCTCACCAGCAATGGAACAAAGCTGGACAGAGAATGACTTTGACGAGTTGAGAGAAGAAGGCTTCAGAAGATCAAACTACTCTGAGCTAAAGGAGGAAGTTTGAACCAATAGCAAAGAAGTTAAAAACCTTGAAAAAAAATTAGATGAATGGCTAACTAGAATAACCAATGCAGAGAAGTCCTTAAAGGACCTGATGGAGCTGAAAACCACAGCATGAGAACTACGTGATGAATGCACAAGCCTCAGTAGCTGATGCGATCAACTGGAAGAAAGGGTATCAGCGATGGAAGATGAAATGAATGAAATGAAGCGGGAAGAGAAGTTTAGAGAAAAAAGAATAAAAAGAAATGAACAAAGCCTCCAAGAAATATGGGACTATGTGAAAAGACCAAATCTACGTCTGATTGGTGTACCTGAAAGTTATGGGGAGAATGGAACCAAGTTGGAAAACACTCTGCAGGGTATTATCCAGGAGAACTTCCCCAATCTAGCAAGGCAGGCCAACATTCAAATTCAGGAAATACAGAGAATGCCACAAAGATACTCCTTGAGAAGAGCAACTCCAAGACACATAATTGTCAGTTTCACCAAAGTTGAAATGAAGGAAAAAATGTTAAGGGCAGCCAGAGAGAAAGGTCGGGTTACCCACAAAGGGAAGCCCATCAGACTAAGAGCTGATCTCTTGGCAGAAACTCTACAAGCCAGAAGAGAGTGGGGGCCAATATTCAACATTCTTAAAGAAAAGAATTTTCAACCCAGAAGTTCATATCCAGCCAAACGAAGCTTCATAAGTGAAGGAGAAATAAAATACTTTACAGACAAACAAGTGCTGACAGGCCTGCCCTAAAAGAGCTCCTGAAGGAAGCACTAAACATGGAAAGGAACAACCGGTACCAGCCACTGCAAAAACATGCCAAATTGTAAAGCCCATCAAGGCTAGGAAGAAACTGCATCAACTAATGAGTAACATAACCAGCTAACATCATAATGATGGGATCAAATTCACACATAACAATATTAACCTTAAATGTAAATGGGCTAAATGCTCCAATTAAAAGACACAGACTGGCAAATTGGATAAAGAGTCAAGACCGATCAGTGTGCTGTATTCAGGAAACCCATCTCACGTGCAGACACACATGGGCTCAAAATAAATGGATGCAGGAAGATCTACCAAGCAAATGGAAAACAAAAAAAGGCAGGGTTTGCAATCCTAGTCTCAGATAAAACAGACTTTAAACCAACAAAGATCAAAAGAGACAAAGTAGGCCATTACATAATGGTAAAGGGATCAATTCAACAAGAAGAGCTAACTATCCTAAATATATATGCACCCAATAAAGGAGCACCCAGATTCATAAAGCAAGTCCTGAGTGACCTACAAAGAGACTTAGACTCCCACACAATAATAATGGGAGACTTTAACACCCCACTGTCAACATTAGACAGATCAACGAGACAGAAAGTTAACAAGGATATCCAGGAATTGAACTCAGCTCTGCACCAAGTGGACCTAATAGACATCTACAGAACTCTCCACCCCAAATCAACAGAATATAAATTCCTTTCAGCACCACACCACACCTATTCCAAAATTGACCACATAGTTGGAAGTAAAGCCCTCCTCAGCCAATGTAAAAGAACAGAAATTATAACAAACTGTCTGTCAGACCACAGTGCAATCAAACTAGAACTCAGGATTAAGAAACTCACTCAAAACCGCTCAACTACACAGAAACTGAACAACCTGCTCCTGAATGACTACTGGATACATAACGAAATGAAGGCAGAAATAAAGATGTTCTTTGAAACCAATGAGAGCAAAGACACAACATACCAGAATCTCTGGGACACATTCAAAGCAGTGTGTAGAGGAAAATTTATAGCACTGAATGCCCACAAGAGAAAGCAGGAAAGATCTAAAATTGACACCCTAACATCACAATTAAAAGAACTAGAGAAGCAAGAGCAAACACATTCAAAAGCTAGCAGAAGGCAAGAAATAACTAAGATCAGAGCAGAACTGAAGGAAATAGAGACACAAAAAACCCTTCAAAAATCAATGAATTCGGGAGCTGGTTCTTTGAAAAGATCAACAAAATAGATAGACTGCTAGCAAGACTAATAAAGAAGAAAAGAGAGAAGAATCAAATAGACGCAATAAAAAATGACAAAGGGGATATCACCACCAATCCCACAGAAATACAAACTACCATCAGAGAATACTATAAACACCTCTACACAAATAAACTAGAAAATCTAGAAGAAATGGATAAATTCCTCAACACATACACTCTCCCAAGACTAAACCAGGAAGAAGTTGAATCTCTGAATAGACCAATAATGGGCTCTGAAATTGAGGCAATAATTAATAGCTTACCAACCAAAAAAAGTCCAGGACCAGATGGATTCACAGCTGAATTCTACCAGAGGTACAAGAAGGAGCTGGTACCATTCCTTCTGAAACTATTCCAGTCAATAGAAAAAGAGAGAATCCTCTCTAACTCATTTTATGAGGCCAGCATCATCCTGATACCAAAGCCTGGCAGAGACACAACAAAAAAAGAGAATTTTAGACCAATGTCCTTGATGAACATTGATGCAAAAATCCTCAATAAAATACTGGCAAACCGAATCCAGCAGCACATCAAAAAGCTTATCCACCATGATCAAGTGGGCTTCAACCCTGGGATGCAAGGCTGGTTCAACATACGAAAGTCAATAAACGTAATCCAGCATATAAACAGAACCAAAGGCAAAAACCACATGATTATCGCAATAGATGCAGAAAAGCCCTTTGACAAAATTCAGCAACGCTTCATGCTAAAAACTCTCAATAAATTAGGTATTGATGGGACTTATATCAAAATAATAAGAGCTATCTATGACAAACCCACAGCCAATATCATACTGAATGGGCAAAAACTGGAAGCATTCCCTTTGAAAACTGGTACAAGACAAGGATGCCCTCTCTCACCACTCCTATTCAACATAGTGTTGGAAGTTCTGGCCAGGGCAATTAGGCAGGAGAAGGAAATAAAGGGCATTCAATTAGGAAAAGAGGAAGTCAAATTGTCCCTGTTTGCAGATGACATGATTGTATATCTAGAAAACCCCATTGTCTCAGCCTAAAATCTCCTTAAGCTGATAAGCAACTTCAGCAAAGTCTCAGGATACAAAATCAATGTGCAAAAATCACAAGCATTCCTATACACCAATAACAGACAAACAGAGAGGCAAATCATGAGTGAACTCTCATTCACAATTGCTTCAAAGGGAATAAAATACCTAGGAATCCAACTTACAAGGGATGTGAAGGACCTCTTCAAGGAGAACTACAAACCACTGCTCAATGAAATAAAAGAGGATACAAACAAATGGAAGAACACTCCATGCTCATAGGTAGGAATAATCAATATCGTGAAAATGGCCATACTGCCCAAGGTAATTTATAGATTCAATGCCATCCCCATCAAGCTACCAATGAATTTCTTCACAGAATTGGAAAAAACTACTTTTAAGTTCATATGGAACCAAAAAAGAACCCACATTGCCAAGTCAATCCTTAGCCAAGAGAACAAAGCTGGAGACATCACGCTACCTGACTTCAAACTATACTACAAGGCTACAGTAACCAAAACAGCATGGTACTGGTACCAAAACAGAGATATAGACCAATGAAACAGAACAGAGCCCTCAGAAATAATGCCACATATCTACAACTATCTGATCTTTGACAAACCTGAGAAAAACAAGCAATGGGGAAAGGATTCCCTATTTAATAAATGGTGCTGGGAAAACTGGCTAGCCATATGTAGAAATCTGAAACTGGATCCCTTCCTTACACCTTATACAAAAATTAATTCAAGATGGATTAAAGACTTACATGTTAGACCTAAAACCATAAAAACCCTAGAAGAAAACCTAGGCAATACCATTCAGGACATAGGCATGGGCAAGGACTTCATGTCCAAAACACCAAAAGCAATGGCAACAAAAGCCAAAACTGACAAATGAGATCTCATTAAACTAAAGAGCTTCTGCACAGCAAAAGAAACTACCATCAGAGTGAACAGGCAACCTACAAAATGGGAGAAAATTTTTGCAACCTACTCATCTGACAAAGGGCTAATATCCAGAATTTATAATGAACTCAAACAAATTTACAAGAAAAAAACAAACAACCCCATCAAAAAGTGGGCAAAGGATATGAACAGACACTTCTCAAAAGAAGACATTTATGCAGCCAAAAAACACATGAAAAAATGCTCATCATAACTGGCCATCATAGAAATGCAAATCAAAACCACAATGAGATACCATCTCACACCAGTTAGAATGATGATCATTAAAAAGTCAGGAAACAACAGGTGCTGGAGAGGATGTGGAGAAATAGGAACACTTTTACACTGTTGGTGGGACTGTAAACTAGTTCAACCATTGTGGAAGTCAGTGTGGCGATTCCTCAGGGATCTAGAACTAGAAATACCATTTGACCCAGCCATCCCTTTACTGGGTATATACCCAAAGGATTATAAATCATGCTGCTATAAACACACATGCACATGTATGTTTACTGTGGCACTATTCACAATAGCAAAGACTTGGAACCAACCTAAATGTCCATCAATGATAGACTGGATTAAGAAAATGTGGCACATATATACCATGGAATATTATGCAGCCATAAAAAATGATGAGTTCATGTCCTTTGTAGGGACATGGATGAAGCTGTAAACCATCATTCTCAGCAAACTATCGCAAGGACGAAAAACCAAACACCGCATGTTCTCACTTATAGGTGGGAATTGAACAATGAGAACACATGGACACAGGAAGGGGAACATCACACACCGGGGACTGTTGTGGGGTGGGGGGAGGGGGGAGGGATAGCATTAGGAGATATACCTAATGCTAAATGACAAGTTAATGGGTGCAGCACACCAACATGGAACATGTATACATATGTAACTAACCTGCACATCGTGCACATGTACCCTAAAACTTAAAGTATAATAATAATAAAATAAAAAAAGATATTGATCAGATATACCCTAAATGTATTAATTTATACTTTCACACTTTTGAATTTTCTTTTACCCTTTTCTATATAGTCTTATAATTTTCTTCAGAGAGTTACAGTTGTCTTTTGAAGAGCAGAAGTTTTAATTTTCTATGAAGGTCAATTTACCAATTTTTCCTTTTATAGTTCATGAATTTTGTATTCGTTCTAAGAAATCTTTACTTACTCTAAGGTCACAAAGATTTGTCTCCTATGTTTTCTTCTAGAACTTTTATAGTTTTAGCTTTTACATTTAAGTCTATGGTCTGTATCAAATTAGTGTTTTTTTGTATGATGTGAAAAAAGGGTTGAAATTCATTCTTTTCTATATGGATAGCTAGCTGTTTCAGCAGCATTTATTGAAACAACAATCTTTTCCCTATTAGATTCCCTTGGCACTTTTGTCAAAAGTGACAATTGACCATATATGCCTTAATCTATTTCTGGACCCTCACTTCAATTCCATTGGTCTACATGTGTATCCTCTCTTGATACTGTACTCTCTTGATTACTGTAGCTTTATAGTAACTCTCAAAATCAAGTAGTGTAAGTTTTCCAATCTTATTCTTTTTAAAATTGTTTTGTCTAAGTTCCTTGAAATTCCATATACATTTTTAAATCAACTTCTCAAGTTCTATAAAAAAGTCTGTTGATATTTCCATATGTGTCCCATTGAATCTACAGATCAAGTTGGGGGAGAAATAACATTTTAACAGTATTGAGTTTTCCAATCCATAAACATGGTATATCTGTCTAATTATTTAGGCCTACTTTTATTTACACAGTAATATTTTGTATTTTCAGCATAGAGGTTTTTCACATATTTTATTTAAATTCTCCCTAAATAGTTCATTTTTTAATGCTACTGCAACTTTTTTCATTGACTTTCTCTACTTTTATCCATTTATATGTCATTGATTTCTGCTTTTTTATGATTTCATTTTTCTGCTTCATTTGGTTTTAATTTGCTCTTTTTTCTAGTTTTTGTAAGGTGGAAATTTAGATAATTTATTGTGGACTTTTATTCTCCTCTAATGTCAGCATTTAAAGCTATTAATTTCCCAATAAGAACTGCTTTAGTTGCATGCTATATATTCTGATATGTGTGTTTTCCTTGTCATTCTGTTCAATATATTTCAAAGTTTATCTTATGATTTTTATTTGACCCCTTAATTATTTAGAAGAATTTTATTTAATTTCAACATATTTTGATTCAGATAACTTTATGTTGTTGACTTCTAATTTCATTCTGTTATGGTCAGAGTACACTGTAAGTTCTCTGAGTAGAAGATACTGAGTGGGGTGATATGTTCTATAAATATCAATGAGCTCAAGATGATTGATAGTGTTGTTCAAGTCTTCTGTATTTTTGTTGAATTTTTAGTCTACTTCTATCAATTACTAAGAGAGGGGTGTTGAAACCTCTAACTCTAATTATGGATTTATCTATTTCTCCTTTCACTTCTGTATGTTTTTGCTTCCTGTACTTTAAAACTGTTATGTGACACACATTGAAAGCTATTATATCTTTTTGAGGAAGTGATCTTTTTATTATGAAATGTACCTCTTTATCCTGGGTTTTATTCCTTGTTCTGATATTAACATAGATACTCCAGGTTTCTTTTGATTAGTATTTTCATCATATATACCTTTTTACATCTTTTTCATTTTAACTTATCTTTGACTTTATATTTAGTGTTGATTTCTTATAGACAGCACATGCTTTTGTGTTCCAATTTTTTTTTGACTGACAATCTCTGCCTTTTAATGGGACTGTTTAGACCACTTGCATTTAATGTAATTATTGATATAGTTGGGTCTAAATCTATTATTTTTCTATATGTTTTCTCTTCAAAATTGTTTTTATCTGTTCTTTGTTCATATGTTCATATTTTCCTCTTTTTCCTACCTTTTCTCGGTTATTTTGTAATATTCTATTTGCTCCCCACCTTTAGCTTAATAGTGTGCGTGTGTGTGTGTGTGTGTGTGAGAGAGAGAGAGAGAGAGTGATATTTGTTCTAGGGTTTACAATATGCATGTTTAACTAATGACAGTCTATCTTTGAATACTATTATACTGCTTCATATGTAATATCAAAACTTTAATATACTTCTGTATTTCTTTCTCCTATCCTTTGCTTTGTTTCTATTTTTATTTATTTAGTTTTAGAGACAGAGTCTTACTCTGTTGCCTAGGCTGGAGTGAAGTGGCACAATCATAGTTCACTGTAATCTTGGCTCCTGGGCTTGAGCAATCCTCCCACCTCAGCCTCTTGAGTAACTAGGACTTCAGATATACACCACCATGCCTGGCTAATTTTTAGGTTTTTTTTTTTTTTTTTTGAGATGGCATCTCAGTGTGTTATTGTTGTCATAAATTGTACTTCTACATATGTTATTAACCCCACAATACATTGTTGTTGTTAGTTTTTAAAAATAGTCAGCCAGCTTTAAAAAAGTTAAAATATGAGAAAAAATGACTTTTACATATATCATCACATTTACTTTTTCCAACTTTCTTCATCCTTGGGGTAGTTTCAAGTTTCCATATGGTATTATTTTCTTTCTTCCTGAATAAGTTTACATTTCTTGTAATGAAGGTCTTCTGGCAACAGATTTTCTCAATCTTTGAAAAATGTTTATCCTGACTTCATTTTTTATTTCATTTTGATATTTACACTGGATTTTAAATTCTAGATTGACAAATTTATTCTCCTTTCATCACTTTAAAGGGTTCATTTAAGTGTTCTCTGACTTGCATTGTTTCTGATAAGTCCATATGAATAAAAGCTTATACAATTTCAGTTAGGAGGAACAAGTTCATGAGAACTACTGTACAACATGGTGATTATGGTTAATAACAATCTGTTGTATATTTGAAAGTTGCTAAGAGAGTAGATTTTAAATGTTCTCACTACAAAAAAATGATAAATATGTGAGGTAATGGATATGTTAATTAGCTTGATTTAGTTATTCCACAAGGTATACATAAATAAAGATATGCTGTACACCATAAATATATATAATTTTTAATTTGTTGATTAAAAAAACAAAAGATAAAATAAAATAAGTGTTGAGCCAAAAAAAGATGGCATTCCATTGTCATCTGGCTTGCATTGTTTCTGGTAAGAAGTCTGTGTAAATCTTACCTTTGTTGCCAAGAATATACACTGGAGAAAAGACAGCCTCTTCAATAAATGGCACTTGGAAAACTGGCTATTCATATGTAGAGGAATGAAACTAGACTACTGTCTTTCACCCATATACAAAAATTAAATAAAAATGGATTAAAGACTGAAATCTAAGACCTCAAAATATGAAAGTACTATAAGAAAACATTGAGGAAAATCTCTAGGACATTGGACATTGGTCTGGGCAAACATCTCTTGAGCAATATCCCACAAGCACAGGAAACCAAAGCAAAAATGGAAAAATTGGATCACATTAAGTTAAAAAGCTTCTACACAGCAAAGGGTACAATTAACAAAGTGAAGACACAACCCACAGAATGGGAGAAAATATTTGCAAACTATCCATCTGACAAGGGATTAGTTTCAAGAATACACAAGGAGCTCAAACAACTCTATAGGGAAAAATCTAATAATCCAATCAAAATGTTGAGCAAAAAATTTAAATAAACATTTCTCAAAAGAAGACATAAAATGGCAAACAGGCATATGAAAAGGTGCTCAACATCATTGATTGTCAGAGAAATGCAAATCAAAACTACAACAAGATATTATTGCACCCCAATTAAAATGGCTTTTATTCAAAAGTCAGGCAACAGCAAATGCTGGAGAGGATGTGGAGAAAAGGAAACTCTTGTACACTATTGGTGGGGATATAAATTAGTACAACCATTATGGAGGACAGTTTGGAGGTTCCTCAAAAAACTAAAAATTGAACTACCATATGATCTATCAATCTCATGGCTGGGTATATACCCCAAAGAAAGGAAATTGGTATATTGAAGAGGTATCTGCACTCCTGTGTTTGTTGCAGCACTGTTTACGATAGCTAAGATTTGGAAGCAACCTAAGTGTCCATTGCTAGATGAATGGATGAAGAAAATGTGGTACATATACACAATGGAGTACTATTCAGCCATAAAAGAGAATGAGATCCTGTCAATTTGCAGCAACATGGATGGAACTGGAGATCATTATGTTAAGTGAAATAAGCTAGGCACAGAAAGACAAACATCACATGTTCTCACTTACTTGTGGGATCTAAAAATCAAAACAATTGAACTCATGGACATAGAGAATAGAAAGATGGTTACCAGAGGCTGGGAAGGGTAGTGAGGGCTGTAGAAGGGAGGTAAGGATGGTTAATGGGTACAAAAAATAGAGGAATGAATAAGACCTAGTATTTGATAGCACAACAGGGGGACTGTAGTCAGTAATAACTTAATTGTACATTTTAAAATAACTTAGAGTGTAATTGGATTGTTTGTAACTCAAAGGATAAATGCTTGAGCAGATGGGTACGCCATTGTCCACGATGTGCTTATTTCACATTGCATGCCTGTATCAAGACATCTCATGTACCCTGTAAAATATATATGCCTACTATGTTCCCTTAAAAATTAAAAAAAATCTTACCTTTGTTTGTCTGTATTGTGTGTCTTTTTTCTCTCTGGTTCTTCTTAAAGATATTCTCCTTGTCACTGGTTTTCAAAAATTGATTATGAGTTGTCCTGGTGAGGTTTCTGTGTGTTTAGACTTCTTAGACTATGTGCTTAGACTGTTTGTTCAGTGTCTGATCCATGGATTTACAATTTTTATAAAATCTGGGTAATTTTCATCTATTATATCTTCAAATTTGTTTTTGCCCTTCCCAAAACTTCTTGTTATGTTAGACATCTTGATATTTTCCTACTGGTTACTAAGGTGCTGGTATTTTGTTTTAGTCTTTTAAAAAATTTCTCTTTCTGTACTTAATTAGGATCATTTCTACTCTCATGTCTTCAAGTTAATTGATCTTTTCTTCTGCAATGTTTAATCTTCTCTTAATCTTATCCAATGAACTGTTCATTTCAAATAATGTGTTTGAAATCTCTGGGTGATTCATGTTGTTTTTACTTATATCTCTCCTCAAATGTTCGTTTACTTTTAAATGCTTATACATAGTTGCAACATTTAAATTTTTTGTTTTACATCTTGTCTGCAAATTCCTCATTTAATCTGTCATTTTTAGTGTGTGTTCATTGACTGATTTTCCTTGAGGTTTTGGAACACAATTTTCTGTGCTTTTGCATATCTAATAACTATTTGCATTAGAAGGTGAATGTTATAAATTTAGTTCATTGACTGCTTGATTTTGTTGTATTCCTTTAAAGAGTGATTGGCTTTGTTTTGGCAGGTAGTTAAATTACTTGAAGATTGATCTTGAGGCTTGTTTTAAAGTTTTTTTTTTTTTAAGGTAGGTATGGAGTATACCTTATTCTAGGGCTTGTTTGCAACATTACCACACTATGATACTTCTGGCGTCTCTAAAGAATGATTCGTAAATGCTTTGGGGTCTGTCCACTTTGGCTGATGGAAACTCAAATGATTTTCAGATCTGTTTGTGCTCTGAAATCTCTTGGCTTACAGCTCTTTGCTAATTGTTCTTTCTCAGTATTATGAGGTTTCACCCTATGCATGTACAGATTAGTGTTCAGGCAAAGACTTAAGGGGATCCCTATGCAGCTATCTGGAGCCCTTTCTTCATGTAGCTCATTCATTTTCAGTATTCTACCCTGAAAGTTTTGACTGCACCCTGAAAGTTTTGACTGCCTTGACCTTCTCAAACCTCAATCTCTGTCTCCTAAACTTGGCAAGACTACCAGGATTTGTTTGGATTCCTCACTCCTGTGCTGCAATCTGGAAATTGCATCTAGGCAGCTAGTCAGAGTGAACATAGAACTTATCCCATTTATTTCAGTTTTCTCAGGGTTCATACTTCTGCATTGCTTGTAGTTCAATCTCTGAAGATAGTTGTTTTGTCTAGATTTTTATTTGTATGAGTTGGCAGGGCAATTTCTACAGCAGTTATTTATTCATAGGTAGAAGCAACAGTCTAGAGCAATATTTATCAATGTGTGTGCTTGAGCTTATGTGATCAGGTATATTTATGTTTGTGCCTTCATATAGTTATTGAGGGTCACTTTTCTTAGTCTGCTTGAGTTGCCGTAACAAAATACCATAGGCTGAGTGCTTAAGGAACAGAAATTTATTTTCTAATGGTTCTGGAGACTAGAAGTTAAAGATCAGGCTACCAGGATGGTTAGGTTCTAGTGAAGTCTCCTTTTTTGGCTTGCAGATGGCTGCCTTCTCACTATGTCCTCACGTGGCTGCAAAAGAGAGGGAGCGAGGGAGGGAAGAAGGTTGGGGAGAAAGAGAGAGAATGAGAAACAGCGAGTGAGCAAGAGCTCTCTGGTGTCTTTTCTTAAAAGGGCACCAATCCTGTCATGAGGACTCCACCGTCATGACTTTATCTGAACCTGATTATCTCCCAAAGATCACATCTTTAAAAATCATCACATTGGGCATTAGGGCTTCAATACATGAATTTTGGGGGGACACAATTCAGCCCATAGCGTACATTCATCAGAAATATCTCATTACTTACTTTTTCAACTGGTGTTAGCCACTCTTCTAAGATGTGCTTTAGTATCTAAACGACAAAACTCTCACTTTCTACTCTGTTAGGGCTGCTCAGTTTGAATGTTACTGCAGGCAATAGGGAGCCCTGACGTAAAGGTTTTTGAGCAGGGAGTTGACATGATGAAATGGCGATTTAGGTGTTGGAGGTGGAGAGAACTATGTATGGGAGGGTGACAGGGACAGCAAGCTATTTCATGGTCATTATGATAACCAGTTGATGAACTCTTTCAGGGTTAAGGGTCAGCAAAATTTGTCCTAAGTCACTTGCTTAGCTGGTTGTGCCTAACCTTATCATCAATCTCTTCACCAGAACCCTGGACAGCTTCAACAGTGAGGCTGACTCACATGCTGAAATGTATTCATTCATTTTTTTATCGCATTTATTTAACTGTTTTATCTTGCTTTTTAAAGAAATACAAAATAAGTAAAGACTACTGCTCCAGCCCTTGGGAAGGCAAGACAAATATAAGTTGAAAAATAATCATAATAATTCACTATTTTGGTAATTTTTCACCACTGAAAAGTGACCTTCAGTAAAAAAGATAAGCAACGTACTCTCTCGAAGATTGTTTATATGTTATCTGGAAAAAAGGATAGTCAATGTGGGATGGTATTAGGTAGAGAAGACTTTACAGAAGAGGTTTTTTGAGTGTTGTCTTGAAAGATAGGCTGAGTGGAGCCTGCTCAAGAAGACGTGTAAGATCTTTTGGACTACAGAAACCTCTCGGGCAATATCATAGGTGTTCAGGCTAACCCAAACAGGGTGGAAGTTCGACTTTGGGAGCTATTATGGGATAAAGGGAGGACCCCCAATAATAAATGTCTTTAAGCCTGGGTGGGGGCATGTGGATTTGCTGCTGCAATTGAAGAGGGAGCTGTAGGAGGTTCTTCTGCAGCAAAGTGACAGAAATTTTTGCTCTGTTTTCTATTCCTCTCCTCCACTTTCATGTGAGCTTATTTTAAAATTTGTTTTTGATAGTGATACAATTTTTAAATCAGTTTTATGCTTACATTTTATTTTTCTAACAAGCTATATAGTTGATCCTCTCCACAAAAACCTGTAATAATATTTTAGGACTATAACCACTGAGTTAACATGTTAAACTAGTAATTGAACATCTTTTCTCTCCCAGACATAATTTGAGACACTGAGAGAGATACAAAGTTTTAGCATTTGTTCATTCACTCATTCAGTCAATATCTTAGGATGCTTAATAGGACATGGTCCATGCCTTCCATGTCTTAAAGTCTAGTGACCACACAGGACTGAAATAAATGACTGATTGAATGCAGGTTTCCTCTCCTGTCCTTTTGTTACCAGAGAAGTTCACTCATCCTGCAGGGCCTCTCCCCAGGGCATTCTGATTGGCTTAGTGGTACAAGAAGGGAGGATGCAGGATGGAAATCAGGAACAGTGTTGGGGTCCTCTGGGGCTGCTGCAGCCTTTATTCTCATATCACAGAATTCCACGTTGACATTCTCAACATCTTTCCATGGAGATTTCTTGGTCAGAAACAGTGTTTCTTTTCTTAGATTTTTGAGACAGTCATTTGAATCTATAATTGGGGCTCAAGTAGAAAGGATGAAAAGATCGTGAAAGATGTCACTTTCTTACATAGTTTCTGGGATAATGCCCAGCTGTGTGAGGCAGGTATAATAAATGAAAATCAACTATTTCATCAGTAGGTGGGAAGCCCTTTCAGCAAAAAGTTTTTAGTCTACAGTAAGCACATGCCATGCCACGTGACCACACATAGAGTTGAATGCAGCCTTAGACTGTGTTAATAAAAGTATAGTGTCTAAGTATCAGAAATGAAGAATTTCTGTTTTACTTTACATTGGTCAGTTTATGTCTAGAGTCTTCTATTCATCTTTTATTCATCTGTAGAGATCAGGTTTTAAGAGAGATGTAGACAAATTGATATCTTAAAGCACTAAGAGATAAAATGGGAAAATGAAAGATTTGAAACCAAGCGATATCTGAAATGGCCGAAGGAAGTCTGTATGTTGCTGTCACAGAAGTGAGGACTCAAAAAGGACTTGAGAACTGTATTTATTAGATTGGATCTGGGCAGACCCCAGAGTTATAATTAAGAGCAACTCAAGGAAGTATCAGGGAAATACAAGTGAAGGAACAGTTTTCAACAATGAGAACAGTTTCAAGATGGAATAGCTTGTCTGTTGGGGCAGTGAGCTCTCCATCACTGGGTAAATTTGATGAACATTTGGGGAAAATGTTGTGGAAGGATTTCAGTATCTGAAAGATGCTTGGGTTGTTTGGTTATACAATTCTGTACTCTATAACAAATCCCATCACACCCCAATGCCCTCTGAGTGGAGAGGCAGAGCTAATGGGAACCAGGAACCTTGGCTGAGTGGGTAAAGAGAGTGACTTCCAGAGGCCCCACTTCTGAGTCATATTTGAGCCACTCTTAGAGACAGAACAGAGGGAGGAAGAGAAATAAATTCCAAGAGGGAAAACATCTTCCATTGCCCTTGGCAAACATTGAAACACAGCACTTAATGCAGCCCTACAAGGGAAAGGGTGTTTCCTGGTGCACTGGCTTCTCTACCTGTCTGTACTTCCCAAGGCAAGTGGCTGATCATAGGCAACCTCTGAGCTACCTCTGGGAGGTAATTTGGTTCTGGGGTGTGGGTGAAGTGAGGGTAGGTCTGTTGTCAGTAGCAGGAGATAAAGTGTATACCAACCCCAAAGCTGTAGTTGGTCTTTCCTGACACTAAGATAAAGTCTCAGTTGCTTTTTCTCCCTTTGGCTTTGGGTGTTTTCTTGGTCTCTAGGACAGATGGGCCTCCTCACTAGCAAAGGTGAGTATTTTAGAGTTTATTGCTAATGCCCTCACTTGACATTAACACATTCTTCATTCACTGCCTTTGGCGTTTTTCTTTTCACATGTATTTGTCTTGTATCTCCAATAAATTATAAAATTCTCCAGGCGAGGATTGGCTCATACTTTTCTGTGTCCCCCATAGCACCTAGCCCAGTGCTCTTGTATAATGCAGGTGCTTACTGAAGTATTAATAATGAATGTCAACTTGTCAAAGTAGATCTTTTTGCTTGAAGGAGATGATGTTAGCTAGTTTTAATCTAGGAAAGTTGTACACTCTTTGTTATGAATATTAATCACTGAATGCCAGATATTTCCCTTTTTAAAAAACCCTTTAGGTATACTGGCTTATGTCATTTGAAAATTCTTGCAGGCGGGGAAGGTGTTGAACACCTTGAGGTCTCTCCTGGCCCAGCATTTGAAGATCACCCTCAAGGTCTGTTTAGCTCTGTTCGTTAGAGCAAGTTTTTGGGATTCTGCTAATGATGACATGAGTCTACCCAAAGTCAACAATACACTCCTCTCACCCCATGATTTGGGTAGCTACTTCTCCTAGCAGAACAAAAAGAATATTTTTTTCAGGAAGCCACACATGCCTATTTAATTCCTAAATGTTCAAAAGGAAGAGAAATCTATTGGAGGGCACCTGGAGCCATGATCAAGGCTGGCTTATGTGCGCATGGCAGTGGGGATGGTGACCCTGCACACAACATCTCTTTGGCCTTTTTCTCACTGCCTCTGGAGAGGGCCTTGGGTAAAGGGCAGACAGGTTGGTACCCCTTAAAGGAGAGTCTTTTCAAACAAAATCAAGAAATCTCAAAGCAGGGGTGTTTTTTTTTCAGCTGCCTGGCTAAAAGTTCATATGTGGGGGAACCAAGGAAACCAACTTTGAAAGGCTGTGTGTGGACGAAATAATAGAATCTGAAACTGTATTCCTGTATTTTAAAAATAACAAAACTTGGCAGGTAATGGAAGCACACCGTGATTTAATTGCTTTTGGCATTAATTAAAAAGGATAGAACAGGCTTTCAGGGAGGGATTTTTATGACTGTAGGAGTGTTTGAACATTATATATATATATCTCTCTCTCCCCTTTCTCTCTGTGTGTGTATGTGTGTGTGTATATATATGTGTATACATATATACATATATATGTGTACATACATATATGTATATACATATATACGCATATATATGTATATACATATGTATACATACATGCAAATATACATATATACATATATAATTTATAATCATTTATAATCATATATACGTGTATATACATGTATATACACGTATATATGATTATAAATAATCACAAAAGCTAAAGAAGAAAAAGAAATATTAAAGGCTCATTTTACTGCCAAAACAAAGATTATTATTATATCTATGAAAAAGTAACTGGGGTTCCTTATGGGAATCTGTGCTGGGCAATGTTCTCATGATACTCAACCTTAATTTTTTCTTTCTTAATTTCATGTTCATCCCTGCTGCCTATTATCTTCCCTTATGCCACTCAAGTTATTTTGCACCACTAACACTTAATTGTAAAACATGAAATCATTGTTTTGTCACAGACTTTTAAATAATTACTGATGGAACTAACCTAGCTGGATGGGTTATTTGATCATCTTCAGTTGGTTCTTGTATTACCTAATCATTATAGTTGCTCTTCTCTGGGAAACTTGGAGATTTTTTATGGCCAAGGCTAAGATAACTGTGCAGAAATGTCATGTTGCTTCAAGTTCTATCTCTCTCAGGAGTGCAGAACAGACTTGCTTAATTTTTCTTCTGCTTTCCAGATGAGAGAGGTAAAAAAAACTGCCTAGTGCTGTTCCTCACTAGCTGTGACCTTGAGAAAGTTGTTTCTCAGAGTCAAAGATTTCTTGTCTTTAAAATGAAGGCATGAATTGGATTGTCTTGAAATTTTCCTTTGGCCCTACCATCTGTGATTCTGCTCCAGCTTAGCATTCTTCACTCATGCTCCATACCATAGGGCACCATGAGTGCACAGCAGACAAGAAACGGTTGCACTGAAACAGAGGGAGAGTTGAGTCAAGAGAGTGAAATGACATTTGCAAAGCCCTGAGAAGCTGAGCCCTGTATGTTAATTGATTAACATTTCCCAGTACAGTGCCCTGAGCATTTTAGAGGAAACAAACTATATAAATGGAATGCATAAATGATTCCTCTTACATTCTAATTCATATACTTTCCATTGGCTAAAATGAGATCTTACTGGTGTTCATGTTTGGGGGTATAAATTTCTTTTGTGTGTGTGTGTGTGCTGTTCAAGGCCCATTTTAATTGGTCTATAACAAGAAAGAGCAGGAGAGCCAGCTGGTTTAGGGGTGGGGAGTAAGGATTCAAGGGTGGGACAGTGACCTGGCATTGGGCACAGGCTGCAGCTGGAACCCGCCTCCCTCACTGAAGTGCAGAGTTGTCTGAGATGGCAGCACTCTTCAGCCTCCATCTCAGCAACCAGAAACCTGAGGAAGCCAAAGGAGCCTTCACAGGAGCCCAGTAAGGCCACAAGACATGGCAGGTTATGACATATGGCATGTGGTTGGGAGAACAAAGAATACTAACCATCATTAACCCGGAAAGAAGCCTTGGGAATGTTATTGGGACTATTTCCCAATACTTAAAGGACTGTCATGTGGAAGAAGAATTAGGCTTGTGTTAGCTTTCAGTGAATGTTATTGGTGAAAGTTACAGACAGATAGATTTTAGTTTGGTTTCAATAAAGTATTCCAAGACTGTGTCAGAAATTGGAATAATAATAATATTTTATATCTTTATAGTGTTTTACAGTTACAAAACTGCTTTCCATGGCTAATTTAATGGCACTATGAGGTAGGTAGAGCTGGTATTATTGTTAATATCACCATCGTTATTACCACCAACACCATCGTTTTCAATCAGATGTGAGCACAGAGGTACATATTAAATGATTTATTCAAAATCATGAAGCTGTGAAGTGGGTAAGTGTAACTCCATATTCTATGCCTTTCATTAAATACACACACACGTGCGTGCATGCACACACACACACATGCCCTGCCCCTCTAGTTTTCATTTTCGTGTAACAAACCACTCAAAACTTATTGGCATAAAACAGCCATTTTTTATTCTGTTCACAAACTCTGTGGATAATGAACTCACACAGTAAGGCACAGTGGAGATTCCTTATCTCCACTCCATGATGTGTGGGGCCTCAGCTGGGAAGATGCAAAGGTGGAGGGTGACTTGATGACTGGGAGTTGGAATCATCTAGAGGAATCTTTACCCATTTGTCTGGTGGTTGATGTTGGCCATCAACTGAGAACTCAGCTCTCCATGTAGGCTAGTTTGGGCTTTTTCACAATATGGCAGCTAGATATCAAAAGCAAATGTCCCAAGGGAGCAAAGCAGAAGCATATGGCATTTTTTTTTGATTTAGCCTTGGCAGTCACATAGCATCACTTCCACTCTATTCTATCGTTTGAAATAATCACAAGGCATGCCCAGTTCCAAGGGGAGGGGACAAAGAGCCCACCTTTTGGTGGGAGGAGGGCCAAAGCTACATTGTAAGAAGCATGTGGAATGGAAGATATTGCTGTGGTCATCTTTGGAAAATACAATCTGCCACTGTGTGTGTGTGTGTGTGTGTGTGTGTGTGTGTGCGCGCGTGCACGCGTGCATATGTGTGTCTATTTTTTCTGAATTATCAGACATAGTAAAAGCATACTCCTTTATGTTTTATGAATTTGTTAATGTGAGTATATGTTAAAGGTAAGTTTTTTTTATACTTGCAATAAATTATCTTAACTGAAAAGGCTAAAGTTACTATTTGTTTCTAGCAATATGATAGACTAAATGTCTCTTGGTAGAGAATACCTAAAAAATGCTGATGTAGTAAAAAAGATATGTCTTGTAAACACATGAATAAACTAGCAGGGAAGTAGTAGAAATTCCTGGGGGCCTCAAATGACAAGAAATATGACTAGGGAAAGCTAACTTCGTGCTAAATCTGGTGTGAGATTGGGGGCCACTGCAGATTCTCGATGGTCTAGAACTTGGGTTTCACGTGAAATCTATGTGAAATGACTCAGTCAAAACCATCTTAGATCAAAGCTGAGTGAATGAGATTGGAGGTTGGAGACCCTTGCTGGGATTGGAGGCCCCCATATGAAACCACCAGAACCCTCAGAGGCTTGGTTCCTAGTGAAAAAATAAAACCCACCCTGCCAAGCGAGGTGGAGGGAAGAATAAGTTCCTCTCCCAGTCTTGGTTCTGAGTGGAAAGGAAAAAGAAAAAAAGTCCCTCTGGGAATATCTACATGCCCACCCTCCTGCAGGTTGAGGGCTGGAATTCACATCCTCTTTCTAACCTCCAAAATTATAATCCAAACGTGTAGGTTAAAATGGTCCTGGGTTGGTTGTGTCTCTAAGAGTTACTTGGAAGGAGATGCAAATCCTCTCAGAGGAAACCCGGACTTCACAGAATTTTCACAAAGTTCCAAAGATTATGCATACACACACACACACACACACACACACACACACACACACACACACACACACAGTTTCCAAACTACAGCAAACAAAACCTGCTGCCAGATCCTGCCAAATCTTTTTAAACCACTGGTCAGACCACGCCATTCTCCTCTTTAAGCCCTTCCTAGTACTCCTTGCACAGAATATTAATTTCTGGCAGCGAATTCCAGGGCCCCTCTCCTCATTCTGCATGGGCTGAGAGTGGTCTTTTCCTAGCCATGGTGGGGATTGCCTGGGACGGATCAGTGGGTGGGACTGGGAATCTGGGCTCTATGTGGCTAATTCAGGGTCTAATTTGTGGGGCCCCAGGGAGCAGCTGAATGCTTACCCAGGTGCACAGCTGGCTTCTTGTAGTGTTGCTATTATGGGATTACTGGAAATGGCAAACTGAGCATCAAGCAGCAGGACCTCTTTCCTTGGACTCTGAGGGAAAGTTAGCAGCAACAGCTCATGCTCATGGCAATCTTAGGCTGGAGGAAGGGAGTGGACAGTGGAGGGGAGGATGCTCCTATTGTGAGGAGCATCCGTTTCAAAGCTCTCTAAAGGATAAGTCTGTATTTTGTGGTCATTCCTAGCCAGTTTCTAAAGTTATTTTGTAAGACCCAAATATCTCTTCTAACATTTAGCAAGTAGATAACACTTCCTGAGCACTGCCTCTGTGGAGAATGTATAAAGAGATACAAAGGAACACAGGCATGTGCTCCTTGACTTTAAAACGTACTTGATTTCCATTTCCCCAAAGAACAAAGAATTAGAATTGTTAGAGTTAGTGATAGAAGGATCAAAAATATATGAAAGGAGCTATAAAAACTGGGACATGTCAACATTGTTCTATTTGCTACACAGCAGTGTTTGTTAAAAAAATCGTATTTTTATGTCAAGATAGAAAATAAAAACAGAAAAATCATGCGCACATGAGAGGTTAGACAGGAGTAGCAGGGTTTGAACAGCAGGCCAGGGATGGCCTTCCATGTCTCGGGTCTTTTCTACCTTTCCATCTTCACCACAGGTTGGAGTAGCCTAGCTTTCTCCTTGCTTGTTTCTTAAGTCTTCTTAAAACTGTTCTGTCCCTAGAGCCTGTCAATCCCAAAGCCTTCTTTTCTATTTTTCTCACGTGGCCTAGGGGCCCTCATGCAAACAGGTCACCCTGCAGCCTGCCTACACAGTCCAGAGGCCCCAAGAGGGTTTTGCAGAGAAGCCCTGTCTAGACATCCAGTGTGGATGTCAACAGCTGAGGGCAGTTTGCCTGTGGGGAGGGCTACTAACACAAAGAGGGACCCATCACCCAGGACCACAGTGTTGTCAAGGGAAGACACTGGAGGAGATGTGCTGTCAGCAATGTTCTGCCAGTGGTGAGTATCTTTACTTGGGGGGCAGAGGGTAGAGAGAGACCTGGAAGAAAGCAGGATTGAGCAAGACTGAAGCATCAGAAGGGAGGGGGCAAACAAGTGTTCTGGGGATGGTGATAGATATTTAGAACTTGAGCCCCTGCTCCTATCATCATGCTTCCTTTTCTCTTTACTTCTCCCTCACATTCCAAATACACCTGTAGCTTTTTATTACACAGCACTCAGGGGGTGGGTGGATGGAGCTGGAACAAACAAGCCCATTGGATTTTTGATGGAATATTCTTTCTTGCCTAACGTAAATAATAAGTTGAGGATTTTAAATATATATTTTTTAATTCTAAAAAGCTTGGCTTTAAATATCAAGATCCAAAGTCTAGATAGCTGAGATTTTAGACAGCAGAATGATATAATTTATTTCCCACTGAAAGGAGAGAAAAACGTGACAAACTGGGGGAAAGAGGAGAACCAAAGTGGATATTGCTAGAGCTTAGGTGTTGCCTGAGTTTCCATAAAGGAGCTCAGAATCTCCATTCCCCTGGGATGAATTAGGGGACATGGGGTGGGACTGGGTGATTGAAACAATAAATGGATTGAAAAGAGTTCCAAGAACAGCAGACACTTGTGCCTCTCTTCCTGGTCTGTGGCCAAAGACCAAATAGTATAGTCTTTCCCCAGCATGGCACTTGGGCTGCAGAGTAGCAACAACTGGGGAAAGTCGAGGTTGGCAGGTCTGAGGACAGCCTTATGGAGTCCCACAGAGTGTTCTGTACTCTCCAGCGTGGAGGCAGAGAGCATGCAAATAATTCCCACGGCACCTGCAATGGCTGCAGAAGGGGCTGGTAACAAGCTGGGAGGCCCTAAGAGCCTCAAGTTGGTCTCTACAAGGAGGCTGCAGAATATGCATGCCTCCTGGTGAGAAGCTATGGCAGGATGATGAATGGTGAGGACCAGAGAAGATGAGATGTCCCTCTGTGGAGTTAGCCAGGACAGAGGACAAGTCAACAATCAGATGTCTCTCTTAGAAGCCAGGACAACACCCACCTTTCCCTAACGTAGGAATTTAGAGCATCCTCAGCAGGAAGGGAAGGAAAAGAGATGGAGAGTGTACATGTCACATTAACTGTATTTATCAATAAGTTCAAAAGAGACTGAGTAACCTTGAATTGGAAAGATTATGATTTCTGCTACAGAGGAGGAAATGAGGGCTCATGAACTAAGTTCTGTTATAGACAACAAAAATATCGTGCTTTTTGTGCAGTCTATGGTTGCACAATTTTATTTGTCATACAGATTTGCCTCGATGGGGTGAAGACACCAAAATGAAGTTGAGTAGGAGATGAATGTAGAGACCTTGAGAGGGGAAGAAAGCTCAAGGCACATAGGAGCTAATAATGATGAGAACTTGACTAGTTTCCAAGAGGGGCCTGGGAATGGGAGAAAGCATGCTGATGTTGCGTGTTGCACAGTGAGGGCTGCAATCAGACTCCAGCCAACTTTTGTTTTCCGACACATTGATCTGTTTAATTGGTGCTTCTTGTCATGCCCTCAAATAGCTGTTTACAGAGAATCATGATGAACCCAAGAATGGCTTCAGCCTCTCCAAACACTCCTAGCTCTGAGTATGCAAAGCCATCTATTAGCGCTGTGAGAATGACTCCCATACATATGACATGGAGAAGTGACAGTTGTGCTTCTCCAGGTACTGTGCATGACCCAATAGGGCCAGACCCAGACATCACTGAGGCTTTCTCTGCTCCTAAAAGGTCTGCTGATGAGAACAGGGAAACAGAAGGCTGTTCTGAATCAAAGTATCATGAAAGAGCCAAATACATATATCTCAAACAAAGCCACCAAACCCACTTCTCCTTCTGATGACTGAGCAATCACCTGTGAAATTTAATAAGAAAATTATCTGTAAGCAGGTTTCCCAGATCAAGAAAGATTTCCATGAAAAGAATGGGATTTTTGAGCTCTGTCGTGAGGAGCATCTTCCCTTTTTTGAGGTTTCCCCCCTTTCCTTATCTGTGCTAGCTTTTAGCTTTTGCTTTTCCCTTCCCTTTTCTTTCTGTTCACCTTTCTCCCCCTAATGCTTGACCTTCAATTGTGGTTCCCTGAGCTTCAATTTTACATTCTATGAAAAAATGGGATTCCCTCCATTAGGAGAAACTGGATTTCCCTTTCTAATTTCCTGGATCTTTGTAAAATTCAAAGAACATCCTCAGATCCTAGACTGTTGATTGAATTATGGGTTTCACCTTCTGGAAATTTGACTTGTGGAGCAGGTTTGTTAAGAGGGTATGGGCCTGGCATGGTGGCTCATGCCTGTAATCCCAGCATTTTGGGAGGCCAAGGTGGGCGGATCAACTGAGGTCAGGAGTTCGAGACCAGCCTGACCAACATGGCAAAACCCCATCTCTACTAAAAATACTAAAATTAGCCAGGTATAGTGGTGTGCGTCTGTAATCCCAGCTGCTTGGGATGCTGAGGCAGGAGAATCGCTTGAACCCAGGAGGTGGAGGTTGCAGTGAACCAAGATCGTGCCACTGCACTCTAGCCTGGGCAATGCAGTGAGACTCTGTCTCAAAAAAGAAAAACAAACAAAACAAAACAAAACAACAACAACAACAAAAACAAAAAACAAAAAAAAACAAAAAAAGGGGAGAAGGGATAGATTCAGAAAGATTCAGCACATTAGCAGGGATTGATTAATCCACGTTTCTATGACCTCAGCATCCTAAGGGAACAGTGCAGGGATGGAGTTTTGATGGGGCAGAAGAACCTTTACCGATTCTACTCTCTGATAGATGATGATGGTACTCATGAGGCTCTCAGATAAATAATTACAGTTATGCTGTTAATGAGTAGGTTACATATAACTCCCCAAGTTACCTTTAAGAAAAAAAAGAGATGGAGGTCTCCCTTTGTAATCAGGGCTGGAGTGCAATAGTGCGATCATAGCCAACTGTAACCTCCAACTCCAGGGCTCAAGGGATCCTCCTGCATTAACCTCCCAATTATCAAATTGCTTTCTGAATGCATAGTCATGATTTTTAATTTCAGTCATGTATTTTATTTCTTTAATTTGGGGGGGCCTTTGGGTTTAGAGAGTAGCGTTAATCATCCTCCTCTGTTCCTGGAGTATAATTATCATCATTCTTTGCAGTCATTTTCTTGTATTATTATTTTATTTTTTCTTCATTATTCAGGTCCTTATTCCTATCTCTCTAACCAGCACTGGAGTGCTCAATCTGTGGCCTTGAGTATGCATGTGTCTGTGAGGAATAGTGCATTTTCTATATATGGCATTTGATAAAATTATGCAGAATTTAAAACATTTACAAAAAAGGAAGGCCTGATACATCTCTGTGTACCTATCACTCAGTTGCAACAATTATCAACTCATGGCTAATTTCTTTTTCCTGTATATTGTTTTCCTACTCTTCTCCAGATTTTTAAAGCAAATCCCAGATATAATATAGTTTAATCTATAAATATTTCAGTATGTATTTCTAAAAGATAAAAACTCTTCCTTTTGAAAACTTTGCATCAGGAACCAAAGGAGGCCCAATACATTACAACTGGTTAACATATTTCTTAAATCTCTTTTAGCCTATAGGTTCCCATTCTATTCCTTTTTGTCTTTGGCGGTTTTTTATTCTTAAAGAAACTCAGTCATTTGTCTATTTATTTCTAACAACTGTTTTGTTGATTGCATCCTTGTGATAGTGCCTGACATGTTCCTCTGTCTCCTCTGTAAATTAGAAGTTAGATCTGGAGGTTTGACCAGATTTAGGTTCAATGTAGGGGAGGCCAGACTACATTATAGGTAGAACCATGTCCTTCCATCAGAGGGGATGTGACGTCTAGTTGTCTTGTGATGTGAGTAGCCCTTAATGGTCATTCTTTATATTTAATTCCTTAGAAAATGCAAAATGAGCATAACCTAGTTTTCTCATGTCTGTTTTTGTTTGTTAGCTGAAATACTACTGAAAGGGAAACTTTTGTTCATCAACTTTCCCTCATCAGTTTGTGTAGGAAAAGTAGAATAAATGCTTGACTCTTTCTTTTTATTAACAGTTTTTAAAAGAATGAGTTGATTTCCCAGGGTAATCAATGAAATTTTTTTAAAACAAATATTGTAGTGAATTCATAGATTTAAACTAATTTAATGTGTTTCAATCAACTGTAGTTACTTTCCTTAATGGTTCTCAAATTGCCCCTTCCTTGGCTAGCAGGAAACTATTCAAGTTGGCTCCTGAGTTCCTTTGACGTGAATATAGAAGTCTTACTTTCTGAGAAGTTTGCTAGATATTGTTAAATTCTTATCCCCAGGAGGTTATATCATTTTGCCTTCCCACAAGATTTGCCAGCAGAATGTGATTTTGAAATTAGGTTTTTACTAATTTAATTGGTGAGAGATGATATCTCAGTGTAGTTTTAACTTGCTTTTCTCTTATTATGACTGAGGATGAACATCTTTTCATATTAGGAGCTATTTGCATTTTTTCCTATGAACTATCAGTTCATATCTTTATTATACATTACATTTTATTATATATTGTATATTAAATTAAAAATGTTTTGGCCTCTTTATTTTTAGAAGGTCTTCATATATTAAGAACAGTAACCTTTTGTTTATGAATAAATTGTGAACAGTTTTTCCTATTTTGCCATTTGTCTTTTTTCTTTTTTTTTGCCATGCAAAAGTTAAAAAAATGTATGTAATAAAATTTATCAATTTTTAAAATTGCTTCTGGGTTTGAGTCATAGGAAGGTTTTTCCTACTGCAAGATTATAGAGGAACTCACCCATGTTTTCTCCAAATATTTGTTGGTTTCATTTTTTAATATTTAAATCTCAGATCTGTTTGGAATTCATTCTGGAATACAGGTTAACCCATTTACGCCTAGTGTTCCATTACTGGAACGCTAAGCATGGGGGAGTTATTTATATCCTACTGCTCAAGGTCATTGCCAAGGTCTGCTTTTTCACTCATGCAAAAATTCAAAAAATTGCAACCTCTGGCATAGTAATGGATCCGATCTTATCTTTTTCCATGTGGTTATACAGTTATACGACTTAGTAGAAAGTCTACATTTCCTCTGGTACTTTGAGATGCTGTCTTTAGCATATATTAAATGTTCATACACAGTGGGGTCATTTTCCAGATTTTATTTTCTGTTCATGTGACAATACCAGTGAATTTTAATTATGGAGACTTATGGTAGGGTTGAATTCTAACAGGACTACTCTTCCCCTCTCACTCACCTCAAACCATTGTTCTTAATTTTTAGATTTTTCCTGGTGATTCTTGCTTGTTCTTACATTTTTTTTTTTTTGAGAGTTTTGCTCATGTTGCCCAGGCTGGTGTGCAATGGTGCGATCTCAGCTTACTGCAACCTCCGCCTCCTGGGTTCAAGCAATTCTCTTGCCTCAGCCTCCTGAATAGCTGGGATTACAGGCGCCTGCCACCATGCCAGGACAATTTTTTTTTTTTTTATTTTTAATAGAGACGGGGTTTCTTCATGTTGCCCAGGCTGATCTCAAACTCCTGAGCTCAAGTGATCCACCCACCTCAGCCTTCCAAAGTTCTGGGATTACAGGTGTGAGCCACAGCTCCCGGCCACAAATGAACTTTATATTATACTTGTCTAACTCAAGATAAAAAATTATTTGATGATATTTGTTATTGAGATTGCATTACACTTAGAAGACATAAAAAATGGAATTTTTAGGATGGTAAGTCTTCCGATTGAAAAACATGATATCTCATTTCATTTATTCAAGTCTACTTTTGTTTCTTCCAGGTTGTTTTGTAGTTTTCCTCATATAAGTTTTGGCCTAGGTATTTTATTTTTGCTATAGTAAAATGAGGTTTTCTCTTTCATTAGACTTTGAATTGGGTTTCTTTGCATATAATAATTTTAATTCTTGCTACCTTACTAAGTTTTCTTATAATTTTGGTAGTTTTTCTATTGATTCTTTGCAATTTTTGAGATTATATTATATGTAAATAGACTTTACCTCTGTCATTTCAATTCTTATTCCTCTAGATTCTTTCTCTTATCCAACTGGATTAATTTAAACACAATGTTAAATAGAGGAAGAGATAGTGCTTGTCTTGTCTTGTTCCCGACTTTTGTAGAAACACCTTTGGTTGTTTCCATTTGGTAAGATGCTGGATTTGGGTTTTTGTCTGTTGGTTTCTTTTGTTTGTCTATAACCCCCTCTTTTCTCTCCCTTTTCTTTCACTGAATCTATTTTGAAGTAATAGTCATTTACTCCCAATAAATTCCTATAAGGCAATCAGTGAGCTTATTTTATTCTTCACATATTCTTTCCAACATCCTTCTATTTTTTAATTGTTGTATCACATGGAAATTGTCACATAGCTTTAACACACTACTTTTCATATTCTTATGTGTTCTCCCTTGTAATAATTTAGTCAGAGTCTTACTAATAAATCCACATTTAATATTAAATAATTATTTTCTAGTTGTTTGCTACTAAGTATAAAAGTGGAATTACTTTTTGTATATAGACCTTGTATCTTACAACCTTGCTAAATTTGTTAATAAGTTCTAACAACTGTTTTATAGTTTCCTATAAAACTTTCTACGTAAACAATCATGTCTATTTCATTGCAGATATTCCCTACCTCTTAATTCATTACAAGCATATGTTCCTTTACCTCACTGAGCATAGTTATACTGTATAAAATTGCTTTAAATTCCTCACCTGAGAATCCTAACATCTGGGTCATCTCAGGGTTGGCATCATGTTGATTATTTTTTTCCCTTGAGAATGGCTCACATCTTCCTGAGTCTTATTTGTTGAATAATTTTGGATCGTAGCCTGGACACTGTGAATATTATGTTGTAAAGACTCTGCATTCTGTTATATTTCTCCAAGGAGTGTTGACATTTTGTTTTAGCAGACAATTAACTTGATTTAGACTCAGAATGCCAACTCTTGTGCCTGTGTTAGGTAGTGGCTCAGATCTCTGGTCAGTTCTTGAAGTCACAGCAGTCAGTCAGCTGCTTTCAGTTTGTTCCATGTATGTGTGATTCAGAAGTCAGTCAGAGACTTGGGCTAGGTCTATACATACAATTTGAGATTCTCTTGTTCTTGTTCTCTTCTTTCTGGGGTTTACTCTTATTTTCCAGAAGCTTTGGTTGTCCTGGTTCCTCTGGTTAGAAAGATGATGGACTTTTTACCAGAATTTAAGCCGTTCCGCACCAGTGTTGCTGCAAATGTGGTCTCCCTCAGGGTAAAGCCACAATAAGCAAGGAACTCACTCCAGCCTGGCCACTTGCTTCGAATTTCACTCACCTCCAAAATATGCCTGCCTTTGTTTCAGTCCTTAGAGTTCTCAGGTAACTTTTTGTTGTATTTATTTTCTAAGAGTTTATAGATGCTGTTTGACTTGGCAAGAGTTCACTCTTTTATACCAGAAGCGGAACTTCTCTTAGTACAGGTTGAGTATCCCTTATCTGAAATCCACGGGACCAGAAGTGTTTCGGATTTTGGATATTTTCAGATTTTGGAATATTTGCATATACATAATGAGATATCTTGGGGATGGGACCTAAGTCTAAATATGAAATTTATTTATGTTTCATATACACCTAGCCTGAAGGTAATTCTATACAATATACTTTAATAATTTTGTCCATGAAACAAAATTCCTGTACGTTGAACTGCTGGAAAGCAAAGGTGTCAGGTGTGGAATTTTCCACTTGTGGTGTCATGTCAGTGTTCAGAAAGTTTCAGATTTTGGAGTATTTTAGATTTTGCATTTTTGCATTAAGGATCCTCAACCTGTACTTTAAAAAATGTTGAAAGTGTCAAGTTCAGGAGGAAGTCCAGTCTCTGGAGCAGGCCCAGATGGGATTAGTTTTGATCCTAATAATCCTTCAACAGTGATTTCTCTACTCCCCTATAGCAAAGCCTGCCTTTTCTGGGTTGAGGCTGATGGTGAAGCTCACGTTTTAATGATGAGTACTTCTCCATAGGAGAATTTTCTGCCTCTTAGGTTCTGAGCCTCACTATGGCCACTGCTAGCCACTTGGAGCTAGATGGAATCAGGGCAGTGTCAGGTGTCACATCTCCCATCTATGAGCCCACAGGACTGTGCTCAGCAAGCATCCCAGTCTGCAGAGCAGGTGTAGAGTTGAGATGGCAACATCTTCTTAAATCTCCCATATATGAGATTGCCCTTCAGTCTGACAGCAAGAGGACCACCTTACCTCCAGCGGGGGAATATTGTGTCTACAAAAGCACAGGGAAAAGGGATCAAAAATGGAGGTCTGTTCCCTGAATCCTGGGAAATGCAATCACTGGATCCTGCCATATTTTCTGCCTCTCGTGTAACTTTCACACTAAGTTGTAGTCTCTTTCAAATATACCATTTCTTTCATAAAGCCTTTTGAGATTGTCAATAATCTCACTTAAAAAATCTCTCCAAGAACTGAGTATTTGTGGACTATGTTATCCCCTGTTTTGTCCTCTAATAATTTCATATGTACATGTCCTGTCTTCTCTATCAGTCTGTAATAATTTTCAGGGCTGGATCCCATTTCTTGAACAATTTATCTACCTATCAGTGCCTAACATAGGACATGTTATTAGAGTAAAATTGGTTTGAACTTGAAACCAGGAACACATTTTGACAGCTCAGAGCTCTGGGTTTGCAGTAGAAAATAATGTCTGTGAATTTATGTCTGTAAATTTCACTGTAGGTGGTCACAGAGCAATTTTAAGAGTCGAGGGCTCCAAGTTTGCAGTGCAGAATATTAGGAGTAAATCTTTAAAAGAAACAAGTAAATGATGGACCTGTGTGTCTGAAGATTTCAATTTAAGTAGAGGGGCTTAAAGCCAAGATGAGGATTATCAAGAAAGCAAATATGGCTATTTCAACAGGATTTAACCAAGTTAAATCCTGGGGCATGATCCTGGCATTTTAATTGAAATTAAAATTTAACATCAATGAAGTAAGAACACAGCACTGAATAAGAGTGGCACTTTAGTCTCATCCTGTACACAAAATGTCAGCCTGACTTTTTCTCCCGGAAGGTTCTGTGAGACCAAGGAATTTTCTAAGCAGGGTGTCTCTAGATCAGCAACGAGTGTTACATTATTGTTATTCTAGTCACAGATGGTTTTTAGACATTCTGTGTCCATCAGTTTGTTTCCTGACCTAACAGGATATACTATTTACATTGTCTTGCTGGGAGTGCTATCAGCCTTGTTATGTTCCATAGGCCTTTTCTCCTGATCCATCTTGTGAATAGTCCTCACTGATTTCTCCCTCCACTGAAGTCCTAGCACTTATCGTCCATGCTGCCCACGGACTCATCAAGTCATAATGTCTTGTCTTTGATGCCCACCTGGTTCAACTCACTCACCTTACACATGAGAAAACCAAGGCCCAGAGTGCCGTAGTCAGTTTCCTAAGGTCATGCAGTAATTTGATAGCAAAATTGTGATTAGAATCTGAGTCTTCACAGTTTGGTATGCTTCCACCTCCATGGCACTGCTCACATTTACTATTATAAACATATAATAATAGAAATAATAATAAAATGATAATGTGGTATGTTTGTATAATGCTTTGTGCCTCATTTATTATATTATTATTATTTTTTACTTCTATCAAGACAGTACTGATTTGGTTAGAGGGCCAGTTCTTACAATATTTGGTCCCTAGAATTGAGCTCTATTTACAAAAAAGTCTTTTTAAAAAAACTAACAAATTGTATTTGTGATGCACAACATGATGTTTTGAAATATGTCTACATTATGGAAAGGTTCAATTGTAAGCTCTGTTTTTGGGTGGGAGCACTTATTAGGATTTTCCATGGCCCAGAGAGACTGTACCGACTCTGTCCTCCTTCCCTGGTTATGCCTCTGTGCTTACCAAGCAGCCTTCCGAGGACTCATGTGGTCTTGCAGATACACTGATAGGAAGGAGGTAAGCTGGCTGGAGAATTTGAGTACATTACTTCAGGCCTCGGAAAGAATAACTCCCTGAGTAAATTAATAAACCGGCATTCTAGTTTCTCAGTCTCTGGAAACTTTGGCTTATGTGAACTATCCCCTGAGACTGGTTAATTTGGAGGGGACAGACAGAACTGTGTTTTAGAAGCTGCTCAGCCGAGATCAGATCTTCGCTGATGATGGCTCTGCCGGGCCATGACTGTGTTGTAGGGCTTGTCTTAGGAACTGCAAGTGGGCCAGCTAATCACAGTTTTATGATGAGCTACTTGATTTCTGGTTCCGTTTGGTACGCCCCATTTTATGCAGAGCTAAGGCACTTTCACAGGCTGGGTTTCGTACTCACAAAGCTTGATTACAACGTCAGCCCAAAAACAGCCCAAGAGGACCGCCGAGGCAATCCTAGACAGCTGTGAGACAAAGGGGATGCCCGGCTTTTAATTCAGGTGAGGGCAGATTCCAGTTAGAAAAAAATCCTGAAGCCAACGAGAATTTGCTACCATTTATCAAACAATCTCATTCTCCAGAAATCTCATTCTCACCTATATTTAGGACAAACAGTAAGTGGGCCTGTTACTGTGCCATCAGCTCAAACCACCCCAAAACTCAGAGGCTTAAAACAACGATCATTTATTCTCAGGGACCAGCAGGTGAGCTGGGGCAGCTTTCCTTCAGGCTACAGTGGTGGCATAGCTCTTCTTCATGCATCCCTCCTGCTCCTCCTGGGACTGGTGGGCCAAGCTGGGCATGTTCCTTCCATGGTGGAGTCACAGGGGCAGGTGAGACAGCCCTAATGTGCAAGCACACCTCAAGCCCCTGCTTTCTCGTGTCTGCTGCATCCCTTGGGCCAAAGCAAGTTACATGGCTGAGCCCAGCTTCAAAGGCCAGGGACGGTTCCCTGCCTTCTTGTGGGAGGAGCTGCCAGTTTTACACAGCAAAGAGTGTGGACACAGGGAGGGCTGGAGGACTGAAGACATTAAGACAAGCAATCCCCAGGGCCAGCTGCTATTTGGAATTCTTGGTGACAGGTTTTTGTTATTCATCGTCCCTGGGAAAGGTTTATCTACATGATGAGGTCCTTTTAAAAGAGAATGTGGTAACAGTTTGGCAGTTCCTCAAAAAGTTAAATGTGGAATTACCATATGACCCAGCAATTCCACTTCTGGGTATATCCCCAAAAGAATGGAAAGCAGGGACTTATATAGACACTAGGACCTCAATGTTCACTACAGCATTATTCACAATGGCCAAAAGGTGGAAACAATCCAAATGTTCATTGAAAGATGATTGGATGAGCAAAATGTGGTATGTACATCCAATGGATTAGTATTCAGTCTTAAAAAGGAGGGAAATTCTTACACATGCTACAACATGAATGAACCTTGAAAACATTATGGTGAGTGAAATAAATCAGACACAAGGGATATGTGTGGGATGAAAAATACTGTATGAATCCACTTAACATGAGGTACGTAGAGTAGTCAAATCCATAGAGACAGAAAGTGGAATTGTGGTTGCCAGGGGCTGGGGACAGGGGGAATGGAGTAATGGTTTAATAGGTACAGAGTTTCTGTTGGGGAAGATGGAAGTTCTGTAGGTGGAGGGTGGTGATGGTTGAACGATGTGAATGTACTTAATGCCACGAATTGTATACTTTAAAATGATTAAAAGGGTGAGTTTTATGTTATATATATTTTATGTTGGCTTGGTCATCAGATCTTCAGAGAGACCTGGGGCATCAGATATGCAGAGAGGGTGTGAAGATCCTGCCATCCATTCTAGTATGAAGGCCTGTGTGTCTCAAAGATGAGGAGAGAAGGAAGCTCAGGTCTGAAATATTTGGATTAAATATGCTTATGAAATTTTTATTTGCAGAATTAAATCCATTTGGCCAGGCTAGAAGTTTGCTCACTTTGTAGAAACTGACTCAAGCTTGTATACGAAAAGTCCTGGGAAATGGTAGGATTCAGCACCTGAGGAGGTAAAATGAGGGCAATCTGGGGGCTAATAAGACTGTGGTTTCTTTTCTCACCTTTTGTTAAATGGGTAACATAACAGATGCATGGGGAAGGATGGTGGACCCAATAAAGCCAGCAAAGTAACAATGAAGCCAATATGAGTGCTTAATGACACCTGCAGAGCTTGTCAGGGACTACGCAAGGTTTTGATGGGAGAGATGCCCAAACCTTCCTCTTATGATGGTTGGACTATTAGTATGTTTTCTGAGAAGAGAAAGCTAATGGGTGCCTCAAAACCTACCAGCTTCTGGTGTAGAAGGAGGTAGGTTCACCTGTCTAAATATATGTGCTTTTCCTTTTTTCCTTCCCAAATATGCTCTTCAGAAATATGCCAATGACATTGATATCTCAGTGTGGTGAAGGAGGAAGGAGGCACTTGTCTTTAACCTTGACAACTGAAGAGGACTTCCTTTGTGCAAAGGTTCTGTGCCTTTATTGTTTTCTGTTTTCTCCCTGTCTCTTCTGTCCCTTATCTCCCTGGACTTGGAAAGAGAGAGATTCTAAATGGCCACCTTTCTATGTGTGACAACATTTTTAGGGTATCCACCTGGGAGGACAGGGTTGGCACATGCTGAGGAAGCAGTACATTGTCTAATCAGTTGTACCTGCTGTTAGACCTGCCTCTAGGATACAGCATGGGCTTGGGATGAGAATATCTTTTCTTTCCTTTTTTTTTTTTTTTTTTAAGATGGTGTGTCACTCTGTTGCCTGGGCTGGAGTGCAGTGGTGCGATCTTGGCTCACTGCGATATCTGCCTCCCGGATTCAAGTGATTTTCCTGCCTCAGCCTTCTGAGTAGCTGGGATTACAGGTGCCCACCACTACGCCCAGCTAATTTTTTGTATTTTTAGTAGAGAAGGGGTGTCACCATGTTGGCCAGGCTGGTCTTGAACTCCTGACTTTGTGATTCGCCTTCCTTGGCCTCCCAAAGTACTGGGATTACAGGCATGAGCCACTTTCTTTCTCTGATGACTCATGTGGTCTTTGCTTGAGAATTCTGGGCCTTGGCAAGTTGTGTACCATTAGGCTCTCTGAATAGACAGACCACCATTGTCTGCGTTCCCTGGAGATGTGGAACTAAATGTTATTTCCTTGGTCTTGGCCTTTCCCTCAAGCAAATACAGCCTCATGAAATTCTGGGTATGACCAGAGTCCCAAGAACCATAGGCCTGGGTGTCCAGCCATGGTTCCTGAGGGCAGAACAATAGAAATATTGCAGAACAGACCCAGCAGCAACCAGATCAAAGGCCCAAGGAGGGCAACCGACAAGGCTGCCTGTGGTCCTAGGTAATGGAAAGTGAAGGGACATTTGGTGAGTCATCACCAGAGCATCCATGGGGCTCGGGCAGAGGCTGCTGGGAGCACTGCCTGCTGTAGTCCAGGACCATCCCTTCCTGATCAATGGAAATGCATTCCTGCTTGTTCTAGTCTGGTGCCAAAGATGAACTCTCCCACTTCCCCCTCCTTTTACTCTAAACATCCCACAGGGACAGAATAAATAATGATTCAGATCAGTTGTCCTCAGAGTGGAGACCTGTCAGAGATCTCTCAGGAATGATGTGTAAACAGGGATGGGAAAATGAAAACTAGAAAAGCCTCAGGTGGGCTGTTAGAGAGGCATGAAGGCACCTGTGGCAAAACAGTTCACAGACTGTGATGGTTTTGGAAAACTATGGTTACTTTTTCTAAAATAGTCAATATGTGTGGATTTTCAGGATTAAAATTTGCAACCTTCCCTGAAAGGTAGGGAGGTGGTACTCAGACTTCTGTGTAATTGCAGTGTTAGGAGGGTGCATGGGAAGTTATCTTCCCTATTTCGTTGTCTTCAGGCAAGACCAACCAAGGCACCTGACTCAATTCCAGCCCATTTAAAAAAATCTCCATTTAAAAAATTGCTTGGCTTGTTTTTATTATAATGTTTATTGAATATTTTCTATGTACTATGTTCTTGACAGGCATCATCTCCTTTAATCCTTGCAATCACCCTATGAGAAAGGTATTGCTATTATCCACATTATACAGACAAGAAAACCGAGGCCTAGAAAGGTTAAATCACTTGCCCAAACCCACGTGTTGTTTGCTTAGTGGCTGCTCTGGCAGTGAGCCTGGCATCTGACTCCAGAGCCTTAGCCTGGAGCACTGCTTGGGAGCCGTTCCTCAGGGTCTCGCTTTGGTGTACCTTCTGCAGTTTTGTCTCAGGACACCATAACAAAGTGCCACAGATTGGGTGGCTTAGACAATTGAAATTTATTTTCTCACACTTCTGGAGGCTAGATGTCTGAGATCAAGGTGCTGACAAGCTTGGTTGCCTGACTTTGCTAGCATGCTGTTCTTAGACTTCCAGCCTCCATGGCTGTAAGAAATAAATTTCTGTTGTTTATAAGCCACCCAGTCCATGGTACTTTGTTATAGCAGCCTGAACTGACTAAGGCAATAACCATTTAAAGGTCCCCTGGGAAGGGACATGGAGTGGAGAGGAGATACCAGTGTTGGAGCCCTGTCCCCATTCCTGTGGGCTTATGCTGGTCTGGGCCCTTAGATTTTATTCTCTCGGAGATTCTTATGAATTAGTAAATATGGTTTTTCTTTCCCATTATAGGGTGGTTGTCTTTCTTGCATAGAGGAGAGGGGATGGGTGTATATGATCTTGGCTGCTCCTAGACCTTAATTAGCCTGAGACTTTTCCAGGGTAACCCATCTGTTGAAGTCAGAGTTTTCCATTTCAGAATTTTATCTCTTTCCAAGGTACAGCCAGAGCCCTAGGAAGGGTACGACTCTATTACAATATACTCGACTTGAAACTGTAACTAAAAATGATGGTGATGAATTGCAGACAGAGCAAGCAAGTGAGCGAGAGAGCATGCAGGAGTGAGCAAGCAGCATCTGTTGAATGGTGAACCCCAAGAGTTCAATTACCCCAGTTCTCGCTGCAGAAGGTAACCATGGAAACCTCATAATCCAAAGCATCACCAGTCTCCGAGCAAAATACACACACAACACACACACACACACACACACACACACACACACACACACACGCATGCCTCAAGAGGGCAGTATGTATGTATGCGTATGTGTGCATATGCCTATGTTTCAGTTATTGTGTATGAGGGGTGTGTTTGTGTGATACTTGACAGTTTGCGTTGTGTGTATATCACATGGAATTAGTATGGGCATTTGCTGCCATGCTTTCCGGTTCTGTTCTCAGAGGTGGTGAAAGAGTGCAGATTTGTCCCAATGTTTGGGTGCTGCACTCAAAGATGGTTAGAACGTGGGAGAGGACGTGCAACTTCGGTTTAGTGGAGGGTAATGTGGTGGCAGGGTTTGGGCATGTAGGAAGGCTTTTAACTTATTTTTTTCCCATGTCAGGTTTCTATTGCACAAAAGGGTACAGGATTGAATTTTTTACCGGCTGGGAGTTATATTCCTGTGGAATGGGGAAACTCAGTGTGGATCCATATCGAACTTCTCAAACAATCTAATGCGGATGTAAATCCAGGTTTGGGGGTATCATTTTTACAAAGCAGTGTCTTTTTTCAGGGTATGTGCTGGTCTTTTTGTATTTTTTCTCTTTTCTAGCTTCCTGCTTTAAACCTCATCCTTTTTTCTTAAGCTTGGGGCTAGCTGCGTATTGCATGAGGGATATGTGAATGTTGCACTTGGGGAGGGGGTGGTAGGGACAACTCATGAACATCTGCTAATGAAATATGTCACTCAGTATGTGCACAATATCAAGAAGACTGTGTGTCACTTGGCAGATCTTTGAGTGTAAGGCAGCTCCGTCTGGATTAAGAATTATTTGTGTGTGGGGGGGGTGGCTATATGAAGACTGGGACTTCAGATAGGCATTCCTACGTTTCTGAGTGATGAATGGGGCGGGGGGGCACACACCATGCAAAACCTGGCCCTGTGTTAGAGGTTGTCTCAACTTAATGGTAGCTCTGTGCACACAAGTATAAGGGCTTATGTGTACGTGTGTTTACCAGCTCTGTCCCTCCCGCTTTGTGTGATGTATGAATGAAAGAGAATTCATTAGGAGGCATTGGGAAGAAACCCTGTCTTTTAAATTCTTGCCTTTCATTCACATTTATAGCTGAGGGTTTTTAAAGTATAGAGGTCTTATTTGTCCATAAAAAGATGATTACCAAAAGAATATTTTATTTTCTGTTTTTAAAGCAAGCTGCTTCCTGGATGACTGAAATCCACATTGGCATCTCCCAGCAGCGGCTTGAAACACTGCCCACATGGCCCATGTGCCTCTGGTAGCACTATCCCAGCCTCCGTCTGCTCCCAGGAAGAAAGGGCCAGGCTAAAAGGCTGGGAGACATTGGATGTTAGGCAGTTGCTTGTAGCTCTGACACCATGAAAGGAATTCCTAGCACTGGATGTGTAAAGTTACCTTTTAGGTTTGCCCAAATGGCACCAGGGCAACCCCAGAGATGGGCTGAAGAGAACCACCCACTTGGCATTGATCACTTTCCCCATTCCTGCTGTTGCCCATCCTCATTTCCTTCAGGAGCTGGGTTGTCCACCCAGAATGTCTGAAAGATACCCTTGCTCTTGGCCCCCCACCTCCTCAAAACAGTCCAGGGAGGAGGAGGTCTCCTTCCCTCTCTCTGCTATAGTACGGGGGGGGGGTGCTCCTGCCCAGGCTTCCTACCCTGTGCTCCTTCCAGGGCATGTCTTGAGTGTTTAACAAGCAATGATTCAGAAACCTGTGGCTTTAGTTTATTTACATTTTCATATATCTACTTTTTAAGTTCATTCCAAATGGTAGATTCTGGAGATACGGCAATGAAGAAGGCACTCTTTTTGCCCTTAGTGAGCTCACACGCTAGTCAAAGTGCCAACAAATAAAAAGGCAGTTATAGTACTATACAGTGAGATAAGATCCAATAGGGGTTAACCCAGGACACTATGGGAGCTTCTAAGAGGGGCACTAGCCCTGTTTTGGGGAGCAGGGAGGTTTATTAGAAGAGCTGATGTCTGATCAGTAATCTAAAGGGTGAAGGGGAATTATCTGGGTAAAGGGAGGTAATGGGATGCTTTCCAGCAAGGGGGAATGAAGTATTTGTTAGAAACATAACTGCTTCACAGGTGAAACCTCATGGCAAATGGTATTCATGAGAGATAAAAACTGAGGGGTTCGGGGGGAGAGAGAGAGAGATGGAGAAGTACAGGAAGCAAACAAACACGCAGAGGGAGGGAGAGACAGAGACAGATGGGCAGAGAGGAAAAGCTGGATGGTCGGGAGATGGCGAGACAGAGAGAGGACCACAGAATCATGCATTGTTAGGGCCAGAGGGAACCAGAGCAGACATCCACAAGCCCCTCATTTTAAAGATAAGAAAATGGAGGCAAAGAAAGGCTAAATAATTTGCCAGAGTCCCAAAGGTGTTTAGTTGGAATGCTGAGTGAGGAAACTAGATCTCCAGCTTCCAGTGGGTTGCAGAAAGAGGAGACAGAGGGAGACACGTAGGGCGAGAGCAAAGTCAGAGATGGAGGGAAGAAAGCTAGGTAAAAGCACGGCTGGCTGAGATTCACTGGCGTCTCACTGTCAGGATTATGGTGTGGAGTGAAAGCAGGGAAAGTTTAGATGACAACTCAGCTGGGTTTCTTTCTTTTCCTTTCCCCTCTACCTTTTCCTCTTTCTCACTTTCTCTTTCCCTTTCCAACCACATCTTGCCTACAACTAGATGTCAGGGAACTGGTTGCCATGGCTACTAAATAGCATTCGCGCAAGCTGAATTATTAAACCAGGGTCTTTTCTTTGAAGCCCTGGTCCCAGTATGAAGTCCCGTTAGGGGGCGTCATGTGGGGCATAGGTCTGAGCCAGGGTGCTTTCTTGCAGGTCTGGCTGAAAACCGAGAGGACAGGGAGGGCATCTTGGGCACTGGGCTCTTTCCCTTGCTAGATGTATAGAGGTCTGGGGGTGGGGGGAGGTGCACCAGCGCGGGTGGAGGGATGGAGGGAGACAGGCCCTGTGTGCTGCTGAGAAGAATTCCTGCATCCCAGCCTGGTTCCCCTACCTCCTCTGTCTAGAGCAGCAGCCACAACTCATTCAAATGGGACAAGAACAAAAACCAATCTTTTTGTTATGTCTGAAAGGACACCATATCGTTCTAAGTAGTTGTTACTTGTGGCCAGGGAAGGAAGAAATAAAATGGCAGGTATGTCCGGGGGATCATACTTGGGCATCTGGCATTGAGCCCCCTGCATGGATAGGTAAAGGGAATGGGTTGTGGGATCATCTTGTTGGTGAGCATCCCATGCTCCCAATTGTGTGAATGCATTGTCAGAGATAGTCTTGTTTGTGGGTACAATTGCTGTTTGTTTTGACGGTGGAGAGGAGCGGGTATGGACACTCTGCTCTTTAGAAGATTCCAAGCCAGGAAAACCATCAGCCGTCTGGTATCCTAGCTCTTTAAACTTTTTCATTAAAAACAAAAAAAACCCACACATAGTAGAGTGAATGCTCCTGCTACGGGCTGAGGGGAGAAGGCCTGGGTGGCTGGTAACTATGCTGTGTGTGTGTGTGTGTGTGTGTGTGTGTGTGTGTGTGTGTGTATGTTGGGGTAGTGGTGGGGGCATGAAGAGTATATTTTGGGGTTCATGGAGTTATTCTCCTTCCCCCGAGCTCCAGCAGATTCTGAGGTAATTTCTTAAAGTGGGGAAAATCTCCTCCTCTCCTTCACCATGTTGTGCTTCTGACCTGGGGGTTTGAATCCTACGGCCAGGCTCTTCTCAAGGGCTCAGGAGAGGCCCCCACTGCACTCTTATGCTTGAACAGAAAAACCAACCAACCAAACAACCTTTTGATATGGGAAACCAGACCTCCAAGACTGTTCTAAAAATCTATCAGCCTCTGAAAAACTGAGGTGTAGCCCTGATTTTTTTCCTAATGCCCTGCCAGAACAGTTTTTTTTCTTTTTAATGTCAGGCTAAAGCCCAGCTTTTGAAAGTCTGATTCATTGACTCAATTCTTTTCAGGCTTGGTGAGAATTTTCAGGACTTACCTGGCCCTGGGGCCAATGTCCTGGCTCCTCACAGCATGAGCCTCTCAAGCAGACCTTCTGGGGGTAAATTGGGAACTAGCCAAGGAGGGTACATAGCCACCCTTTTCCTGCCACAGCTGAGGAAAGGTGAGAGGAGCTGTTGGCATGGTGGCTATTTAGTTCCCTTCAGTGCACGTTTCCACTGTGTGCCAGGCTCTGCCCTCAGCCATGGAAACTCATGGCCAAGTAGGAGGGCCAGCTGTCGTCATTCAGCCCTGGCCACCCTCAAGCGAGGCCTTCTGAGGACTTGACCCACCTGGGCCAAGGCTAAGCCAAAGCAATGAGTGGAGAGGGAGAGAACGCTTCTCTTTCTCTCCCTCCTCCTTCCCTGTGACTCCCTTCTCTTCTTGTCCCTTCCAATCCCACTGCCTCCTCTTCTCTCTTTTTCTGGAGCCCCTCTCTTCTCTGACTCTGAGCTCCTGGAGGACAGGAGGCAGTTGTTCATAAGCCACCTGCCAAAGCCTCCCTAGGGACCCTGCTGGGCCTTGTAAAGATGGGTGGGTGGGACGGAAAGTCATTACCTGCAGGGTTCTGGGAGACATTTCTATTATTTTTGAGGGAAAGATATGCAGAGAGCCAGAGAAATGGGGGAGAGGATACCCTAGAGGGATTCAGGTCTAGGAAGCCTTGGAAACGCCAGTTTGACTCAGTTTTGGGGCTGTTGATTTTTTTGTGCTCCTTAACTGCCCACAGGAAACAGGGTCTCCCTTAGAGCCCCCAGCTAGCTCCTGGAGACCTTCAGAGAGCCTCTGGATCAGTCCACAGGCAGCGAACAGGCTCTGCATCGGGCTGGGGCTTCCCTTGGGAAGAGTCTGGCTCAGGGGCTGGTCCCCTACACCTCTCCTTCCCCCTTAACTTGATCCTTGAAGCCCCCAGTTCTCTTGTTTCTTTTTAGATGTAATCATGTTTTTCCTCTCCCTGCCCAGTAAGGCCAGCGGCCAGGACCCTGGTGAGGTCCAGAGCTGGAGCCCAGGAAGGGGCCATCCCGCCCGCAAACGAGAATCGGGTACTCCAGTGGAAATCGCCCGCGGAAGTTTGAGGTTATTGAACTTTTCCACAGAAACCCTGACCTAAATTCTTGACCTCAGGCTGTTTACAACACAAATCCCCGCCTAAATGAAGCCTCGTGGTGCCCCCCTCCCCCCGCCCGCCGCCCCCAGCCCCGGGTGTACGCGCGCTCACGCCGGCGTTCAGCTCCCACCCTCCCGCCGCTCCCTTGCCGCCTCGCGCGTGCCGCCCGTGTCTGGACAGCGCTATCTTCTGCTGTCTGGATATAGCTCTCTTCCCTCCTCCTTTGTTAGTCCCTGGTCTGCCCTCTCGGGTGGTGGGCATGTATGCGAGTTCTCTTTCTGATTGCCAGAAATTTCTTTTCCACTGTGTGAGCAAGAGACAGATTTTTTTAAATTGTCTCTCTTCTCTTTTATTTATTTTGTTCTCCATTTGTGGCCCTCACCTCCGCCTGCCTTCCTTCCCCATTCTTTCTGTGGATTCCTCCTTCTTCCCCCTTCAATTTCACCATTTCTCCTCCCCCGTCTTCGCCCTCCCATCCCCACCCCTTTCCCCTTTTAAAATAATTCAGTGATGTCTCGGGAATACTAGCACACCCTCTTCATTCAGCTGAGCGCGGGACTCTGCATTAATTCAAGGTAAGCCCCGGGTTTTTACTGCCAGAGATGTGTCTGTCTTGCGCCCCGCATGCACTGCCTGCGGGGCTGCGCTGCACTCCCCGGCGGCGCCACGGGTCTGGCCCCCGCGCTTCTACGTGTTGGGGGGATGCATGGACCTTGGAGATCCGTAGTTGGCCCTAACCTTCTCGGAATCTCCTCTGCACGCGCTGCCTGTTCCTCCTCTGCACGCTCTGTCCGTTCCTTTGCAACTTCTGTGGGAATTGTCCTGGCGTGGGAAACGCCCCCGCGCTCTTTGGCACTTAGGGTGTGAGTGTTGCGCCCCTTGCCGCAGCGCTCAGGGCAGCATCCCGCTCGAGGATGCAGGGTTCTCACCAAGCAGTGAGGGGGACTCACGCGCCGCCGGGGAGCGGAGCCAGGCTCCGAGAAGGGAGCAGGCTCGAGCCGCTGGGTTTTCGCAAGCCTTGGGGCCTCTGGCCGCCCTTCCATGCCTCCGGGCGCGGGCGGCTCAGCAGGTCCCCGGCTTCGGGAAGTTTTGTGCGCGGATCGCTGGTGGGGAGGGCGCGCGGGCCAGTGGCTGAGCTTGCAGCGAAGTTTCCGTGAAGGAAACTGCATGTGCCTTTGGAGGCGACTCGGGACTGCTGTAGGGTGGACTGGGTGTCTATGGAGTTGCGGGTCAGAGCGAGTAGGGTGGGTCCTTTCCTGGGACAGGACTGGGAATTGGGGCTCGAAGTAGGGGAGGAAAGAGCACAGAGGAAGCCAGGCTGCATAGGGTGACTTGCTTTTTGATCCGGCTTGAGTCTCCTTGTGCGAGAGTGGTTGTGCGTCCTTTCCCAGGGATGGAACATCCAGTTTTCTGTGCTTTTTTGCTTTGTGCCCATGTCTTGGAGAGAATAATGGGAGACACTAACCCACCGACGTCTCCCTTGAGATCGCGGCTTCCTCCTTGCGCAGAGGACTGAGGTCACTTGCTGCAGTCGTGTCTGTGAGTCTGGCTGCTCAGAGCAGATGATTCAGGCTGTGGGTGCGTGCAGAGATCTGGGGGCTTGTCGTAATGGTTCACCGTGTTGGAACATTGATGCATACTTACTCTTGGCTGAGAATCACACTGTGTCATAGAGGAAAGGCTGGGAGTCAGGATAAGCTTAATCCACAGAGCAGGCTGAACTCAGAGAAGTGTTTTCCTGCAAGGAAAGGATGTTTCTGATGCTTAAATAAGGGCATTACTTTATCTCCACTGAGGTCAGAACCAGAGGAAAAGGGGCTTTCTCTCCTGGGGTTGGGATTTGGGCTAGACACCAGGAAAAAACTTCCCATTTGCAATTCCAAGATAAATTGCTAATGGGATATAGAACTTCCACTGTAAATACGTGGGTCTTGTAGGATGGTGCAGCGATTTCTACCATCTAAACTAAGATGACCATTTCTTGTTGTTTGATTCCATTCTACTGTTCTCTCACATGCTAAGTTTCTGACCAGCTAAGAAGTTTTTTACCACTTTGTAGTATAGTGTAATCATATCATTTATGATTGACTGATTGTCCAAGCTGGGACATTTCTGAGAGTGGACAGAGATGTTGGTAATAATTACACATGGCCAATGAAGACTCCCATGCAGATAGAGATAAATGATTGCCCTAAGAGTGACTGTATTTATGCTAGGTTAGAGGTAGGGATAATTCAAGAGGCAACATGTGTTGGTTTCATGTCATTTGGATCTTGCATCGTTTTTCCTGACTCAGATTTCTAATGGGCTTTATTTCAGTTCCCTCTGAAAATCCAGCTCTCAAATACAAATCTCTGTCCTTTGATGAACACCTTTTTCTCCAATTACATGAGTCCCTCTGAAATGCCCATTCCTGGAGTGGAGCTTCATGCTCTAACTCTGCAGGGATGACAAACTGAGAGTGATTTACATCTATTCCTCTGTCTTCTTGGTTGTATTTATGAGTCTGGGACTCCCAGGAGGCTGTCCTTCTGCCAGGAATTGTGAGTGTTGTGGTGATGGTAGCATGATATACAGTGACCCACAGAGTCACATGGTTGAGCTATCGGATCATCGCTGTCACAGCGCCTCCACTCCTTGAAGGCTAGGATGTGTGTGTTGAGTGTGAGAGAGAAGGAAGAGGAAAAAAAATCCTACATGTCTGGATTTCAAACTGAGAAACTCATGTTCAAGAAGCATCCTATTGTGGAGAAATGTCTGTTTTTTACTTCCTTGCTTGTGTGAGGGAGTGATGAGGACTCTTACGGATGTGTCAGTCACACCTCCATCCCCCTTGCAGCCCATAAATCTGCCAGACAGCTAAGTTCCTGCAGGGCCTCAAAAAGTGTAGTTACCATTGATTGATTGCTTATTGCTATATTTTCCAAATATTATACCAAGCAGCTTCCAGGCATTTTCATAATTAATTGTTAACCAATCCTATTAAGTAGGTATCCCCATTTTATAGATGAGGAAACTGATGCTCAGAAAAGTTAACTAACTTTCTCAAGTTCACCCAGCTAGTAGGAGGCAGAGCTGGGATTTGAACCCAGGCTAGCTGACTCCCTGCACACGAGGTTGACCCTTTGTGCTGAAGTTGATGGCATCTGACTCACAGAGTTAGTCCCAGCTGCTCAGCCGGGGGGGTGATGGCTGGTTCCAGAGTGGGGTAGATTGGCCAGTCTGCTCGGCCATCCTGACTGGTCCTTAACTCATGTTACCCCCGTTTTTTCTGTCAGCAGTGTCCTTGCTTGGTGTCCGTCTTAGTCCATTTTGCTTTGCCATAAAGGAATACCTGAGGCTGGATAATTTATTTTAAAAAAAGAGGTTTATTTGGGTTATGGCTCTGCAGGCTGTACAAGAAGCATGGTGCCAACATCCGTTTCTGGTGAAGGCTTCAGGAAGCTTTCACTCTTTGTGGAAAGGGAAGGGGAGCTGGTGTGTGCAGATCACAAGATGAGGGAGAAGCAAGAGAGAAGCAAGAGAGAGAGGAGGGAGGCTCTTTCTAACAACCAGATCTTGTGGCAATTAATAGAAAGAGAATGCATTCATTACCTCGAGGACGGTGCCAAGCCATTCATGAGGGATCAGCCCCCATGACCCAAACACCTCTCACTAGGTCCCCAACTCCAACACTGGGGGTCACATTTCAGCATGAGATTTGGAAGGGATGAACAACCAAACTTTGTGTGTCTTCCACTTTTTGCCTGGCAACCTAGATCTCACCACAGGGATCTCACCTCTGGATCCCAGTCCAGTGAGCTCATGAATCCTACCTGGGGTGGTGGAATTGTCTAATGGAAAGGCAGAGCGCATGTCACCATCTGATTTTCAGGGTTTGTCTGCACCTTAGTTATTGATGCCTGCTTCTCTCAGGATCATAGTCAGGTGAATCCAGTTGTCTCAGAGACTGACCATGGCCTAGATTGGAAAAGGCCTTCTCACTCCTTGGCTTCCCCAGAAATAGTTCTGTAGACTAGTAGGGGAACCAGACCATCACTAGTTGATAGTGTGTTGGTTGGGTCCCTCAGATCCTCTCTATCATAAAGGCAAAAATAGAGGCTCATGTAGATAATTCTAGGCATTGTCATTCCCACTTACCCTGCAGCACAATAATTTACCAGACCAAGAACAGCATGGCTGGGGGGAAAGGAGGCAGGACGGAGATTGGGTCAGGATAGGGTAGTTAAAGAGTACTGCGTGGGAGACTTCATTTCTACCCAACTCAGCCTCTCTAAGAAGCCATGTGACCTTGTGCAAATCGGTAACCTAGTTGGGCCTCATTTAACTTGTCTGAAAATGAAGGTTGGGATATTTTCTAGCTTCAGCAGTCCCACAATTCAGGGTGGCTTTCTGCTCTGTGCTCTGTAAATCTGAGGCAGAACCACGCCTTTTCTCTTCCCTTCTACTGGGGGAGGGTAGGCGGGGCAGATGGGGCTTATGGACAGGAGTTAGATGGAGGGCCATGGAAGAAACCTTCTGGGTGGAGCAGCGACTGCCCTTGGTCTCCTATAGGCAGGCCTCAGCCCAGTTCTGGTCTGGAAAAATTGGGTAGCTCAGCTGGTCAGGGATGAGTAGATGAGATGCTGGCATATATTACTTTGCATTCCCAACAAGTGAGGGAGAATTGGGAAAAGCAGGAAATACAATAGTATACTAACAACCATCTACAATATGCCCTGAATGATTATCTGAGCAGTGGGGGAAGAGGGTGGGGGTGAGAGATAGGACAAAGGGAGAAGGAGAGACATGGTCTTTGTCCTCCTGGTGCTGACAGTGTGGGGAGAGCCTGGAACTAGGCCATTGGACCAAGTATACATGTTACAAACTATAAAGCCATTCAGAACCAAAAAGCCCCTTGCAAAACCATTTTTACAAACAGTTGTAACAAATAGTTAGAGTTGTTTATGTGCAAATAAAGTACCTTCCTGGCAGAAGCGAAGATGTGTGGTACCTTTCTCATTGTAACCTGGAAAACTGGTGTTATGAATGTCATCCTCATCCCTGACATGAGGATTCAAGAAGGTTCTATTGTCTGCAATACATGCATGGACTTGGGGGTAACTGCACTGAATGAGGTTATAGAATGGGGCTCCTCCAAGGAAAGGCCTTCCCGTTTATGTTCATGTGTTATTGCTGTGGCAGATTCAGTCTCTGAATCACAGGGCCTTTGTAACTATGTGGATGACAGTTGAAAAATAAAATTTCCTCCATAAACACTAGTCTGGGCTTGGGGTGAAGAGAGAGTGCTCTAGATTCTCAGTACAGGATTGGTAGTGACAGCAGCAGCTGAATGGGGCTGAGGGAGGGCACAGCCCCTGGGAGCACCAGGATGAAGGTGTGATGCTGTCTTGGGCACAACTGCGTATGGCACGGGAGTGCATCCGTCCCTGTGAGTTTTCATATAATTTCTAACCTGGGTAAAAAAATCTAGGGCTGCACCGATGGCCACACCTCTTATTGATGAAAATATCACTGTAGTTGCAAAAATGCAACTTGGTATCAAAGTAGTTCTCTGTGCCTTGCTGTCTTGCAGAGAGTATCTGTGTGTATGCCTCTCTTAAGTGCCTTTTGGGGTTCCTTCCCCTTTCTCATGAACCAAATGTGTACATGTGCTTTTTCCAGAAGGAATGAGAAAATAAAGATGCATGGTTCTTTCTCTTAAGTGATTGGTTTCTAGCTCTAAGTCCAGTACTTTAATAAAGTATTTCTTTTATCAAATTATATATTCTCTGACGCTGGCATAGTGGATCTGGTCTTGTTCCAATCCATACTAGCTATATGACCACAAGAAAAGCACTTAAACCTGCTGGGTCTCCACTTATTAATACACAGGCACAGAACTGTCTTTCAGAGAAGGGGAACTGGAGCCAATGGCCACTTGAGGCCCCTTCCCATGTTAGGATCATTGACTGTCATATGATTCTGTCTCCCTTCCCTTCTCTCTCTTCTTCTATTATCTTTCTCCCTCTCTTACCCTTTACTAGTCATACAATAGGATTTTTTTGTTTGCTATATTTACTGAATAGGAATTTTATTCTTTGTTCTTAATTTAAAAAGCTGTGAGGAACATTTTATATTTCTGCTTCTGAAAAGAAGGTAAATTGAGTTACTCTTGACTTATTTAGTCCTTGATTGATGTTTTCTTGAAAGTAATGATCCTAAATACAAAAAAGTTCCACCCTTTCCTTAGTGAGGGATTCATAATGACAGGTAAACACACATCCAACTTCCGCCTTCTTTTTTTGTTGGATCTCAGACTCTGGGTTAATGAGCTATTCGGTGCTGAAGTCTGAGAGTCCTAGGTTCATCCAGGCAAGGAAAGCCAGCCTTCCAACCTCAGAACCTGAGCCCTGGTCCAGAGCAGCTCCCATGATGACTGGAGAGGAAGGAGCCTGGGCTTGGGGGGCAAAGCCCCTTATGTGAGCTCAGTTCTGTCACTGGGTGAAAAATCACTTAAGTTCTCCCTGCTTTCCCTTTCCTTTCTTCTACTCACCTTTCCCCTCTTCCCTCTTTCTGAAAATGTGTCCTGAGGTCCTGTTCTGGGCCAGGCACTGACTAGGATACTGGGAATAGAGCAATGAACGAGACAGCCAGATATCATACTGTTGTGGAATTTATATTATATTGTAGGAAGAGAGAAACCATACATAGATAAGTAGATTTAGAAAAAAAATCAGACCGTAATGAATGGCATTTGGAGAATTAATAGAGGGTGATGTGGCAGTAACAGGGTCACACTTTAGATAGCAACATCAGGGAAGGCTTCTGAGGAGGTGATATTTAAGCCGAAGATCAGAATGATAAAAATGAAATAGGATCTATATCACAGATTCTCTATGGCTATTATGAGGAATAAGTTAAATTGTATGCAGAAGTGTTTGAGACTATGAAATGAATGCAGCACATTTTATATCTCATTGAGCAAAATTCTCTGAGGTTGAGCATTGTGATTAATTAATATTTGCAGTTTCAGTACCTAGCATAGTACTGAATGTAGGATGAATTAAATTATAAATGTAAATCGGGAGTTCAAAGGAAATGTTTAAGAAATAAATTAGATGATGCCTAGGACAGGCCTTTGTGGAAGGAAGATCCTGTTCCTTCCACTGTTGCCACTACTGGGCTTTCCTGGAGGTTTGCATCCATGAAGCCCCGGGAGAGTGGAGGTTCCCTGGGTTTACAGGGTACAGAGGGATGGAGAGGGACAGGCAATACTGAGGGAGTAGTGTTCTTGAGTAAGTTCCAGGTTGCTCTTCTTGCTTTTCAGGGTCTTCTTAACCCAGAGCGGACAGAGGTTAGCTTAGCAGGAATTGGGAAGAGACGTCCAGGCCTCCTTCCATCTCCTGCATCTGGGAGGGTGGCTGTTCTTCCCATGCTGCACAGGATGCAGACTTCATAGCCTTTGCCTTCCTCCAGTGCTGCCACAGCTCTCTCTTCTCTCCAGCCCATCGTGCTCAGAGGGGCTCTCAGTCCACTCTGCGGACTGCTGACTGAGACTTTGCAGACCTGCTCCCCTTCTCCCTGCTACCTGCCTGCCGGAAGAGTTGAGTCAACACAGCCCACCTCCTGCACCCAGAGCTGTGAGTCACAGTTGTTCAAACACGGAGGTGTGAATCACTCAACTTCTAGCCTTTGAGACATCTTGTGTGACAGCTGAGGGAGAAGGCTGTGTGTGTGTCCCTGCCCCTCACTTCCCTTTGGGTTTATCATGCTTCCTGCCCTTAGACCCTAGAGCTCAGACCTCACGGCCCTTCCCCAGGGCCACAAGACCAGTCTGGGGGTACATGGAGTGTTTATTCACTCACATGGGAGGGGTCCTTAGGAAGAACATCCTGTCCCAAGGTGTGGTTCCCGGACCAGCCACATAGCACCCTCGAGAACTTCTTAGGCATTCAAATTCTCATGCCCAGTCCCAGACATCCTGGATCAGAAACTCTAGGGGCGGGGCCAAGCCCTCCAGGGGAGTCTCATGCACGTTAGTTTGGGAACCCCTGTTAGAAGGATAACTGAGTGTGGAGCATCCAGCATGTGCCAGAAACTAGTTTTTTATTTTTATTTATTTATTTATTTATTTTTAAATTTTTATTTTTATTTTATTGAATTATTTTTGGTGTGTCTAGGCCAAGGAAATAGGAGATCGTGGGTGGGGAAACAGACTGAGGGAATCAGAAGCACCACTGTCCATCCGGAATTAAATCCACATCCCAGCATCTTCTGCAAATATTTCACTAATTATTTCCTCTCGGAACTCCTCCCTTCCTGTTCCTTCCTCTGGTGAGGCCGGCGCTCCCCTCCCAGGCCGCAGGGGACAGACAGGGATTGGGTTCTGTGTGCCTGCCACACCAGGCAGGCTCTTGCGGCTCCCAACTAGACGGCCTTGCACTCCGCGTGCACTGGCCACACATCCTCGCCTCCTCCACCCGCTCCGCCGCCGGTTTCCTTGGAAGTTAAATCTTGGAGGATTTGTCCACACCCAGGCCGCTGCCAATCCCAGCTCCTTCCCCAGCGCCTCATTTCCGATTTTTTCATATGCTAAGTCGTTTAACAACTCCCCAGAAACTAGTTATATTGTATGTACAGCTTTTTGAGGTACAGGAATTGTCATTCTTGTTTTATAGATGAGCAGAAAGGCCTGCAGAACCCGAGATCATAGTAGGTGGTAGATCCTGAGTTTGAATCCAGTCTTGACTTCGAAACCAGAATTATTGTGAGGTTTGGACCCCTAATTAAAATGCAAATATTTCTGACGATATCTGTTACTAATCAGTAACATCTTGGTGCTCTTAGTGCTAATTCCTGTCCTGGCCATTCACAATAGACTGCTGAGAGGAGAGCGGAACAGCCCTGAGAAGGAGGCCTGGATACCTTATGGTGTCTCATGGGTGCTCCCACTGCTTGGCAGTTTCTCCTGTGGTTAGCTCTGGCTGAGTTCCTCCTCCAGATGGGACTGAGTGACTGATCCTTAAACACAGGTGCTTCCCAGTCCACCCTGGCCCTTTCAGCTATTTATGGTCCACACATCCCTCCCTTTGCCTTGGCCACCGCTCGTATGCTGGTGACTTCCAAATTTCTGTTCTAACCTAGGATTCTCTTTTGAGTTTGAGATTTCTCTCCAACTGAATACTAGATGTTTATACTTCAGCACATCATAGTGTCTCAAACTCACCTTGTCTAAAACCTAACCCATCTTCATTTCCCAAATCTTGTCCTCCTCTCACATGGCCTCTTTCAGCAAATGGTACCGCCCTCCGTCCTGTTGCCCGAGACAGAAATCTGGGAGTCATTTGTGACTCTTGTTCCTCCCTTTTGCCCTGACGTTCATCACCTGACCTGCCCTCACCCACCCCACGTGGGCCTGGCTCTCAGTTGCTCATCCTGATTCCTCAATCCCTTTGGGCTGTCCTGGGTTCTTCTCCTTTGCACTCCCTTGGCATCCCATGCTTACCTCTGACACTGTGCTCCTTAGGTAGTGTTGTAACCGTCAGCCTCTCCTAGGCTGAGATCCTTGATGGCGAGGATTGTGTCTTTTATCTATGTGTCTCCAATGCTTTGCCCTTAGGTGACTGATAAGTTTACTGAATATATAAACAAGTAAAGATGCTACTCTGGAACCTTTGGCAAATCCTGATTCTCCTTCCCTTTGTTGCAGTACAATCTCCCCTATGATGGGGTCATTGTGCTCGCCAACTATGACTTTGACAAGATCCTTAACACTTGACTTTGAAGTGACAGTGAGTACCCACCAACTCCTCTCAGAGAAAGCAGGGAGTTGACGGAAGGCAGTAATACTACGGAGTGTGTATGTGGTATATATATATCTGTGTAGAAAGTGTTGCCATGAAGCTGAAGTGGAAGAATCCAGGCAGATTTCATATTCCTGCCAACTTTATATCCAACAATTTGTAATTTATAGAAAATCAAAGAAGAGTTTTCTCTGATCTCCCCAACCCCCATCTTTCCCCCCAGGGTGAAGACTGTATTTCAGTTATCACTGTATACCCACAGCTCCTCAATATATTGTCTAGAACACAGTTAAGTGCTAAATAAATGTTCAGAAAGAGCTTTGGCTAATGGCAAGAACTCTAGGAAAGGTTCTGGGTTGGGAGAATGAGGGCAGGACCTACAAATCCATGATCAGACCAGCTGAGTCCCATGGCTTTGAATATCATCTTTATGCCCCACACTCCTGTAGCAGTTAGCTTTTGCTGCATAATAAATCACCTCCGATCTCAGAGGCCTAAAACAACAGTTAGCATTTCTCACAATTCTGTGGGTTGGCTGGTGGTTCCTTTGTCCTAGGCTGGCCTGGCTGGAGTTGGATGGTCTGGTTTGGCCTCACTGACATCTATGGGTCATCAGCTGAGGCAGGGGCAGGGGGACAGCTGGGATGCTGGAGCCTCTCTCTTCACGATTTCACGTCCTCAGAGAGGCCAGCCCAGGTGTCTTCACATAGTTGCAGAAGGTTTCAGAAGCAAGTGTCTTTGTTTGAGCTGCTGTAACACAACACTGTAGGCTGGGTGGCTCTTAAATAGCAGAAATTTGATGTTCACAGTTCTGGAGGCTGGGAAGTCTGATATCAAGGTGCTGGCAGATTTAGTCGTGGTAAGGGCCTGTTTCCTGGTTCATAGGTGGTGCCTTCTCGCTGTGTCCTCACATGGTGGAAAGGTAAGGAGCTCTCTGGGGCCTCTTTTGTAAGGGCACTAATCCCATTCATGAGGTCTCCACCCTCATGACCTAATCACCTCCTAAAGGCCCCACCTTCTAATACCATTACAATGGTGAATAGCTTTCCACATATGAATTTGGGGAGGATACAAACATTCAGACAATAGCAAGGAGAGAGGGCAAGCCCCAGTGAGCAAGCCTTTTTCAGTTCTCTGCTTGTGTCACATTTCCTACTGTTCCATTGCCTAAAGCAAGTCACATGGCCAAGCTAGATTCAGTATAGGAAGTGACTACCCAAGGCGTGGATATAGGAAAATGTGAACAAATTGGGATTTGTGTTAGCCTGGGTCCTCTGAGAAGTAGCCACCAAGATGGGGTGAAATGTACATGGATTTTTATTAGGAGAAAAGTGATGAGAGTAATGGGGAAGGAGTTGGGAAAGGCTAGAAAAGCCATCAGACCACCATGCAAGTCTAACCCTGAGTGACAGATTGAGGGAAGGTAAGTTGAGTTCAAGGGTCCCTGCCTGCTGTGCAATCTGAGGATTGCAAGGCTTTTGGGAGGCCCTCACGCCAAAGTTGGCTATCAAGGGAGTCCTGTGACTCCTAGAGGTCTGCTAGGCACATTCTCACAGCCACCATAGTGTCATTACTCAAAGAATTTATCACAACTCCCAAATTTATACTTCCAGCTCAGACCTCTCTCCTAAGCTCTAGACCTCTATAGTCAATGGCTTTCTTAATCTTTCCACTGGGTGGTCTCAGAGGCATCTCACAGTGAACTCTTAATCTCTGCCTCCAAATCTGTTTTTCCTCCAGCTTTCTTTGTCTTGGTGAGTGGCGTCTTCATCCACCCGCAAGTCCAGGAGTCATTGTTGATACTTGCATCTCTGTATTCCTGTAGGTGATCCATTATGAAAGCCTGTCCACCTTATCCCTCAATATGTCTCGACCTTGTCTTCTTCTCTCCAGCTCTGCTGCCATTACCAAGACCAAACCATCTTCATCTCTCCCTTGGACAACCACAACAGCCTCCTAACCAATCTCTCCACTTCCTCTCTGGTCCCCTTGTGGAGCTCCAAGCTCCACAAGGAAGCCTGCATGATCTTGAAGCATAAACATGATTATACCACTTTTCAGCTTGAACTCCAAGATCTTAGCCATGGTCTCTGTGCCCTGCATGCTCCAGCCCCTACCCCACCACAGCTTCAATGCCTACTTTGCTCTCTATCACCCACCAGCTTCCAGCTACTCTGGTCTCTTTTAAAACACGCCACACTCTTTCTCACTGCAGGCCTTTGCACATGCTGTTCCCTCTCCCCATAATCTCCCATCCTCTCACTCCCCATTCACCTGGTTAGTGCCTATTCATTGTTCAGTTCTTGATTTAACTGTCATTTCTTCAGTGAGATCTTCTGTCTCACAGACAACTGCCACCCCTCACCCTAGCCCATCTAATTTATGTTCCCCTATGACACTCTCTTATAGCATCCTACAGTTTTATAGCTCCCATCCCAGTTCATGTATGTATACTTAGTTACTTGTTAGTTTAGCATCTGTGTCTCCCAGGCAGAAAGTTCCCTAAGGATTGGGACTGTGTTTGCATTGTTCATGGCTGTGTCTCAGAGCCCAGCACAGTGCTTGGTATATAGCAGCATATCAATCACTGTTGGTTGAATGGATACAGGTCCAAGGGAGTGGAGGGGAGTAGGGGAGAATGGGTCTTGCAGGGATTTGCCCCTCCCAGTCCCTGACTCAGGAGGAACTGAAGCTGCTCTGGTTCTGAGCATGTGAGCTAAGACGTAGCATTGTTTCTCCCTGCACATTCCTTGCTGCCTTACCAGCCTCATGCTCTCTGTGCCCTCATTTTGGGGATATTGTCATACTGAAGACCCAGGGTCTCAAAGGAATTGGGCTGATCAGCTGTTCCTGGATTGGACAGAGAAGCTGAGGCCCCTTCCTGAGCTCACCCCTGACCTATGAAGGCATCCCGGCACCCTGATTTCGCTCTGATTCCTGCTTCCTCTGGCTTTCACCACCACCCCTCCCTGCCATGGCCACCTCCCCCCAGCCCCCTCTCCCCTTCTTCTCTGCCTGCCTCCAGTTTCTTATGGCTGAAACCATAGGCTGAAGCACCTCAGAAATGTCAAAACAGGGGTCTTGGTGATGCTGGCTGTGCTGGGCATAAGTGGAGGAGAGTGCCAGAGGGTCAGCCTGGGGAAGGTGCCTGGGGAACGGGGCAAACACAGCCCGAGTTCCGTGTGTGGCTGCCACAACTCCGACCCCAGATTCTGTCATGTTCTGTCCCCCTTGGGTGGGGCAAGGCCTGCTGGCACCTGAGAAATCATTGCTGAAATTCTGTTGCTGAAACATAAAGCTGCCCAAGTCCCTGTGACAGAATTTCCTATTGGCAGGTGAGTCCAACGTAGTGTCAGAAAAGCAAGAGCTAAGCAGCCAGGGAGTCAGTGCTGCAGGGCAGGGCTCACAGGAACAAATTTCAGACTGGGTCCTAGCTCTCCCAATTATTAGCTAAGTGGCTCCATACAGTGACTTATTTTCTTTGAGTCTCAGTTTCCTTGATGTATGTAGGAATAGTACCTAACCTCACAGGATTTGTGTAAAGATTGAATCAGTAGAAACAATCAACAAATATTAGCTAGAGATGATCTGGGCTTGTTTGAGAGCAAGGGATTGTACTGAGCTCTTGTGGGAAGGGAGGAGGGCAGGGTGGCAAGCAGAGCTCTAGCTGGGCACCACCATAGTACCTGTGGCTGGCCCTCTTAATCTGCTGTCTTATGGCATCTCAGAGCCTCAAGCCCAATAAAAGTAGATTAAACAAGCATATAAAGTATTTGTGGGAGGCAGACGGTGCAGATTGCCTTGGATCTCATATCCTTTCAGGCATGGCTGTGGTGGGGAAGTGTATTAGTTAGGGTTCCCCAGAGAGAGAATCAATAGGAGATAGATAGATAGATAGATAGATAGACAATATCTTTCTATCTACCTATTTTAGGGGATTTATTAGGGGAACTGGCTTACGTGATTACGGAGGCTGAGAAGGCCCATCACAGGCCATTTGTAAGCTGGGAACCCTGAGATGCCAGTAACATGGCTCAGTCCAAAGGCCTAAGAACCTGGAAGGACGGTGGCTGGTATAAGTCCTGGAATCCAAAGAGTGGAGAGCCCTGAGTTCTGATGTCCAAGGAGAGGGGAGGAAGAGTGTATCCCAGCTCCAGGAGAGGGTCTTTCCTCTGTTTTTGTTCTATACAAGCCTTCAGCTAATTGGATGGTGCCTGACCTCATTAAAGGTACGCTTTCCCCACCTATTCCACTCAGACTCACACGCCAGTCTCCTTTGGAAACACCGTTAAGACACACCCCAAAATAATGCTTTACCAGTTCTCTAGGTATTCCTTAATCCAGTCAAGTTGACACCTAATATTAACCATCACAGCATGTAAAGTTGTGAGGGCTCGGGTGATGCTAATTTGTAGAGGTCATTCAAACCATTAAGATAATGAAACAGTTTCAGTTTTCTGCATGTGGCTAGCCAGTTCTCCTAGCACTATTTATTAAATAGGGAATCCTTTCCCAATTGCTAGTTTTTGTCAGGTTTGTCGAAGATCAGATAATTATAGGTGTGCAGTCTTATTTCTGGGTTCTCTATTCTGTTCCATTGGTCTATGTGTCTGTTCTTATATCAATACCATAAATGCCCATCAATTATAGACTAGATAAAGAAAATGTGGTACATATACACTATGGAATACTATGCAGCCATAAAAAGGACCAAGAGCATGTCCTTTGCAAGGACATGAATGGAGCTAGAAGCCATTATCCTCAGCAAACTAACGTAGGAACAGAAAATCAAATACTACGTGTTCTCACTTATAAGTGGGAGCTGAACGATGAGAACACATGGACACATTGAGGGGAGCAACACACACTGGGGCCTGTCGAAGACTGGGGAGTGGGAGAAGGGAGAGCATCAGGAAGAATAGCTAATGGATGTTGGGCTTAATACCTAGGTGATGGGACAATCTGTGCAGCAAACCACCATGGCACACATTTACCTATGTAACAAACCTGCACATCCTGCACATGTTACCCTGAGCTTAAAATAAAAGTTGGAAAAAAAAGAGATAATGAAACATAGTTCAATTAAAAGATACAAATTGTACCCCATTTTTATTTTCTAAGTATTCATGGCTTGTTAAGTGTGTATAATATCAACTATTACATGGGAACTAGCTCCTGATAAGTTTGCTCTTTTGTTCGGCCTATAAACATAGAGGATTCTTGAGATTTGCACTGTTATCAGCCTGCCATTGAATAATTTTAATTCTTATTTTCATTGATCCAGAAAAAGTCTTCTAGTTTGGTGGGTGGGGAGCACATATTGACTTTTGAAGGAGACTTGACAGATGTAATTATATCCCAGACTTGCTCCTAAATCCAGTACATCAAACAATTATTAAACTTTGAGTGTGGTGATTATTAACCTTTGTAGTCATAGAACCCTTTGAAAATCTGATGAAAGCTATGGACTCAAACTGATAAAATGCACACTCCAAATGCTGATATTACATCTGGGACCCCACAGTCTCCTAAAAGTCATTCTACTTGTAGCCTGGGTGGATCACCCTCGATCAAGGCTATCCATCGTGAGTCAACCAGAAGAGGTCCATGCAGAATGCAGAGGACAGAGATACTACTAGGTGGAAAGGCAGGCCTAGGGCTTGCCCTCATGGAAACATCTGGTGGTATGGGAGTCATGCAGGTAGGGGTGTTTCCATCCGCTGTGTGCTAACTGGATCTCTCTGAGGATGCTACCTACACCTTGAAGGAAAGGGGCTCCCTTCATCAGCTGTGGGCCCAGACGCCACTGAGCAGGCCCACAGGAAGCAATTCACGGTGAGGCAGTGGAGGGTGGACTACATCAGTCCCCAGTCCCTTCTGGCATGAACACACTAGAAGTCTGTGGAAGAGGCTTCCCCTCACAAGCCTCAGCCTTTACTCACTTTATTTCTCCTCCTGACTTGCCCTGCCCTCTCCTCTGTGCCCATCTTCTGGGGTCTCACTTCCTCCAAGCCCACACCCATTACATACATCAGGGTTGGCAACATTTTCTGCAAAGGGCCAGACAGTAAATATTTTAGTCTGTGGGCCATGTGGTCTCTGTCTCAACTACTCAGTCCTGCCAATGTAGCTCAGAAGCAGCCACAGCCAATACATAACTCAATGGGCATGGATGAGTTCCAATAAAACTTTATTTATAAAAGCAAGTGAGCCAGATATAGCCCAAGGGCCATAGTTTGCTAGCTCCTGCTGAGATCATTTGTTTCATTAGGGGCTTACAAAATGATGCTTTCTAATCCATCATTCCTTCTTCATTTCTTTTTCTTTCTTTTTTTTTTTTGAGACGGAGTCTCACTCTGTCACCCAGGTTGGAGTGCAATGGCACAATCTCGGCTTGCTGCAACCTCTGCCTCCCAGGCTCAAGGGATTCTCTTGCCTCAGCCTCCTAAGTAGCTGGGATTACAGGCATGTACCACCACGCCCGGCTAATTTTTTGTATTTAGTAGATATGGGGTTTCATCATGTTGGTCAGGCTGGTCTTGAATTCCTGAACTTAGTTGATCCACCCACCTTGGCCTCCCAAAGTGCTGGGATTTACAGGCGTGAGCCACTACGCCCAGCCATTCCTTCTTTATTTCTTAGTTGGAATACATTTATAAAGAGAAACTTTCCTTGCACTATTTGGCTACTTCCATTCTTTTTGAACCCTCTTTAATGAGGCTCTCCTCTCCCCTCACTTCACCAAAATTCTTCTTTCCAAGATCATAAATGGCCTTCCCATTGCTAAATCCAGCAGTCAACTCTCAGTTTTCATCTTGAGATACTTGACCTAATGAGTCCTTGACATGGACAGGCACTTCTTCATCTGGCTTTCAGGACACGCCCTCTCCTCGTGTTCATTGCTAACTCCTTCCAGGGCTTTGTTAATTTTCTGTCATCAACCAGCTGTGAGCCTTGGATACCCCAGGGTGCAGTCCTAAGGCCTCTTCTTTATCTATAATCACTTATCCAAGGTCCAGATTTAAAATACCACCCAATATAGATGACTTCTAAACATATAGCTGGCCTTCTTCCTGAATGCTACACGTGTCCATCCAATTGTTATGAGAGGTATCCACATGGATGTCTGACAGGCACATCAAACTGTGCATATTTAAATATGAATTCTTGATCTTCTTGCTCCTTCTTCAATCTTCGCTATGTCAGTTAATGACAACACCATCCTTCTAATAGCTCTGGCCAAAAAATCTCAGCATCATTCTTGACACCTCTCTTTCACTCCCCACATCCAATCTGTCAGCAAATCCTGTTGGCTCTGTCTTCAAAATATATCTGCTTCTCACCACCTCCACTGCTACCAGCCTGGTTCAAGCTACTGTCACAGCCTACCACTAACTGACACAGGTGGTCATGCTGCCCTACCTGGAGTGTGTTCTCAACCCAGCAGCTCAAAGGATCCTTTAGAAGCTGAGTCAGGGGGTCTCACTCCTCTGCCTGAAACCATCCAGTGTCTTCCCATCTTACTGAGAGTAGAAGTTAGAGCCTTAAAATGGCCTATGGAGCCCTGCAGGGTCTGAGAGCTGGCCCACCGCTTATCTCCCTGGACTGTCCACAGCTCTCCCCATCTCTCTCTATTCCAGTTGCACAGGTTCCTTGCTGTGCCTCACATGTGCTGGGCACACTTCGCCTCTGGCCCTGTAGACTTGCTCTTCCCTCTGGCATGCTCTTCTCCAGGTTTCTGTATGGCTTGCCCCTCACCACCTTCAGGTCTTTGCTCAAATGTCACTGTATCAGTGAGGCCTTCCCTGATCACATTGCTATTCCTACCAACCCTGCCCTCCAGAAAGGAAGTCAGGATCTCTAGCAAACAGGATCCACACTGTCTTTCCTCTGAGACCCTCAGGAAAGCTGCCTGGTTGCAGACCATGTAGGGAATATTGCCCTGCCCTTCCTTATCCTTAGCCCTAAGTTGATGCTGCAGTTGAAGTCTTGACTGCACATAATGTCCCAAGACTGAAACGGGAGTACTGAAACGGGAGTCTTGTCTTTCCTTCTGTCTCTGTGCAGGACACTGTCAAACCTCCAAGAAAGAGACCTGTTTTTCTTTTCCTTAAATGCTAAGCTTTCAGACTCCTCTGGTTGCTGGCCTAGATGTGCTGTCCTGAATCTGGGGAGTAGGATACCCTCTTTGGATTCACAGGTGGCCTTGGGGTATTGTCTTCAGGTTTTCAGCTGTGCATGCTGCTGTAGTTTTAATCCAAGGCCTGCATCCTGGAGCATGCCCTGGCCCAGAAAAAGGCAGTGGTGGCCCTCTCTTTGGGCCTTTTTACCCTTCTGTCTGCCATCCAGGGACCATTGTGCCTTGGTTCATCTCCATTCGTCTATGTGGAAATCATGTCTGTAATTTTGAACTTGAATTCACACCTGACATATGGACACTTCAGGTTCCTGCTGGGGGGAATTTGGATGATGTCATGAAGCAGAGGTATCTGTGAGGCTGACACCCTGGAGCCTTTCCGCAGCCAAGTTGCTCATAGTCCAGTCCTTGGCCCCCACCCTAGAGCACCACAGACTGTCTGAGCCATATGGGGCCATAGAGATCTCATAGTCCAACTTCTGAGTTTCTCTGCAGTATGCCTGATAAGTGGTTATCCAGACGACCTCACTACTTTTCAGGATAGTCCCTTCTATTTCAGACAGGTCTAATCAATAGAACTTACTTTAGACCTTCAATCTAGTTGAGTCTCCTGTTTTTCCTCTTGATGGGTACTTCTATTGTGACTTTTCAACATTTGCTCGTACAGTGAGGGCTTGAGTGAAGATAGAATCAGTTAAGGGACCATTTACTAAGTGGTGAGATTCTTAAAGGCAGGAACCCATCCTGTTCATCTCTGTATTCCTAGTACTTGGCAAAATGCCCAGATGTTAGAGGTGTTCAATAACTGTTAATAATAATGATAAATAAGAAAGTACTACTTATCAAGCTCTTATAATGTGGTAGGCACTACTCTAAGCCCTATACGTGCCTCAAAACAACTCAATGCAGTATATTATTACTGTTTTGTGGATGATGAAACTGAGGCTTAGAAATGTTAAGTACCTTGTCTCAGGTGACATAGCTGTTAAAGGAAGGAGCAAGGATTTAGGCCTAGCACAGCTGACTTTAGAATTCGTACTCTTTGTGTATTGTTTATGGTTTCTTTTTTCTCTGTATTTATTTTATTGTGGTAAAATATATATGACATAAAATTTATCATGTTAGCCATTTTTAAGTGTACAGTTTAGTGGCATTAAGTAATTCACATTGTTGTGCAACTGCAACTGCATTCCATTTCTAGAACTTTTTCATCTTCCCAAACTAGACTGCTTACCCATCAAAGACTAACTTCCCATTCCTCCCTCCCCCAGCCCTTGGCAACCACCAATCTACTTTCTGTCTCTCTGAATTTGACTACTCTGGGTATCTCATATAAGTAACATCCTACAGTATTTGTGCTTTTGTGATCAGCTTATTTCATCTAGCATAATGTCTTTTTTTCTTAAAGTAGGAAGTGATTTTGGAATTTAGTTGTCTTTATATTACATCTATATAATGTCATATCTATTACATAGATATAATGCAAAGAAAATTAAAATATATAATATAGATATTTATATATCTATATTTATTTTAATTTTCTTTATATCTATATTTTATATATTTAAGGTGTTACATGTTTTGATATACACATACATAGTAAAATGATTACTACAGCCAAGCAAATTAACATATTCTTCACCATACATAGTTCCTTTTTTGTGTGGTAGGAGCACTTAGAATCTACTCTTTTTTTTTTTTTTGAGATGGAGTCTCACTCTGTCGCCCAGGCTGGAGTGCAGTGGCATGATCTCGGCTCACTGCAAGCTCCTCCTCCCAGGTTCACGCCATTCTCCTGCCTCAGCCTCCCGAGTAGCTGGGCCTACAGGCGCCCGCCACCACGCCTGGCTAATTTTTTGTATTTTTTTTTAGTAGAGGCAGGGTTTCACTGTGTTAGCCAGGATGGTAGAATCTACCCTTTTAACAAAATTTCAGTGTACTATACAATATTGTTAACTATAGCGCTAACCCTGTACATTTAAGATCTGTAGATGTGTTCATCCTATCTATATAGCTGCAAGTTTTTACCCTTTGACCTACTTCTCCACTTTTCTTCCTCCTTCCTGCCCCTAACCGCCATTTTACTCTTTGTTTCTACATATTTGACTTTTTAAAGATTCCACATGTAAGTGAGATAATGCAGTACTTTTCTTTCTGTGTTTAGGTTCTGTCTACTATAACATCCTCCAGTTTCATTCGTGTTGTCTAAAATGAGAGTATCTCATTTTTTAAGGCTGAGTAGTATTCCATTCTGTACATATATCACAATTTCTTTATCCACTCATCCATCGGTAGACACTTAAGTTGTTTCCATTGTCTTAACTATTGTGCATAATGCTACAGTGAACATGAAAGTGCAAATATCTCTACAAGGTACTGATTTCATTTCTTTTGGCTATATAACCAGCAGAAGCGTTGCTGGATCATATGGTAGTTCTATTTTTAATTTTTTTGAGGAACATCCATGCTGTTTTCCATAATGATTGTACCAATTTACATTCCTACCAACAATGTACAAGACATTCCTTTTCTCTACACCCTTGCCAACACATGTCTCTTGTCTTTTTGTTAATAGCCATACTAACAGGTATAAGGTTATACCCCATTGTGGGCTTTTTTTTGTTTGTTTTTGTGAGATGGAGTCTCGTGCTCTCACCCAGGCTGGAGTGCGGTGGCGTGATCTTGGCTCACTGCAACCTCTGCCTCCCAGGTTCAAGCGATTCTCCTGCCTCAGGCTAACAAGTAGCTGGGATTACAGGTGTGCGCCACTATACCTGGCTAATTTATATATTTTTAGTAGAGATGGAGTTTCGCCATGTTGGCCAGGCTGGTCTTGAACTCTTGCCTCAAGTGATCTGCCCGTCTCAGCCTCCCAAAATGCTGGGATTACAGGAGTGAGCCACAGCACCTGGTCCCCTTTGTGGTTTTGATGTGCATTTCCCTGATGATTAGTGATGTCGAGCACCTTTTTATGCACCTCTTGGCCATCTATGTGTCTTCTTTGGAAAAATGTCTATTCAGGTCATTTACCCATTTTTTTTTTTTTTGTGGCTAAGTTGTGTGAGTTCTTTATATACTTTAAATATTAACTCTTTGTCAGATATGTAGTTTGCAAATATTTTCTACCAATAAGTAGGCTGTCTTTTAATTTTGTTGGATTTTCCTTTGCTGTTCAGAAGCTTTTTAGTTTGATGCAGTACCACTTGTTTATTTTTGCTTTTGTTACCTAAGCTTTTGGTGTGATATTCAAAAAATTATTGCCAAGGCCACTATCAAAGAGCTTTTCCCTTATTTCTTTTTTCCCAGCATTTTTATGATTTCAGGTCTTATGTTTTGGTCTTTAATCCATTTTGAGATGATTTTTGTGTATAGTGTAAATTAAGGGTCCAGTTTCATTTTTTTTTGCCTGTGGATATACAGTTTTTCTAGCACAATTAATTGAAGAGACTGTCCTCTCTCCATTATGTATTCTTGGTGGCCTTGTCAAAAATTAGTTGACTGTCTATGCTTCGAATTATTTCTAGGCTCTCTATTCTGTTCCATTGGTTTATGTGTCTGTTTTTATGCCTATGTGTCTGTTTTGATTATTATAATTTTGTAATATAATTTGAAATCAGGAAGTATGATGCTTCCAACTTTATTTTTCTTTTTCAAGATTGCTTTGGCTATTCAGGATCTTATATGATTCCATACAGATTTTAGAATTGTTTTTTTATTTGTGTGAAAAGTACCATTGGAATTTTGATAGGGATTGTGCTGAATCTGTGTATCACGTTGGGCAGTGTGACCATTTTAACAATATTAATTCTTCTAACCCAGAAACATGGGAAATCTTTCCATTTATTTATGCCTTTTTTTCAATTTCTTTAATCAATGTTATATAGTTTTTAGTGCACAGATCTTTCACTTCCTTGGTTAAATTTATTCCTGAGTATTTTATTGTTTTTGATACTGTTGTTCACTTAACATAGTGTCTTCAGGCTTCATTCATGTTATATCATGTGTCAGAACTTCCTTCCTTTTTAAGGCTAAATAATATTCTATTGTATGTACATACCACATTTTGTGGTATGAGTTTAAAATTTTGCAATATAGTCCCAAATAACCTTCCAAGGAAATTGTAGAGTTTATTCATCTACCGACATAGTACCTATTTCCTTGCCTCCCTACTAATATACTGTGTTACCAAACATTTTTGTTCTTGACTATCTGAGAGATAAAAAATGGTATCTCCTGGTTTCAATATGCATTTCTCTTATTGTGAGATTCCACATCTTTAAAATTATTAAAAACCATTTATATTTCCATTTCTGTGAATGATTGTTTATATCCTTTGCACAGTTTCCTATTAATTTGTAGACTATTTTGTATATTAAGCAAATTAGACTTTTGTAGTAATTCAGAAAATGTTTTTGTAGTAAATTCAGAAAATGTTTTCCTAGTTTGTAGTTTGCCTTTTGAAGGTGTTTATGTTTTTATGACAGTTTTTACACTTTCATACAGTTGAATGTATCAGTCTCTTTATTATTGTGTCTTGGTTTTATATTATTCTTACAAAGGCCTTCACAAACACAAAAATTATACTTTTTTTTTTTACTTCTAGCACTTTTCATGGCTTTATTTCTTACATTTAAATCTTTGATTCATTGATAATTAATTTTGGTAGAAGACTTGGGGGAAGGATCCTACATAATTTTTTTTTACATGTCTACTCACTTGTCCCAATACTATTTATTGAATTATTCATCTCTTCCTCAGTGATCTCAAATTTAATATTTCTTATAGGTATATGCATCTGTTTCAGCATTTTCTATTTTATTCTGTTGATTAATTTGTTTATTCATATGCCAGAATACAGGTTTTAATTAATGCGATTTTATAATATGCCTTAATATGTTGTATGGCTAGTCATTTTTGATACATTTCTTTTTTGAATTTTTTGGGATAATATTACTTATTTATTCTTCCACATGATCTTTAAATTAAACTTACCTAGCTCCTCCACAAAATTTATTGGTAATTTTTTTGAGAATAAATTTACGTCTTTATGATATAAAATTTCTTTATTCATGAATGTGGTATGATTTTCCACTTGTTCAAGTTCTTCTTTTGTGTCTTTAAATAGTATTTAAATTAAAAGCTTCTTCATCCATCTTGCATATTTTTTATTAAATTCATTCCTAGGGTTTTGTTTTTATTTTTTATTACAGGGTTCCACATTGTTAACTAGTAGAGATCTTATTGTGCTGATAGAAACTTAGTTTCTACCCTCCTGGCCTAGGATGTTATGAGTGTCCCTCAAGGAAAAATTCCCCCAAATCCTGCCACTTACTCCAAATTTGGCTGATGATTTACTATCTGCTTTTACTTTTTGAGTAGTGAGTGTGTTTCAGGCCCATCAATATCATCTTACATTTGTCTACAAACTGTTTTATATATGTGATTCCATTTGATCCTTACAATTACCTTGAGATGTTGACAAAGAGGGTGTCTATTTGTGTCCATTTTGAAGTGGAAGTAATTGACCCTTGGCAGATTAAGAAGCCCGTCTGAGATCACACAGGTAAGGAGGGACCAGGAAGAACTCAGGCCTCTTACCTTCCAGTCCAGGTTCTTAAAGTTACTCCCGCGTCCTGATGGTGGTCCTGCCCTCCTAGTCCACCTCCGAGAGGAGCACCTTCCTGCCTTGCCTTTTATGATTGCTCCTATTCCAGTCTTCCCTCCCCAAAGCCTTGGCCTTGCTGCTCTGGGTCTGTGCAGGGAAGTGCTTCAAAATGCTTGGAGCACGCCCCACAGCCCGGCTGGAAGATACTGAGGTCTGGTGCTGGCTTCTGCTGCTCTCTGGATGTTTACTGCAGCAGCAGTGAGGAGAGTTTGTCATTCCTAGAGGTTGCATTGTCAGGTTGACACCCAGAGTGTCTCATGCTGCTGCCTTGATTTCTTAGAGAATAATGAAACACCCCCACCTTCCTCCTCCCTTGTCTAGACGAGGATTAAAGGCAGCCTCCCTTATTCTCCCACTTTAGCAAGGGTTGGCTGTGCTCTGAAGAGGGTTCAGTGTTCTCTGCCTCCCAGGGAACCTTCTCCTGGGCTTCAGCTCAACCAGCCTGCAAGGGGCACACAGCCCTCTAGCACACCAGAGACCAGCCCTGCATGGGCCCAACATGAAACCCTTGGCCTAGGGCACAGGGCACAGAGTTTCAATCAGTGTTAATCTCCTGCCTCTCTTCTTTCCTTTATTCTTTCTCGGTTGTTCTCAAAAATGTTCACTGCTCTCTACTCTACTCCCTTCTCCCAACTGCCACTGGACTACTTACATGGCTATTTTTCCTGGGAATTCATTTATTCATCCATCCATCCATTCATTCAAAAAGGTTTTATTGAATGCTCACTCTGCATCTGACAAGATTCCAGGTGCTGAGAATGCAGCAGTGAACAAGATAAAGGTGGGAGGAGATAAACAACAAGCAAGTAACTAGACAAGTAAATAAGACGCTTCCCACAGTGACAAGTTCCTGGAAGGAAACAGGACAAGGGTGTGTGGAAGAGGGAGATTTGGGAGTGTCTTCCAAATGAAGTGGTCAAGGGAGTGGTCTGAGGAAGTGATATTTGACTCTAGACTTGAATGGTAAGAAGGGGCCAACTATGTCAAGACCTGGCAGAAGAGCATTCTAGGCAAAGGGAAGGGCAGGTACAAAGGCCCAGAGGTTGACGCAGGCGTGGCATGTTCCAGAGGCTGGTGAGGCATTAGTGCTCTGGGCAAGGGGACAAGGGGAAGAAGAGGAGGTCAGAGGAGGAAGCATAGCCTTATAAAGCATTTGGATTTTCAGTATGATAAGATGATTTTTGGAGAATTTTAAGCAGAGGAGTGACAGGCTCTGATCTATGTTTAAGACTATTTTGGCACCAAGAGACATATCAAACTGCTTGTAGCAACATCATTCATAACAGTAAAAAAAAAATAACCCTGGGAATTACTCAAATGCCCATCAACAGTAGAATGGATAAATAATAGATTGTCATATGACAATAAGAATGAACAAACTATGGCTACACACACGGATGAATTTCCTAAATATCATGCTGAGGGAAAGAAGCCCAACAGAACAGAATCCTTGCCGTCTGATTCCATTTGTGGAGACTTCAAGTTCCAGCCAAAACCCAGACTAGAGCTTTTAGGGATGCATGTTTGGATGCTTTTAGGGATGCATGGTTGGGTGATAAAATATAAGAATAGTCAAAGAAGTGCTTACCTCGAAAGCGTGGATAGTGGTTGTCTTTGGCAGAGAAAGAGGACCACTGATAGAGAACACAAAGTGGGCTTCGGGGTAGAACTGGTGATGTTCTATTTCTTGACCTTGTGGGTGCTTCCACATGTGCTCACTTCGTATGGTTTTGTTTTGTACACTTTCCTGCTTATATATTCACAACAAAAAGGTATAGAAACCTCACTTTGGCTGCTGTGTGACAAATGGGTGGCAGGGCATCAAGAGCCAGGGGAGAGGACTATCCCTTAGTGGGCTGCCAAAATCACAGGACAGGGGGTGGTATATTGGGAGGTATTTTGGTGGTGACAGCCACAGGACGTGCCCACAGATTGGCTGTGGTTGGTGGTGGTGATGAGGGAGGCATCAGTTAGGATGCCTCCTGGAACTTGGCTTGAGCAACTGGGTAGATGAGGGTCCATTCACTGACAAGGAGAAGACTGGGGTGGAGGAGGCTGGAGGGAGAGAGAAAGAATGCTGCTTTCGTTCTGTCAAGTTTGAGAGGCTGATATGGGCTGGATGGTATCCCCTCCAAATCTCATGTTGCCATGTGACCTCCGGTGCTGGAGGTGGGCGTAGGGGGAGATGTTTGGGTCATAAGGATCGATTCCTCATGAGCAGCTTAGTGCTGTCCTCATGATAATGAGTGAGTTCTTGCTCTACTAGTTCACGTGAGATCTGGTTGTCCAAGTGACTGTGGCACCTCTCCCCTCCTTGCTCCCTCTCTTGCCGTATGAGGCACTGGCTTCCCCTTTCCCTTCTACCGTGACTGTAAGCTTCCTGAAGCCCTCACCAGAAGCAGATGCTGGTGGTATACCTCAGGTACAGGGTGCAGAATCATGAGCCAAATAAACTTCTTTCCTTTTTAAATTACCCTCAGCTGTTTCTTTATAGCAATGCAAAAAATGGACTAACCCAGATGTGTATTATGCATTTAAGTGGAGAAATCAAGGAGGCGACAGCTTTCTGACTGGCTAGTTGGCCTCTAGCCTGGCCCCTTGCATTGCATCCTTGCATCCTTGGCCCCATGGTTCCCATGACCTCTCTAAAGAGGAAACCTGGTGATGCCCTGTCTCCTCTCAGAATCGTCCCTATCACCCAAAGGATAGAAAACAAAGTCCTCATTGTGGCCCCAAGCCTGTGCCTGGGTGGTCTGCCTCCCCGGCTTCTCCTCTCCCCTCCCTGGCTATATAAAAGGACAACAGGCCCTTCCCTTGTCCCTACCCCCCTCACCTGGCTACTCTTGCTCACCCTTCAATCAGCTTGCATACCTGTTTCCACAGGAAGTTGTTCCTGCCAAGAAGCCTTTCTCAGCCCCACAAACAGAGTCAGGTACCCTCCTGTGTTCTCTCAAACTTCCTTTTAGTTAGCTCTCCTGTTAGCTAGCAGTCACCCCACTGCTCTGGAAGAATCTCTTCACTTCCATCTTCTCTGTGCAACTGTAAGCTACTTGAGGGCAACAGTTGGGTCCTGTTCACAGCTGGATTCCAAGCAGCTGCATGTACCTGTCCAGGCAAACTCTCTTTCCACTAACACTGCTTGCTAAATCAGTACATCAAACGTACTTCCGTACGCATTCCAGGCACTGCTCTTTCTCTCCACCCAAAACATGCTTGGTCTTGCTACTTCTACAAGGATCCTGTCTTGGGCTGAAAGGCTAAGGCAAACCCTTGGCAGGGAGAGGACATGGGAAGTTTGGTGCTGTCTCTAAAGTCTCCTGAGATGGCAGATGCTTTCCTGCCTCAGGGTCTTGAAAGGTCACCAAGGAGGAGGCAAGGAAAGAGAAACAACACTCAGCCTTTCTGCCACCCTCAGAGACAAAAATGACTGAATAATTGCCTCAGGGGAAAACCAGGGGTCTGAGCAGCTGGAAATGCTCTTTGCCCTAGGGACACACTTGGCAAGGACAGTGGAATTACACTGTGGCATCATCCCTGCCTAACAGCCCACCTCCACTTGACATGAATGTTGGAGGAGTCCTTAGTGGAAAAGGAAACACCCAGAGTGCAAGATAGAGGGCCCTTTCTTGGCTGATAGCACTGAGGCCCCCGGGCTGGCCATCGGCCTGGGAACCTGAAGTCTTTCTTTTAATTACCTGCTGGCAAAGCCCCAGTTGCCTCTGGTTTACACTGGCTGGGTTAGCCCAGGGAGCTAACCAGCTCTGAGGCCATTCTTGTAATTATGCCACATCCCTTCCCCTGCCCCACCATTCCTAGGTGGCCAAGGTATGATACATTGAATTTCATGCCTGTCAGAAAAGGGTGATCCAGGCCAGACCCTGGAGGTAAAGACAGTGAGTGGGGCAGGCAGGACTCCTGCAGTCTTAGCCAGCTCCCTGTTACCCACCTCAACAGAGGTGCCAGCGCCAGAAGCCCCCTGCCTCAGCTGCAGCCTGGGTGCCTCCTTCAGCAGGGTCTGCACACCTAGCTGGGCTCTGCTCCTTGGAAGGCAAAGCCAGGGAGAAGCAGCTTTGCAGGGTGAGCCGTCATCGGCTGTGCTGATTGATGCTGATTGCATTGGAGTGCTGGTAGCTATTTGCTTGTAAAGCCTCCTAATAAGAGTGCCACAGACCCTGGGGTGAGATGATCTCACAGTCAGTGTGAATTTGAGTGACAGGAAACACTGGCGGATGAAGGGCTGGCTGCACATGGAATTGCTGCATTTCTTCTTATGGTTCAATGTGGCCACATGCCGAGTTGCTGAGTTGGGGGGCCAGGGGGCTGCGCCTGGGGCATGAGTGGCTACCGAGAAGGCTCTAGGCCTAAAATAACTCCCCAGGGTCTGCTGGCTTTGGGTCTTTCTTGGGCATGTGGCTGTGTGACTGCAGGGCTGCTGTTAGAATGTCAGGTCAGTCTACTGGCGGAGAGGAGACATAGATGAACACGCTGGCAAGTTTGGGCTTCTCAGTGGAGAGCGGGGCTCATCGAGGACTGGAAGAGGTGTTCGAGATGAGCTATCCAACAACCCTCATTTTACAGATGCACAAACTGCGGCCCAGGAAGGGCAGATGACTTGCTCATTTCCCCGCTTCTTGAGTGGCTGAGCCAGGCTTGTGCCTAGCTCTACCTTCTGGCCAAGGACCGTCTGACAGAGGCAGGAGTCGGGGCTCCAGGATCACTGAGTACTGTGGGAGGAGGGGAGAGAGTGGCCACAGGAAGGAGGGGCTGCAGGCACCGAGGGTGAGCTTCAGCTCCCCACAACGTGTCCAGGGTAGTCTCCTCACAGCTCTGTCTCAGGCAGGACCAGGTGTTTCTGAGGGGCAGGCCATAGATGGCCAACCGGACGTGCAAGATTGAAGGCTGTCACGCTCTGGCAGGATGTGGAATGGAGACCCCTGCACAGCTGAAGGGGCGCAGCAGGACGGCAGGAGTGCTGGGGGGCACTGAAGGTCAGCGAGGGCCGAGGGTTCCCTCTGGAGGGCACCCACACCAGAACTTCTCTCTGTGTGCTTCCTTAGGTGTCTCCATAGTTCTGTCCCCAACTCCTTTCAGATCTTTTCTCAAAAGTCATTTTCTCTGGAAGATTTTCCTGGGTCATACTTTCTCCAATACATTTCTCTGCTGTAGTTTTTCTCCTTAGTCCTTATCACCATGTAAAGTGCCATTTGTTGTACTTTAAAAACATTTCCCATATTGTCTGTATCTCCATGAGAATGCAGGCTACAGAAGGATAGGGATTTTGTCTGATTTGTTGCCAGTACAGTGGGCAGCCCCCAGTGGAAGGGAGAAGGCCATCAGTGGACGCAGCCTGAATTTATTTTGAGACCTTGTCACTTCCCCATCACTTGTAGGCTACATTATAGGTCCCTGTTCTTCCTAATCAATTCAGGTTACTTTACCTTTTCTCAGTCCCTCCTGGCAATTCTCTGGGGCAGGGTTCCATTCCCTTAGGACCCTTCTCTAAGGGGAGTCAGCCAATCTCAGGTGTGTCAATGTCTTTACCTTTATTACCTTTTAACCAGAGGCTCTTGGGATCACATTCCCTTCATGCAAAGGGCTGGATCTTTAATGACGGGAATTGGAGGCACCATGGGCAGGGACAGGGAGGCACCTGGCATCAAGCCTCCCTGGGTTGCCTCTTAGATACTGGGACGAAGTAGCTGCTGACTCCTGCCTTGGGGCCACTGCTTGGACCATAAGGAAGTCTCTCTATGGAAGCAAACCCCGGGTGGTGTGTTTTGAGGAGAGCATGCCCTGCATCTGAGGTGCAGAGTCCTCTAAAAACTTCCTGAGAGCAGAGCCAGGCACCTAGTAGGTGCTCAGTCACTGACTGACAGTCTTGGGCTAATCACGGAGGACCATGCCTTTTCATGAAAACATCTCATCTCAGCACTGCCTTCCTGTTAGCACCAAGGAAATCTTCACTCACCACGCTTCCTGCATTCAGATCCCGTGCCATCCCCCATCACTTCGAAGAATGGCCACCACACTACTGTATGCGCACCAGGATCACAGAAATGCAGCCTCCCACAGGCTTGTCCCACAGACGGTTTGTTTCGCTTCTAACCTGATTTCTCTTAGGGTTTGTCTAATTTTCTGTAAAGCATGACTGTTCATGGAGGCAGAAAGTCCCAGGAACCTTCCCAAGCTGAAGAGATACAAAGCAGGCAATGGAAGAATCAAAATCTGTCTGCATATTCTTCCTTCCCTGTCTTTCTTTTTTCCTCCCATCCCCAGATGGTGGTTTGGTGTTTTTGTCTATGAATCAATGTGCAGCTTGTTTCTGCACAGCAAGGCAGATAGAATTCCTACTAGAGAAGCTCTTGCCCAAAGAGCATCAGGGCCCCCTCCCTCCATCTCCACCCTGAACTCCAGACCCTGCAGGCTCTGGGATCGCCCATTCGAAAGGCCCATGCCTGCCTCTGCACCCACTCCTCCTCCACCAGTGACTCGGGGTTTGTTGTGACTCAGGCCTTTATTCACGTTGCGTGTTTCAGTCATTTGTGGGGCTTGTGACAGTCTAAACTCAATGACTGTGTCAGCCATTGTGGGTGATGGAATTGGTGACAGCAAGTGGGCCTCAGCCTGCTGGGTGGGATGGGGGATAGCCCCTTCACCACGAGGAGTTTTTCTGAGTGTTGTGCCCTATCAGGCTTCTGGTGAGAAGTGCTCTAAGACAGTAAATATTTCCCCTTTTTATCAAGAAATAACAATATCCCAGTTGAAGGTGTAAAAGGCAATTTGCATAGGCGTTAATTATTGAGGCTGCACAGCAGCTCTCCTTGGGGCACCATCCAGAGGCGGCTCACAGCCAGGAACACAAAGGATCCTCTCTGGGAGTGCAGCCAGGGCCAGACCTTCCACCCAGGCTTGGTTCCTGAAGTGAGCAGTTGGAGCTGAACATCCTGACAACAGACTCAGTCCCATTCCTTGAAGCCGTGCGTCTCATGGAGGGTGGTATTGATGCCAGTTGCAGCTCAGCACAGAGCTATCCTGGGAGCTTCGATGGGGTCTCGGTGGACAGATGGACTTGCAGTTGAGATGGGGGGTCATTTCATTCCAGATGTGGGCACGCTTTGTCATGGGGGTCAGCAGGGCTGGTCAGCATGCCCAAGGTCAGCATGGGGGAGGGTATCAAACCAGGTCGCATCTAAACTTAGAGCTTCCAAGCCTGAGGTCTCTGTGAGTCTGCATCTCACCTTTCCCTCCCCTTCCCCACATCTAGTGCATTCCCCATTTCACAGTCAAAGAAAGCGTGAGTGATCTGAGGAGCTGACTTAGAGGGTCAGTATGGTTTGCTAATGGCAGTTCTGCTGTTATCATCTTGGTGATGAGCCTTGATACAAGCCACTGAGTCTCCAGATCTCATTAACCATTGCTGTGCTCCTGGGAAGCTGTGTGAGGTGGTGATCAACTGTGTATGTGTTGGGTGGGTGTATTGTTGCCTCAGTGGTTTTTGTGCCTTTTAGTATTTACTGCACACTCTCTTCTAGGAGATCCAAGCCAGATGTCCAGGAAAAGGGTGAGTTCTCCTTTCTCCTCTTAAATGCTCCAGCCTTGAAAGCCATATTCTGCTTTCAGCTGCTCTACTGGGCATCTGTGCCTGGAGACATCGATGTCTACTTACAACTTAGGAGAGCACTGGGCAGTAGAGCCTGTGGGGAGCAGCAGTGAGTTCTCATATCCTCATTTCACAGAGGAAGAGCCTTCAGTGAAGGCACAATGGGATGTGGCCAGGTCCTACAGCCAGACAGTGGTAGGGGCAGGACTGGAACCCAGGACCCAGCGTGAAACTCCCTATCCAGTGCTTGTCCCACCAGCCATGCCATTCTCCTGGGCAGAGACAGCAGAATGGTTGATTAATAGGCAGTCAGGGGGCTCCTCAGACAGCAGCATCCTTGGGGAGCTCTTGGGGACCCACGGGAAGAGCAGGGAGGGGGCGGGCTTGGGTGGGCTGCTGTTATGGGACAGAGAGAAGGTGCAGGGAAGCATCACAATGTGGAATAAAATTGGCCCTTGGTGGAGTTGATGCCTGTTGTCTGTTTGGGTGGGGACAGAAACACAGGTCCCCTGTGGGGCTTGTCCAAGGCCACAAAGGTCAACTAAACCTGGACTCAAATCTTGGCTTGCCAAGGAGCAGGCAGCGATTGCTCTCACTGTGTACTGGGCTGGGGAGACTTGAGAGGAAGCCTCGGGGAGCCCCAGTCTTGTTGGGAAGAACAGCCCTGCCCCAAGGGAGGCAGGGTACATTTCAGGGCTAAATTGTGTTCTATGAAAACTCCCAAGTGCTGGAGGAGTTCAAAGAGGGGAATGAAGCAGTGACATTGAAAGGGAAGACAATAGAGAAGGGAGACCTTGAACTGAAGCCCGAAGGAAGGTGAAATGAGAGAGACAGTGAGGGGGTGAGGGCTGCCAGGGTGGGAGTGCCTGCAGCAAAGCAAGAGGCGGGGCTGGGCCTGAGTTACTGAGACAGGCCTGTGTAGGAAGTACTCCATGCTGTGTAGGGAGGACTCAGGCCTGTGTAGGGAGGACTCCAGGCTGCATAGGGAGGACTCAGGGCTGTGTAGAGAGGACTCAGGGTTGTGTAGGGAGGAATCAGGGCTGTGTGTGTGTATAGGGGTATTGTGGACAAGCCTCCAAGAAATGTGAAAAGGAGCAAAGTTGGGAAATTTGAATTCTGGCCTCCACTCTTACCAACAGCTGTGTGACCCCAGGCAAGTCACTGTCTTCTCTGCACTCAGTATCCTGGCGTGTAGTTGGCCTTTCAGACCTGATCCAGCCTCAACTTCTGAGATATTCTGGGTAAAGAACCTCGCCTCCTCAACTTTGCTGTCCCTGAGTGTGGAGAGGAAGGGTGTTGCACCCTGTGACCCCTGCACCCTGGCCAGGAAGCTGCCTTGGAGCTGCTTGTGTTTATTGGGGGAAATTTAGTGGGCTCTTAGGAGCCTGATGCTCTCAGCAAACCAGAGCCTGAATTAATGCTTTAATTATGCAGGCAGCCTTCCCTAAGGCCCCGTTCTCCATTTTAATTTTGGGAAACTCACGCAAGTGATATTCTTCTTCTCTTGATCTGTCATCAGTCAGGCTGAAATCACTCCCGTGGAGCCTTCGCGGAGGATGTGTGTCCTGGCACTGAGAGCCCTCCGTCATCCAGAGCTGGGTGGTTCCTGCAGCTGCTCCCCAAGAACAGGGCAAAAAGGAGATCAAGTGGAGCCCTGCTCCTCTGGGGCTTTAAGCACCCCTCCTCTTTTCTCCTGCTCTTTTTCTGCTTCCTCTCCTCTCCTCTCTCCTTTTATAACCAAGGGTGGGAGACTTGGGAGTGTCAGCTGGCTCCACGTCTCCAATGGAACCTCACAAGGACTCGCAGAGCTCAGCTTGCCCAGGACTGAGACAACGTTAGACGGAATGAGTCCCTTGGCAGCATTGGTCATGTGCTTGCACTAACCTTGACCCCTGGGGGTCAAAGTAACTCTAGTCAGCACTCCTACAGGAGGCATTTCCACCCAGACTGGGGCTCTGTTTCAACAGAGTCGTGGCCCCATGACTCAAACTTGGAAATCATCAGAAATGCCCACCCTGCTTTGCCTCATATTCTCCCAATTTTTTCCCACCTACAACCTTATATAGTTAAGGGATTAATTAGTTAATTGAGCAAGTATTTGTTGGGTGCCCACCATTTACTAGGCACTGTGCTGGTGCTGAGGGCGCAGGGGTGAACAAGACAAATGCAGTCCCTGTGCTTTGGGTGGGAGGAGGCAACTGAAAAAAGGCAAACAAGTAAATGAGCAAATAAGTAAAACAATGATAAATGGTGGTAAGTCCTATGAAGAAAACACACAGAGGCAGAGAAAAACAGGAGGGGACTCTTTTGGAGACTGGGTTAGGAAAAGACCCTTTCAGAGGTGACATTTAGGTTTAGACCAAAGAAGGAGCCAGCCATGTGAAGAGCTGTAGGAGCAGGATTGCAGATAGAGCCAGTGGCTGGGGCTGGGAATACCTTGAGGAGGACGGGTAGGTCTGAGCTCCTTACTCCTGAGCCGTGGGGGGATCCAGGCAGGATAGGTGGCTCACACAGTGGGGAGTGGATGTGCTGAGTCTCAGCCACCTCAGCATCTAGGGCTGTAGCCCCACGGCTCAAGAAGTGCTCAGAGTCCATGAGTGTATCACGGAATATGGTGGGGAGAAGAATGGTCCTACCCTGGACTCTCTGAGGTGGAGGAAGATGGCCATAAGTTCCCCAGAGTGGCAGAACTTTGGTTTTCCGGTATGGAGATAAAGTGATTTGGATGTTGTATTCATTTCCTGTGTCTGCTCTAACAAATTACTACAAACTTCATGGCTGACAGCAACAGAAATTTGTTCTCTCACCGTTCTGGTGGCCAGATGTCCTCAATTAGTATCACTGGGCTGAAGTCAAGGTGTCAGCTGGGCCAAGCTCCCTCTGGGGGCTGTAGAGGAGAATGTGTTCCTTGGCTTTCCCAGGTTCTGGTGGCTGCTGGCATTCCTTGGCCTGTGACCACATCACTCCCATGTCTGCCTCCACAGTCACATTGCTGTCTCCTCCTCTGTTGTCATATCTCCCTCTGCCTCTCTCGTAAGGATATTTGTGATTGCATTTAGGCCCATCCAGATAAATCCAGGATAATCTCTCCATCTCAAGATCCTCAACTCAATGACGCCTGCAATGTCTCTTTTGCTATATTAGGGTCATTTATGGATTCTGGAGACTGGAATGCGAGCATAGTTGGCTGTTATTCAGCCTGCCACAGATGAGATGATAAAAGGAAGAGGAGGAGGAGGTGAGTGGGGACAGTGAGGGCATAGTCCATGCACTTGCAGCATCTGGAGTAGATAGTGCTGGACATTCAATATGCTCTGGTAAAATGCTATCAGAGAATCCTGCCATCAGCTGGAGGTGACAGGCCTATACTTGATTATGTCACCAGCTGTGATATTTTAATTTTTCATAACATCTTAATCCTGTCATTCCCAGGAGAGGATTTGATCAGCAGGAAAGAGGGATGAGAAGTTTGGGGTGGCAGAAGCCCTGGGCCTTTCAGTAGCATTGACTCTTATAAAAAGCCTTTTGACCAGGAGTAAAAGGGCGGAGAGCAGTGGGAAATGACGGCATCCAAGTGAGTGGGGGTGAGAGTGGGTGGGGAGGGGTGAGTACTTCCGTTGGCATAACAGGGTCCTTGGCTGGCTTTAGTTCTGAGTTACTTGTTGGTAGGTTTTAAGAATTGATGGAGTTAAATAATTATGAGACAAGATCAAGTAAATAAGCAAAGAATATTGTTTTTCTTAGATCTGTCAAAGAAGCCATAAGGTCTCCTACCTAGACAGTCTTTCTAGAAATATTGAATTTCTCTTTATTATTTCTGAAGTTAAACAAGAATAAATTTGAATAATTAATGCATTGGTCTCTCTCTTCACCGCCTCCTCTGCCACTTGTTAGTGTCTAGATCATCTTAAGGTGCTGAGAGGAAAGAAATAGATCAGAGAAGTGGCAAGGCAATTTGGAGACATCAACTAAATTGCTTGCCTGGTTTGTGGGTGGAGGTGGTGGTTGTGATTGGAGGGTGCGGGCTCTTGACTGTAAGTGCCTGGGGGACTGTGCCAGTGTCTCTTTGATCTGTCTCAGTGCAGGACTCAGGTTGATGAGACCTTTCAAATAAGATCGACTCCCTGATTGGGCTGGGGAGTAGGGCTTAGTGTGGGCTGCAAGAGAGGAGCAGTGGGCCGGCTCCAGGAAGAACTAGTGAACTAGTTCTGACCTGAGGGAGGGCAGGTCAGGGATTTGGATTGACCCTCAGTGCCCACTCAGTGTGGCCTCTGTGGGCTTCAGTCATGCTGCCCCAGCTTCTGGACAGCTGCTTGTTATTGGCTGTGCTGCTATTTGCTGTATCTAACACAGATCGTTGCCCACACATATTGGGAATTAATGGGATGACTGGTTACCTGGCTTCTGATGAACCAATGACCTTCTCCACTAACCCTGATGGGCCTGCAGGACATCATCTCCCTGAGATCCTTTGAGGGGCCCATTTATATATCCCACAGCATTTAATGGGGGCCTACTGTGGGTCAGGCTCTGGGGATACCACAAACATGGTTCAGGCTTGGTCCCCAAGTTTGTCCAGTCGGAGAAACAGACAAGTGATAGGCAATCACTACAGAGTGCTTCAGTCCTGAGTGCAGGGGGATCTGAGAACACAAAACCCAGTGCTGAGAGTCAAGGGTGGCTTTCTGGAGGAAGTCATATCTGCTCTGAAGTCTGAAAGATAACTTGGGTTTAGCCAAATGAAAGGGGAACATTCCAGATAGTAGGAAAAAACATTGACAAGCTCTTGAGAGAGAGAGAGCATGATGTGTTTGGGGAACCATTAGTAGTCTGGCATGAATATGCTGTTGGGTGACGGATGGGGGTGGGAAGAGATGTCAGTGAACCATGCATGCTAGACACTTTGGATGAGGCATTAAGGAAATGGGTTCTGAGGGAGTTTAACAGTGTAAATAAACCATTCTTCCCAATGCATCCCATTGGCTAAAGCAGTCACAGATCCACCCACCTAGATTCAAGGGATGAGTGGGAACATAGATAGATTCTACCTCCTGAAAGAGGGAGTGCTAACAAATCTGTGGCTACCACACTGAGGAAGGAAGGTAATGGAAGGTTGTAAAAGGCAAGACCATTCTTACTCACAGGCAAGGAATTTGAAGAGATTCCCTGTCTGTTAGAGTTAATAATTATTTGCTATGTACCTGTATTGCCATACTGGGTTGCTAAAAATAGAAAGGTTTCCACACATTTTAGTAAACAGCCACTTCTCTGAGTGTGGTCTAATTGCCCTGCTGCCTGACTCGGTTCCTCCCCTGGGACACACAAATTGGAATCTTACTTTATTTATATAGTATTTACATTGAATATCTATCTCTATATCAGACTGGCAGCTGAATAAGGGCAGAGGACTTTTTTTTTTTTTTTTTTAAACAGTCTATTGTAACAGTGCTTGCCACATCGTAGGCACTCAATCAGCATTTGAATAAATGAATGAAACCAATATGTATCGGGTACCCATCGTGAGCCAGGCACATTCTGGGCCTAGAGCAAGAGAGATCATAAGCAAAATAAATAAGTAAAATCTACAGCATGTTAGATGTGGACTCCTGCTATGGAGAAAATCTGGGGCTGAGGACAAGGAGTGGCAGGAAGGACTTGCTCTTTTAAATAGTGTGCTCAGGTATGGCCTGCTGAGAAGGTGACTTGAGTGAACACCTGAAGAAATGAGTGAATGGGCTTACACAGTTGATCAGTGTGGGGGGCACTGTGGAGTCCACCTTGTTAGAATCAATACCTTCTGTGCCAGTTTCCTGTGGTTAGAAGGGTCTTAATTAGAGATTCTTCTCTATGGTTCAGGTTGTCTGCACCTTCCCACAGTGCACATGGCTCCATCCCTTCAGAGGGACACTGAGCTGCAGGTCTTGCTACAGTTCCCACCCGCAGAGTAGTTTTCATGGAGGGAGACAGGGAAAAGGGCAGTAGAGCCTTGGTTCCGGGAAGGTTTTAGGGAGGAGAGGGTTTGGGGGGATAATGGGTGAGGGCAAGGGTGCCAAGTTCCACTGTGGAAAGGGGAAAAGAGAGGGAGGCAAAAAAGGAGGATTTTGCCTATGAAGAAACCAAACCAGAAAATTAAAATGGCCCACCCCAAGCCTAGTGAGTAACATGAACCAGCAAGGTTAAGGACCTTAGCAATACTTGCAGGAACTCAGGCTGTGTTCAATTGTGCAATGAGAGCAAAGAGGGCCAGCACACAGGCAGAGCCTGCTGGTGCCTGCCCCACAAGGAAAGCTGAGCCCCACTGCCAGAAAACCCAGAGAAAGGTGCAAATTTCTCAATACACATAAAATAGTCCCTGGGGAAAGAGCCCAGTGGGCTGCCTAAGCCAGGCGGGGCCCGTCTGCTTGCCTGGGTTTGGATCCTTGGATCCTGGTCCCACCGTGAACTAATTGGGAGACCCAAAGCAAACTCTTCATCCTTTTAAGCACCAGTTTCCTCATCAGAAAAATGTGGAAAAATAATGAGACCTCCCTCATAGGGTGGCAATAAGGGTTGCATTAGACAATGAGTACAGGCCGGGCATGGTGGCTCATGTCTGTAATCTCAGCACTTTGGGAGGCCCAGGCAGGTGGATCACTTGAGGTCAGGAGTTTAAGACCAGCTTGACCAACATGGTAAAACCCTGTCTCTACTAAAAATACAAAAAATAGCAGTGCATGATGGCACGTGCCTGTAATCCCAGGTACTCGGGAGGCTAAGGCAGGAGAATCACTTGAACCCGGGATGGGGAGTTTGCAGTGAGCCGAAATCGCACCAATACAACCCAGTCTGGGTGACAGAGTGAGACTCCATCTCAAACAAAACAAAACAAAACAAAACAAAACAAAACAAAACAAAACAAACCAGACAATGAGTACAAAGTACTTAGCCCAGGTCCCATGATTAAGTGCTCATTTTATTGATAATTTTAAAAAAATATGCAAAGGCCCCCTTTAAAAGAGAGCTTTGCACTGCAATGCTTGTTTACAGAGCAGCAGCTGTGTGACAGTCACTGGAGGACAGGGGATGTTAAAGCTGAATTGATAGGAGGAGATACTGAGAGTGGAGGCATTAGACAGGAAAGTGAAGCATCTCAGGGACTGTGCAGCAAACCAATGGGGAATGAAGACCCAATTTGTAAGGCAATTAATTTGCATATTACTTTGTGATCCAAAAGTTCATATAATATTAAAGTTGTTTTAAGTGTTTCATTTCCTGTTTTCCTTTTTTGCTCATTTTTTTTGGCTCAAAAAATACTCATTTTTTAAAACATTTTCATCAACACCATAAAGGCACCCCCTCCCAGGGTTCACAGCCTGACTCAGGGCCATCACAGTGCCTGGTGCCCTGCAGTAGCAGACATGAAAACTGCTCCATTAGACTAGGCTCACTGGCCAACAAGTGCTCCTGAAGACAGATTTATTAGGAATATTCTAGATGACTTAGAGGTACTTGGAGCCGAGTTATTTTTCTCTGAATTTTTAGGAAGTGGAGCACGAGGACTCAGGGGAGAAGAAAAGTAGCAGGACTCTCTCCAGCCACTGTATTCCCTGGCTGTTGCCTTCTATTCGTGTGTGTGTGTGTGTGTGTGTTCAAGTTGATTGTGAGATTCTAGAAGATAGTCCCTATATCAACTGTTTGCTCTGCATCTAACCCATACTATTTCCCCTTCCCCTAGTTTAATATAAGATTTTATGCCTCACACTTGGGACACAAATATGCAAGAAAGACTCTTGGTTTGACTTGGTCCCTTAGCAGCTGGACCCACTTGTGGCTCTGCTGTTCCCAGAAGACATACATGCTCTTGCCTTTGCACAGCCTGCCAGCAGGCCTTCAGGGAGAAGAGAGCCAGGTCTGCTCTGAAGGGCACTTAGGCTCTTCAGGCCTCAGCCTTGTTGAAACTTCTCTGCCACCTTGGAGGAAGCTGCGGCGGTGGAGGCTGTTCCAGGCTCTACTGCTGTGCATCTCTTCCTACCAGGGCGGGCTCCTGTTGTATCCTGGGAGTTTCCTTGTCCTGGGATGTGAGGTGCAGGGAGGTTAGCTTCTCTATGCTCTAGTCCCTTCCTCCCCACTCTCCTGAGCCCTGGTAGGAGCTTTTAGAGTATTCTTTGGCTCCAGTGGACAAAATAACCTGGTTGCTCGAATGGATTCTAAATATAACCACGGCAGCAAAGAGGCTCAGCTAGAGGGTACAGAGAAGTTGTGCTTGGGTAAACGACGGTTCATTTCTGATTATTTTACCACTAATTGGAGCTGCCTTCTCTCGGGCTTCCTCTTCTCCTTTTTAGCAGCGAATGTGATTGCTTCCATTGAATTCGCTCCCTTCCTCCCTCCTGCCTGCTGCTTCCTCCCCCACCCACTGCTGGAAAGGAGCCTTTTCTCTTGCTCTTGTTCTTGCTCTTGGATCAGCCCCAGAGGCTCACTGGTCTGGGGCAGGTCTCTGGAAGCCTGGGTTGTCAGCTTCCTCCCCTCCAGCGGAGGTGGCTCCCACTCCTGTTCTCAGCTCAGACCCCTCAGAATGGGTGTTGCCTCACCATTGCCATGTTTAGAAGTCCTCAGGGGGGCATTTTGGGAATTTTTCAATATTCAAACTATGATTTATTCCCATCTCCATATGAGAAAATGGAGATGGATGCGTTAGTCTCTTCTCAGGTCACCTAGTGAACAGGGCTGGACCCTCTGTCCCCTGTTCTGGGCTACCACCCTTTGTAGTGAGCAGACTCCTGTTCTTGTTTCCCTATTTTTATTTGTTTCTTGTTTTGAGAGAAAGGATGCTGCCAGGCAGCCTCTGTGAGTTCAGGGTTAGTTGATGATGAAAAGTCCTAGATAGGATTGCCTGTATGTGACCAAAAGAAAACCTCCTCCTTGCTCTTTGGCAAAATTCAGCCCTGCCTAAACCATCACTGTTCAATTTAGACAAACTAAAGGGTATTTGGTTTTTCTTGGGTTTCAAAGCTATATAGATTAACTCCAAACAGCTGAATGACATTTGACATCTAGATGCCATGAACATCCAGCCCCCTGAGGTACCCTTGGTGCCTACCCTAGTTGAACACCATGCCTGGAATCTCTGCCTCTTAGCATCATGAATGAGGATGGCAAGGAGGTCACTTCTACTCCAGTGAGGGGTGTTTCTCTGCTGCTCATTCGTGGTGAGTGGAGAAAAGGGAGGATGGAGCCTTTCATGACATTTGCCATGAAAAGGAGGTGAGAGATTTGCTGGTGGAGCGTTCTGTCTGTCAGAAAGTGGGAGGTTTGGTCCTCTTCTAGTGTCAGGGGAGGCAGTAGGATGGAGACTGAGGAGAGTAGAGGGGTTTGACAACTCCTGCAGGAGAATGGGGAGTGCTGCCTACCCAAACACACCAGGCCGGGTCCACAGCTAGCTCTCTACGTGGAAGGGGCCAGGTCTTCCTCACTACAATGGCCTAAGCAGTCTTCACTCCTCTAATTTCAGGGGGACCAGGCTAGCAGTAGTCTTTCTCTTGTTTGGAGCAGGTGAGTTATACCTACTACTCCTATTCCTTGGTCAGGACCTTTTTCTGGAGACTTAGCTTGGAACCTGGAAGTGTATGAAATCATGCTTAAGATCACACACTCAGTTTTGTTTTGCTGGAAGATGCAACAATGAGATTTGTATTGATTTCTATTCTACTGTATAAAGAGACATTTTAAAGAGTATTTGGTGAAATCTTATTCAATGTATAATCTTATGAAAATTTACTAGGTTGCAGGAGAGATTTTATATTTTGGATATTATAAAGAGCTTCTTTATTGTGGCTGGTGTTCTGATAAACTGAGGAACTAGGCATGGAGATTTCTTGGAGAAGCCTAGACAGCTGCTGTTTTGGAATGGGTTGAATGTGAATATTCGATTTTGCAGGAGGAGTGTTAGTGAGTGTGGAATCTGGCCATCACAGAGCTGTGTGTTAGCTCTGCTTTATTCATAATGAACTATCATTCCCCATCAATGTAAAGCAGGCTTCTATAAACTGTCCTCCCTCAGAAGTACACCCAGCATGCTACATAATGTCCCCGTAACATTTTCCCCCATATGTTTTTCCTCAAATACCAGTCTAATGCATATGCCAGCCATGTTCCTCACTTATGACATTTCCTTACTTTTATCATTTTATCAGCAACTCAGAGAGTGGTTGTGGGACTAACAGGAATTTTGGATGACACCAGAAGGTTTATTTGGTGCAGCTTCTGGCCATTCCTTGGAAAGTGCCTTGGGTATGCTATGTTTGATCAGTGGCTTAGCCACTCACTAACTGTTGGAGTCCTTGATAAATTCTTTACCTTTCTTGGGTTTAGTTCCCTGTTTGTAAAATAGAGGCTTGGCCTGATCATTCACTGAACAGGTATTTATGGAACACTGGGTATGTGCTAAATGCATAGCATGTACAATCATATTGATATAAGACACTGTCCTTTAGCTGGGGGAGGGGCATGGAGTTTGGACAGGAGACAGAGACATATAAACAAATAAGTACAAGGCAAAGTGTACAGCATGCTAAGGGAACAGAGGGGAGAGATGGAGTAATTATACCTGAGAGGGTTCGGAAATGACACACTGAAGAAAGTGACGTTTGCACTTGGCCTTAACATATGATCTTTTTAGTGTACAAGGTGAGAAGGCAGAAAAAAACAGCGTGGGCAAAACCACAGAAGTTTGAACATGGCATGGATATGGGGCTTAGCAAGCAGTCCAGTGTGGCTGAAGGGAGAGGTGATGCTGGGGAGGAAGCTGAAACCAGCTAAATGAGTTCACTAGGCCATTGTAAGCGGGTGGGCTTCTGCTCCCACTAAGAAGCTAGAAGTAGTTCCGATACTCTATGGCTCTGTGCTTCCTCTGCTAGTTTGGATATCCACCCAGAAGTGTGGGTGATAGGGGGTTTTAAAATTCCTCCCGAGCTTCCCTGGTCTTTTCTCTGAGACGTTTCTAAGATTAAACTGTGTAGTGGGTACTTATCTCTAGTCACAAATTTAGGTGTGTAAGAAATGTAATTTTATTTATTTTTCTATAATACAACTTATTTCTATAATACATTCCTATTCTGCTAGAGAAGAAACTTAACCTCACTGAATTTGGGATCACCTCCTTTCCTTACGATTGTAGCTAACTTGGGGTGCATGGGGGAGCATCGGTCATGAATTCACACTGGCAGTTGCTGAAATGTCTACATTGCTGCCCAGCCTTACTTTCACTGCTGAGCAGTTTTGACTCTCCCTCTCTCAATGCAAGGCTGCTCTAGGTCTGACTCCCTCTCTTCTGGTGCACGGGAATCATAAGGGTTTTGCTGCTTCCATGACACCTCGGGCCATAGGGGCAGCACCACAGGGCTATCTAAACCCTATTTCTGGTACAGCCTTTAGCAGAAAAGAGTTAAACATAGGGTTCACCCTAAAAAACATAGGGTTTACCCAAAAAGTTAAACATAGGGTTACCGTATGACCCAGCACTTCCACTCCGAGGCATATACCCCAAAGAACCAATAACATATAACCACACAAAAACTGGTACATGCCTGTTCATAGAAGCATGATTTCTAATAGCCCCAAAATGAAAACAACACAATGCCCATTAGCTGATGAATGGATAAACAAAATGTGTCATATCCATACAAAGAATTTAGCCATAAAAAGGAAGGGAGTACAGATACATACTGTATCATAGATATGAACCTTGAAAACATTATATTAGGTGAAAGGAACCAGACATAATGGCCATATACTGCATGATCCTGTTTGTTTGGAATGTCCAGAAGAGGCAAATCTGTAGACCAGAGACTAGGGGTGGGGGAGAATTGGGAGTGACTACTCACGGGTACAACAGGTATGGGCTTTCTTTTAGAGGGTGAGGAATGGAAATGTTCTGGAATTAGATAGTGGTGATGGTTGTAAAACGTTGTGAATATACTAAAAACCACTGAATTGTACACTTTAAGGTGGTGAATTTTATGTTAAGTGAATTATATTTCAATTTTGAGTACTGAAAAAAACCCTCACAATCTTCTGGACACCCTTTACAAAATATTTCTGGACACCCTTTACAAAAATATTGTTCTACTACCATATGTGGCTCAGCCTTTACAACTATATCTTTTCCAAGATCTTGTTGCCCCCTAGGGTTCTACCTGGGAAAGCGGGCAAGGACCCACAGTGCTCTCAGATCCCTTAAACCTGTGGGGAGAGTGACTCTAGTACCTTTGAAGGGTGGGAGGCAGGACACAGGGTTCCTCTTTCTTAGGGACCTAGTACATCTTTCCACTCCTTGCTTCACAGGTGGCATCTCACCACTCCCAGTCACCCTCACCACTCACCACTCTGAGAGCCTTCTTCATGTGGTCTCCTCAATCTGTGGCCTAGACACTGAATCCTCTCTGCTCCTTTCTGAGGGCTGGGCTTTGAAGACCCAAAAGCCAAATCTAACTCTTTCTCTTCCTTTGTAACTCCTCTGTGTCTTCCTTCCCTGAGGCAATGTACTGTCGTAAGCAGACTCAATGAGGGAAGGACAGAGGAGCATAGGGAAATATGGAGGTGGGCTTGGAAGTATTTAAAATGGTTAATATTTAAAAATATTGTTCTACTACCATATGTGGCTCAGTCTTCTACTTTGGGCAGGGACCCCTTTCCTGGATGTAGCAGGGAAGGTCTCAGAGGTTTCACAAGGCAGGAGATTTGGCTGCTAGACTCCTTTTCCCATGACTCACTGGGAAAACTCCCAGATTATTGTTAGAAGAAGATGGAGTGGTTGCTAGAGGGCTGGCCCTGGGCAGAGGCAACATGAAAAGGGGCCTTTTCATGCCCCCATAGTCACCCCATTGAGGCAGCTGTTTATTCTCTTCCCACCTCTCCTGCAAGCCTTTCTTCCTCAACCTGTTCCCCTCCTACAGGTGTCTGCCTTGGTGCCCCAAGTTCTGCCTGTGACTGTCACTGCTCTGTTTGTATCTGAGGATGTAAGGGGGAAGGGGATTAGACTTGATCTTTAAGTCCCCTGGATGGTTCTGATATCTACAAGCTGAATAGCTTTGGGCAAATTACTTAACAAGACTCAGTTTCCACATCTATAAATGGTGGTATGATTCCTTAGCTTATACAGCCTCTCCAGTCTAGACATTAATGATTATTAGATTTGTTAAGTGTACATACTACTCAGCATAGTATGTGGCACATAGCAGGAGCTCATTAAATGGCTATCACATTGATTATAATTACTAGGTTGCAGTCTTGAGCTAGTCATTTGCCTTCTCCGAGCTTGTTTCCTCATCTGTAAAATGGGGCTAATATTACCTCCTTCATAGGACTATTTTGAAGCATCTGGCATCCAGTAGGTATTAAATGAACCTTAATGGACCTTTTTCCAGCAACTTCTGATCCAGCTGTTTTCTCCAGCAACTTCCAATCCTTCCTCATCAGAGCCCAAAAGGAGAAGTGCTTTGTCCCAATCATGAGCACACAGCTCTGTGTCTGTCAAACTCCTGACTCTTTCTCCCTGGAGGCCCAAAGTCTCTTGTGTTTTCCTAGTAGGTGCAGAAATGGAAGAATGGACTGGTATGTGTGAGTCCTTTCTGCTGTGGATGGCAGCAAGACCTCCTCATTACGGGAATGAGTTCTTGCCTTTGTTGCTGTTTCCCACGTGGATACAGGCTTCATCTGGCCTTGGCTTTGTCGGTCCATAGGTATGTAGTCTCCAGTGAGGAACTCAGCTTCTCCAGACCTCAGTTTCCTTGTCTGTAGAATAGAGATGATGATACTGTTTGCCTCACACATCTTACAGGCTTGTTGCTTGAAACTAATGGAATGATGAATGTGAAAATACTGTGAGCTCTGTAAAATGCTGTAAGGGATTATTCTCCTGGGATACCTGACTATCTAAAGTTTGCCAATGCTTTGGAAACACAAATGTCTCCCAGAGGCAGCTTGCTGGGGACCTCATGTCAGTAGGAATTAGAGTGAAATATGATGGGAATAAGACTTAGAAACAAACATCAAGGAAGGGAAACGGGGGAACCGGAGCAAATGTGAAAGAGGAGATGGGAGAAATGAAAACCAGACTCTTTTCCTGTTTTACAGACTTGTTTGCAGTTTTGCCTTGGGCTGACCTGACCCCTAGGCTGTAACCCTCCCTCTGGGAGTCCTCCTTAGGATCTCGTTATAAGTTTACTGAAGACAAGAGGCGTGGAGAGAGGGTGGAGGTATCTGTGAAAGGACATAAATGTCCCATCATAGGTCTGACATCATGCCCCATATAGGCCCTCAAGGGCTCTGTGGACATAGTTCCCCCTGGGGGACCATCTACAGGGGACAAATAGACCTGTATCATTTCTGATTCCATCCCCTAAGTCTTGAGGGCAGATTTTTGTGCCTAGTCTGGTGCTGAAGGTTATAAAGAAGCCTAAAATCTCATCCCTGCTCTCAAGGGTACTCACAATCTCATTAGGAAGATGAGAAGTAGATATGGGAAAACTATTACACAAACCAAAAACCAGAAACAAACCCGCTTGTGAATACCTGCCAAAATGCGCGTGTGGGATGTCTATTACTATAATACCTCAGAGGAGAGAAATAGTCCTAGCCAGCATGGCTAAGGAAGGAAGTAGAGAATCCATGTTTGAAAATAGTGGAAACTAAATTTGGATGGTGTTTTAGGTCATATCCCTAAATGCAGACCTCGAAATAAAGATTGATATGCAAATGACTTACCAAGGAAGTGCTTCGAGGAGACAGAGGTAAGGGACTAGAGGGGCAGGACAAGGTGAGGAGAACAACAAGTAGGGGTGCAATTTCAGGTGACATCCCAGCCTCAGCCTGACCCCTCAGGGAGCTCTGGAGCATAAATTGCACAAAACAGTTTGTCAACCAGTAGGCAAGGGTGGTTGACATGGACCCTGTCCATCAGTCATTGGCTATATAGGTTGCTGCAGGGCAGAAAGAGACTCCCCTGGTCTCTGGCTCTCTGCATGATGATGTGGGAAGTTGCCAAGCCCAATAAGGTTGCAGGTGCCAGCCATCAGAAACAAGGCATGCAGAAGCTGTGGTTTGGTGCATGGAAGTGGTGAGAGAGCTCTGGGAAGGGCAGCAACAGACTTCACTACGGATAGGAGAGGTGGGGCCAGAGTATGGGATGTCTTCATCACCAGAGTTAGAAGTCTGAACTTGGTCCTCTGTTCACCATAAGCCCTTATGAATTCCTGAGGAGGTGACTGGCACATGGAAAAGAGAAAGATGAAACCAACAGTGATATTCACGGGGACTGGAGGTGGTAGAGCCTGGAGGCAAGTCAGGCTAGGCATGCCCTTCCCATTAGGGCCTTTGTAATGGCTGTTCCAGATTGCCTGGAATGTTTATTCCCCGTGACTCTGATTGGCTCCCTCCCTTACCTCCTTCAGGTTTTTGCTCAGATTTCACTTTTGCATCAAAGCCTTCCCTGACTCTTCCATTGAACTCTACATTGTGTGTCTTCTTTATTCACCATCCTAAGCGCCTTTGTCCAGCTTTTTCCATAGTGCTGGTCAGCAGCCATTGTATTTTACACCACACTTGTTTATGATGCCCGTCGTTAATTGTCTCTTGTCCTTAGAATGTGAGCTCTGTGTGGGCAGGATCTCTGTTTTCCTCACCGATTCATCATGAGTGGGTCAGGAGTGCCTGGCTCATGGCAGGCACGCAGTAAACATTCTGTACAATGAATCACTGTGATCAGAGGTGGGATGGAGGCTATCCCAGAAGGAGCCAGATTGGAAGGCCAGACCTCAGAGATCTTATACAGAAGAAATAACAGGGATGGATGGTTCAACACAGGGGTTGAATTGCAGGAAGCTACAAGAAAGATTACGAAGATCTGGACAAAGGAAGGTAGAATGATGCTGTGTCCTTGGTGAGTAGCTGTGCCCAGGTAGTTGATGTAGTGGCATGGAGGGGACAGAATTCCGAGTGGAGCAGCATGTTGAGGCGATATACAATACAGTGTGGTTCTGGGGAGCAAATTTTCCCTTGAGGGTGCCATGGGGTGTGGGAGGAGAAAGTAGTTGCTTTGGATCCTCTTGGGCTCCAGTCTTCCACCTCTGCAGGGAAAGCCAGGTGCTTTGATAGGAGTGGGCAGGAGGCTTTTCCTGCTCCCCTGCCCATGGCCCCCTTCCTGCCAGCAGGGCTGCTGGGAGAATGAGTGGTTTCCTGGCCTTTCCTCTGTACAAGCCTTTGGAAGCGTTCGTTAGCCAAGCCACCCCTGTCCCATTGAGGGGCCTGGGAGGTCTCATTCACCCTGGACATGTCTGGGTAGCAGCACTGAGCACGTGCTTTGGGAGGTAGTGCTGGTTAACACTCCCAGTGAGTGTGCATGACTGTGAATGAAGGTGAGGACAGCCTGCTATCAGGATGGCAATCCTAGCTTTTTTTTATTTTTTATTTTTATGAATCAATGTCTCACTCTGTCACCCAGGTGGGAGTGCAGTGACGCGATCATGGCTCTCTGCTGCCTCAACCTCCCAGGCTCAAGTGATCCTTCTGCCTCAGCCTCCCACGTAGGTGGGACTATGGGCATGTACAACCACACCTCGCTAATTTAAAAATTTTTATTTTGTAAAGACAGGGTCCTGCTACGTTGCCCAGGCTGGTCTTGAACTTCAGGCCTCAAGCAATATTCCCGCCTTGACCTCCCAAATTGCTGGGATTACAGGCATGAGTCACTGCACCTGGCCGATCCTAGCCTTTGAGGGTTACCTGGCATTCGGAGACAGTTGGGTAAATCTGATGATGGGGTCAGGGCAGCTGCAGCCTATTGGCTTGATTTGTTGTTGTTCTACTGAAAAAGTAGCAAGGGGAGGCCTGGGCCGGGGTGGTCAGTTCAGTGGCTGCCTTAGACACTGTTCTCCCTTTCTAACCTGAAGCCAGGGTCTGGACAGGGAGGGGCATCCCAGCAAGAAGTTCAAGGAGCTGTATTTGCTTTGTTGGGCACAGGCCTTCTTCTCTGTGGCTGGGGCCATGGACCTGCTCTGGTGTCCTGACGTTTAGCAGGAAATGGCACCTAGGCACAGTTGGTAGTCTTTTAAGGCAGATGATGGAAGTGCTGGTAGCTACAGCATCCTCACAGAGGAAGTGGACAAGGGGGCTAGGGTAGAGAGGAGGATTAGGGCAGATGTACTGTGCAAACTGGCTGGTGAGCACAAGTGAGATGGTTCTTGGGGACCTTCTGCTGTAACTGGGGAGATGTTGCAGGGGACCAAAGGCCTGCCAGAGCCTGTGAACTTGAGGTGTTCTGTTACTCTGACTCTACATCTGTGGGCTGGGGAGAGGTGGAGAAAGGCTGATGAATGGAACCTGGGCCTGGGGCCTCCAGAGAACAGGACTCCCCTTGGGGACCTGGTTCTCATTTGACTATCCTCTCTGAATGCCTATTCCTATCTGACACCTTCCATTTTAGGGTTGGAGGAGAGTACTGAAGCACCTCTCACACATGACCTCTGTGGTGTTGCATCCTTCCTTCCATCTCTCCTATTCTTGCTACAGGGGTCTGTGATGGCCTTTGGTCCATGGTATCAGACGCTGGCTCAAGGCAATGCAATGTGCTAGAATCTGATTGGATTTACTTGCTTTGCAGGTTGCACGAGACCTAGTTGTCTCAAGGTAAGAGTC